>NW_025791792.1:0-300000 GCF_000001405.40 Homo sapiens | reverse complement strand
AGGGACGGCCAGGTCCATTCTCACCATGTGTCTTCGTGCTCATTATCTTCTTGGAACCACATGATGCTGTGTGGCAGGCAGGAGGAGGAAGCTGAGACCAGAGCCATGGTGTGCACTACCCATGGTCACTGAGTCAGACATCCAGGGATTCACGTTCGGGTCCTTCCAGCTGGTGCAGGGCAGGGGACTTCCTCCCACCAGCCTGTGGCCTCGGACTTGGACGTGTGTGGAAGGCAGCAGCACACGCTGGTCACGTGTGCAGCGGGTGCCCACTGCCTGCTCTGCGTGCCCCCAGTGCCCCGGGCTTCTCCACTCTCCGTCCTCCCCTGCTGGGTGGAGTACAGCCATAACCAGACAGCAAATGCCCCGAGGGCTGTGCCAGGGTGATGTCATGCCTGGGGACGGGGAGGGCCTCTCGGAAGCCCTGGCCTCCTGGTCCTGGCACCCAAGCCCAGGCCTGGGGCTCCCAGCCAGCTGGAGGCAGGGAGGCATTGCATCAGTGCAGGGGAGGAGGAAGGCCCAGCCTGGCCCCAGGCCATGGGTATGGGAGATGGCCGGGCTCGTGAGGGCCTCTCCTCTGGGCTGTGTGACACACACCCTCAGCAGGAGACCCCTGTGGCCTCTGAGCCCACCCCTGCCTGGGCCCAGCGCGTGCCGTGATGGCCAGCCACCTCAACGCCACCTTTACGGGCATCCTAGCGGCGTCCTCAGCTGGGTCAGCCCCTAATTAGCATGAGGAGGAATGTGGGCGTAGGTGCAGGCTGTAAATGTGTGGCAGTACCCCCTCCCCCCACCGCGGGCAGAGCAGGTGCTCCGCCAGAGGCTTGCCGGCTGGGCTCAGGCTCGGGTCTGGGCTGGGTGTGACTGATCCTCAGCAGTAGATGGGGTGCCCTAGGCGGACAGGGCACCCTAGGCGGACAGGGAGCCCTAGGTGTTCTCTCAACCCACTTGACGGCCCTCCTCCTACAGGGGGCTTCGCCACCTTCTCCTCCTGCTTCCCCGGCCTCTGCGAGGGCAAGCCTGCTGCCCTGCTACCCATGAGCCTCTCCCAGCCCTGCCTGCCTGTGCCCAGCGTGGGCCTGACCCGCATCCTGCCTCACCTCTACCTGGGCTCGCAGAAGGACGTCCTAAACAAGGTGTGTGTGCAGTGGAGTTCGGGGGGTGGTCAATGGGAAAGGGGCAGGAGCTCCAGAAGCAGCTTGGCAGCGGAGCGGGGGATGAGGGAGGAAAGGAGCTGAAGGCAGTGGATGAGCTGGGTGTGGGAGAAGCATGGGTGGGGGCCCAGGAGGACCCCAGGCTCCCCACCCATGCCCCTGGAAGGACCACAGCAGGGCTTGCGGGAGGGCCCGGCAGGGCTCGGGGGAGGAGCGGGGAGCTGGCATGCCAAGCTGCGGATGTCACTGGGCCTCTGGCCAGCTCTGAAAGAATCCCATGTTTTAAAAATGGTGACGAGGGAAAAGGGTAAAAGCCACCACCCAGGCAATCATAAAATTCCTAGGAGCCCACCACCAGCCGTGGGTGGGGCCTGCAGTCGGAGGCCAGCCGTGCCCCACCCCCCGCACGGGCCCAGGGTGCCAGGGTGGACCAGAGAGGCCTCCTGGGCCCTCCCCTGGATACACTGGGATCTGGGACAAATTCCAAGGCTCCCAGGATTCTAAAGGCCCTCCTGACGGCAGGGCAGGAAAAGCCTCCACCTTCACTCCCGCCCCGAGCTTCTCCCACCCCTTTCCAACCCGCCCTCCCGCCCCTCCAGGATCTGATGACGCAAAATGGAATAAGCTACGTCCTCAACGCCAGCAACTCCTGCCCCAAGCCTGACTTCATCTGCGAGAGCCGCTTCATGCGGGTCCCCATCAACGACAACTACTGTGAAAAACTGCTGCCCTGGCTGGACAAGTCCATCGAGTTCATCGGTGAGTCTGCGGTGGGCGGAGGGCAGGGACCTGGCTAGAGGAAGGCTAGAGCTGTGTGTGGCCACAGACACAGGAGGGGTCCCCAGGAAGTAGCCGGAACTGTTGGCAGTTGGGCGGGTGGGGTCCCCTACCTGGGCCAGGGAGAAGCTGTGCAGTCTTAGCCCTCACCTGGCCCCCATGGCCCACCTGCCCAGATAAAGCCAAGCTCTCCAGCTGCCAAGTCATCGTCCACTGTCTGGCTGGCATCTCCCGCTCTGCCACCATCGCCATCGCCTACATCATGAAGACCATGGGCATGTCCTCCGACGACGCCTACAGGTACCACCTTCCCCAGTCGCGCACTTGTGGCTCACAGCGTCGCTTCCCTTCCCCCGGCTGCCCACTTGCACCAGAATGACCCCACCGTCCAGGACCCGTGGCAAGGGAGGAGGGCCTGAGACCAGCCTGGCGCACATGAGCTCGTGGGTGCCCAGCGGGTGCGTCAGGTGGGCAGCCTGGCCCCGGCGGGCGCCTGGGACTGAGCCTCCTCCCCCGCAGGTTCGTGAAGGACAGGCGCCCGTCCATCTCGCCCAACTTCAACTTCCTGGGCCAGCTGCTGGAGTACGAGCGCAGCCTGAAGCTGCTGGCCGCCCTGCAGGGCGACCCGGGCACCCCCTCAGGGACGCCGGAGCCTCCGCCCAGTCCTGCCGCCGGGGCCCCGCTGCCACGGCTGCCACCACCTACCTCAGAGAGCGCTGCCACAGGGAATGCGGCTGCCAGGGAGGGCGGCCTGAGCGCGGGCGGGGAGCCCCCCGCGCCCCCCACGCCCCCGGCGACCAGCGCACTGCAGCAGGGCCTGCGCGGCCTGCACCTCTCCTCGGACCGCCTGCAGGACACTAACCGCCTCAAGCGCTCCTTCTCCCTGGACATCAAGTCTGCCTACGCCCCTAGCAGGCGGCCCGACGGCCCCGGGCCCCCCGACCCCGGCGAGGCCCCGAAGCTCTGCAAGCTGGACAGCCCGTCGGGGGCCGCGCTGGGCCTGTCCTCGCCCAGCCCGGACAGCCCGGACGCCGCGCCTGAGGCGCGCCCACGGCCCCGCCGGCGGCCCCGGCCCCCCGCCGGCTCCCCCGCGCGCTCCCCCGCGCACAGCCTCGGCCTGAACTTCGGCGATGCGGCCCGGCAGACTCCGCGGCACGGCCTCTCGGCCCTGTCGGCGCCCGGGCTGCCCGGCCCTGGCCAGCCGGCCGGCCCCGGGGCCTGGGCACCGCCGCTCGACTCCCCAGGCACGCCGTCGCCCGACGGGCCCTGGTGCTTCAGCCCCGAGGGCGCACAGGGGGCGGGCGGGGTGCTGTTTGCGCCCTTCGGCCGGGCGGGCGCCCCGGGACCAGGCGGCGGCAGCGACCTGCGGCGGCGGGAGGCAGCGAGGGCTGAGCCCCGGGACGCGCGGACCGGCTGGCCCGAGGAGCCGGCCCCGGAGACGCAGTTCAAGCGCCGCAGCTGCCAGATGGAGTTCGAGGAGGGCATGGTGGAGGGGCGCGCGCGCGGCGAGGAGCTGGCCGCCCTGGGCAAGCAGGCGAGCTTCTCGGGCAGCGTGGAGGTCATCGAGGTGTCCTGACCCCTCCGCTGCCCTCGGCCCCGCCGCCCGCAGCCAGGCCCGTTATAAATGTATATTATATATAATGCAAAGAAAGGTAAATGGTTTTACTGGGATTTTTATCGAGAAGTAAATATTTCGATTTTTTATTTATTTAAGCTGTTCATTCTGGCAATGATTTGGCAACAGTGCGGGTGGTCCTCGAGCTCTATTTTTACTGTCTGGTATTTAAACTGAAACATACGTTTCTAAGCAATACGAGGCCACCTTCAGTCGCAAGCTGGGTGCCAGGCCTGGGGCCCCTCCCAGTTCCCCCGCCCCAGGAAACACTGCTGACCTTTGCAAAGGCTGCCGAGCTTTCGTGCACTTTTTACATAACAAAAAGGTGAAAAAAAGGAAAAAAAAACTTCTTTGCCACAAACTGAGCCGCAGAACCCCCCTTCTCCCCCCACCCACCTCCCCTGCTCCCTCCCTTCTCTGCGCCGGCCTAGGGCTCTGCACCAAAGCCATAGGATGGAGGAGCAGGAGCTGGTGTGCCCCGGAGAGGTGCGGCCAGCCCTCCATCAGCTCCAGGCACCAAATCTTGGTGGCAAGGAGGGCACCCCGCTGCCCGTTGCCCCAGAGCTGTTCTCTGGCAGGGGAGGACAGGCATTGGGCTTCATGGTGCCAGGGTGTTCAGAGGGGCTGAGAAATAGAACAGTGTGTGTAGGGGCTTCGGGCAGGGGGTTCTGGAACGTCAGATGAGGTGCAGCCCAGGGGAGGACAGAGGTGTTAGTGCCCCCAACTCCTGCCAGAGCCCCAGTCCAGCCACAGAGTGGCTCAGAAAGGCCATTCCTAGAGGGCTGCGGCCCTCCCTTCTCCCTTGCCCATGCCCCCAGAGCTGCCTGCCGGGCAGGGTGGCACCATTGCAGGAGAGGAGCTTGGCCTCCGGGGGTCAGGCAGGAGGCGCCTGGCTAGCCAGTGCTGGCTCCACTGGGCAGGAAGCCCTGGACCCCCAGGTATGAGGAGGGGGTGGTCTTAGGGTTCTGTTCCAGGTCTGCCCCGCCCCCCTCCCAGCCATGCCCCAGGCAGAACTTGGAATTCAGGTGTGCACCTGCAGGCTGAGGGGCTCTGTGAGCAGGTGCTGCTCACACAGGGAGTTCAGGCGCCAGCCAAGCCCCTGTGCTGCTGGGATAGGCCTGCTTCACTTAGGGAGCACTGCCTCAAGACAGGTAAAGCCCCCTCGTTTGCCCCCACCCCCATGGGGCCGCTCAGGAGAGAAACTCCCATTCACCCCTTTCCCAGGGTGCTCTCTCTCTAGGTGGCATGCCAGCCCCCAAACACAAGTGGCTTTTGGGCCCAGGTGGGTCAGCCTGCTGCCCCTGCCCCATACCCCCTCGGGCCATTGGGACCCCTGCCCTTCAGATGTCCTAGGGTCTAGGAGTGGGGCCAGTCACTGTGGGAAGAGGCCAGGGGCTTGGCCGGAGAGGCAGCCCAGGGCAGGACCCAGTCCTGAGTCCTGGAGCAGGGCCAGGGAGGCGCCCATCCCGCCCCGGCCAGCCGCCCTCTCTGCTGTTTCTTCTATTTGTTCTTCTTTTCACCCACAGCTCTGTGTTCCTGTCATCCCTCCTTTCAGCAAAAGTCCTGTTCCCGTTCCCTCTGTCCCCACCCACTCCTGTTCCCCCAAGAAAATAAGCTATCGTTGTATTTGCAATCTATGGATTAGAGGTTTAAGTATTTATTATTATTGGTTAATTATTATTAATTATGTAAATTTGCCTCCCATATGTCTGTTGCGTTGGGTTTCTGAGGAGACCCTGGGTGAGGAGGATGCACTGGCTTCCCGCTTCTCGCCCCCCACCCCTGTGCTGTCCGGGAGACAGTGGTCTGGGGCCACTGGTTGGGCCCCCTTCTCCCTTCCCCCTTCCCCTTGTCCCTTCTGCAGGCCGTTGAGGGGGGCTGTCTGTCTCAGTCTGTCTCTGCTCCCACTCTTGAGGCACTGGTTACCGCAAAGTGAGCAGCCAGCAGGGGGGCGAAGGTCCTGTGTTGGCCACTGCCTCCTCCAGTGCTGCAGGAGGCGGGCTGAGGCCCCACCTGGTGGCTTTCACCTGACCCAGCCCTGAGTCCTCTCCAAGCCTCTCTCCGGCCCCTCCCACCTGGCCACTGCCTCCTCCAGTGCTGCGGGAGGCGGGCCAGGGCCCCACCTGGTGGCTTTCACCTGACCCAGCCCTGAGTCCTCTCCAAGCCTCTCTCCGGCCCCTCCCACCTGGCCACTGCCTGGCATTGGGATCGCCCCAAAATGGACCCGGCCCCTCCTGTTATTTGCTGGGAAGTCCAGCGGAGGAGAGGGTGCAGGTCCCCCGCTGAGCCTCCAGTCTCTGTAGACTGGGCTGCCGGCCCTTCAGCCCCCCTTGGAGCCCCTCCCGCCACAGCCGCACCTTCTGCTCCCGGCCCCTCCCTTTGTATTTGGAGACAATGTGTTGTAATAAAGCTTAAAGTGGATGTTTTCCCCACGACTCCGCGCCTCTTCCTTCAGACTGGTGGTGGGCAGGGTGGGGGCAGAGGCTGCTGGGAGGCAGGCCTGAGGCCAGAGCCTGGTGTGTTGGGTCTGGAAACTTGCCCCAGGCTCACACCGCGGGTGAGCTCTGAGAATAGTCCCTGGGGGCCAGGCATGGGCACAGGTCCTCAGCTGCACCTTTAGGGTGTAAAACACACTTTTTCGGTTGTTACAGGCTAGTAAAAGCTTAAATAACTTAAAACGATATAAAACCTCAGTGTTACCCACCAGTCCCCTCACTCCCACAATCCCAATGTGAACAGTTGGATGCTTCCCTCCCAGCCCCTCCATGTGTGCTGTGTGCTGTGTGCATGTGTGTGGGTGCATATACGTACCAGCAGAAATAGGGGTCTAGCTATATATAGTGTCTCCAACCAGACTTTTTTTTTTTTTTTTTTTGAAATGGAGTTTCGTTCTGTCATCTAGGCTGGAGTGCAATGGTGCGATCTCCGCTCACTGCAACCTCCGCCTCCCCGGTTCAAACAATTCTCATGCCTCAGATTCCCAAGTAGCTGGGATTACAGGCACGTGCCATCACACTTGGCTAATTTTTGTATTTTTAGTAGAGATGGGGTTGCACCATGTTGGCCAGGCTGGTCTCAATCTCACTGACCTCAAGTGATCCGCTTGCTTTGGCCTCCCAAAGTGCTGGGATTACAGGTGTGAGCCACCGTGCCTGGCCTCCAACCAGCTTTTCAAATCTTAAGTAATGTGCATGTCATACAAGGATTAAAAGCACACCAGGGTATGTGGTAGAAAGTACTGGTTTGTCTCCCCCAGGCTTGTCCCCAGCCTCCAGGGTCCTCTCCCTGGAGGCAGCCCCAGCCCGGCCTGCAGAGCCCCGCCTCCCCCCCCCCCCACCCCCCACCGAGGGCAGACCTGGCTGCTGCAGGTGCCACAGGCTGCAAAGATTCACAGTGTGCGTGCAGCCCGGGCTGAGGCTTGTCTACACTGTGGCGGAGGATACCAGATCTGTCCTTACCACACAGACCTGGTTCATGCAGCTTCTTCCAGGTTTAGTATACCTCTCCCAGGGACCCCTCCCAACCAGTGATGCTGTCCAGACCGTGTGTGTGAGTGCTCATGAGACAGGAGGAAGAGGAAGCAAGAGAGGGGAAGAGGAGGGGGCCAGTCCCTCCTCGGGGGCTGCAGGAGGAGGTAGGGTCCTTGAATCCTGCATCTTTAAGAGTCCTCAAAAAGGAGGAAAGCTAGAAACATAGTCTGATGCTCCCGCAAGGCTATTTTTGGCTCAAGAACATCTATTTATAACTCAGGCAGCCCCCAGCAGTCAATAAAACTGAGGCCTGGAAAGAGCTGATGGCTGACTCAAGCAGCACCGAGGTGCTCCCTTACCCCCTGTGCGCAGGAGCACCTGCAGCTCCAGCAGGTGGGTGACGGCCTCTCCTAGGATGCCCATCTGGGGCACATAGGTCTCAGGACCCTGGGGGCAGTGTAAGACTCCAGATGGAAGGAGGGGGTCTCATTTACCAACTCAATCAGGCTCCTAGTGGTCCAAGAGCTGCCCAAAGTAGGCGGTGAAGCAAGAGTTGAACACTGGTGGACTGGCCTCCAACTGCTACGTAGAGTCCCCTAAAGGCTTGTTGCCCTGCCTACAGCTGTGTCTCCCCCCAGGACAAGAGCTTTAGTTGCTGGATGGGTCTTGGATGGGTGGGTAGATGGGTGGATGAGGGAGGGAGACATGGATGGATGGATAGGTGAATTTATGGATGGGCAGATGGATGAATGGTGGATGGATGGATGGGTGCATGGATGGGTGGGTAGAAGGGCAGATGGATGAATGGGTAGAGGGATGCGTGGGGTGGGTGGGTGGGTAGATGGATGGATGGATGGATCAATGAATGGGTGGATGGGTGGGCAGATGGATGAATGGGTAGAGGGATGAGTGGGGTGGATGGGTGGATGGATCAATAGGTGGAGGGATAAATGGGATGGGTGGATGGATGGATAGAGGGGCAGATGGATGAATGGGTGGAGAGGGATGAGTGGGGTGGATGGATGGATGGGCAAATGGATGAATGGGTAGAGGGATGAGTGGGGTGGGCGGGTGGATGGATGGATGGGCAGATGGATGAATGGGTAGAGGGATGAGTGGGGTGGGTGGGTGGATGGATGGATGGATGGGCAGATGAATGAATGGGTAGAGGGATGAGTGGGGTGGGCAGGTGGGTGGACGGATGGATGGATGGGCAGATGGATGAATGGGTAGAGGGATGAATGGGGTGGGTGGATGGATGGATGGATGGGCAGATGGATGAATGGGTAGAGGGATGAGTGGGGTGGATGGGTGGGTGGATGGATGGATGGATGGGCAGATGGATGAATGGGTAGAGGGATGAGTGGGGTGGGTGGGTGGATGGATGGATGGGCAGATGGATGAATGGGTAGAGGGATGAGTGGGGTGGGTGGGTGGATGGATGGATGAGCAAATGGATGAATGGGTAGAGGGATGAGTGGGGTGGGTGGTTGGATGGATGGATAGGCAGATGATGAATGGGTAGAGGGATGAGTGGGGTGGATGGGTGGGTGGATGGATGGATGGATGGGCAGATGGACGAATGGGTAGAGGGATGAGTGGGGTGGGTGGGTGGATGGATGGATGGATGGGCAGATGAATGAATGGGTAGAGGGATGAGTGGGGTGGGCGGGTGGGTGGATGGATGGATGGGCAGATGGATGAATGGGTAGAGGGATGAATGGGGTGGGTGGATGGATGGATGGATGGATGGGCAGATGGATGAATGGGTAGAGGGATGAGTGGGGTGGATGGGTGGGTGGATGGATGGATGGATGGGCAGATGGATGAATGGGTAGAGGGATGAGTGGGGTGGATGGGTGGGTGGATGGATGGATGGATGGATGGGCAGATGGATGAATGGGTAGAGGGATGAGTGGGGTGGGTGGGTGGATGGATGGATGGATGGGCAGATGGATGAATGGGTAGAGGGATGAGTGGGGTGGATGGGTGGGTGGATGGATGGATGGATGAGCAAATGGATGAATGGGTAGAGGGATGAGTGGGGTGGGTGGGTGGATGGATGGATGGGCAGATGGATGAATGGGTAGAGGGATGAGTGGGGTGGGTGGGTACATGGATGAATGGGTGGAGGAATGAATAGGATGGATGGATGGATGAATACATAAATGGGTATTCATAAATAGGCAAGTAGATGTGTGGCTAGGGAGTAGAAGGAAAGGAAGGTGGACAGATGGATGGACGGGTGGAGAAGTGATGGGGTGGATAGGAGGTGGAAGAATGGGTAAATGAGAGGGAGGGAGGGAGCGAAGGTGGGTGGGTAATAATGTTACATTGCGTTAGTTGCACTTCTGTTAGTCTTACATTAAAGCCAGCTTGTGCTTACCTCCATTCTCCATTGGACTGCAGATGGGTACCTGGTCTTTGCATACAGAAGGTACCCAGTGAATGTCCAATGAATAAGCCACATACTAACTGTCTTGGAGTGGGACATCACAGGAGAGACCCTCTCCAAGGCCCAGGGAGAGGAACAGGCTTGGTCAATGTCCCTTAGAGGGTCAGGGGCCAAGTTGGGGCTGGGCTTGGTTCCTGGTCTCTCAGGCACCATTCCTCTGCCTGCCGAGCCATCCCTGGAAGTAAGCTGGAGGCTGGTCTCAGTGGCACCCCTGCCAGCTGCCACTGTACTCCTGTGGATGGACTTACCAAGGCCCTTCCGGAGCTCAGAACTGAAGAGACTGAGCAGGAGAAAGGGCAGAGGGCCAGTTCTCAGGAAGCCTTTCAGGAGGAGAGTTTTGGCCTCTGAAGGCCAGGTTGTGTTTGGAGGGGCTGGGGGCAGGTGGGGCAGGAGGACATTGCAAAGGTCCACAGCATGGGAGAAAAGGCAGAGGTAGGAGCGCCCTGCGGGGAGCCAGGCAGAAGCTGAAGGCCTCTGGCCAAGGCAAGGCCCGACGGGAAGAGGGTGCATCTCGATGGGGCTCTGAATGGCAGGTGGGTTGGGGGAGTGTCTAAGAAGAGTGGTTCTTTGTGGGCAAGATGAAGGGAGGACTTGCTGTTAAGGGGAAGCCATGGAGTCTTTGAGGGGCCTATACAATGGACACCAGCAGAGGGTGCCCCAACCTCCCCGGAAGGGCGCAGGGCACAGGGCAGGGCGGGCCCTGGACAGAGGGTGGGAGAGGAGGGGCTGATTCTCAGCAGAGCTTCACAACAAATGCCTTGTGTCCATGGTGGGAGCACGTGGGGAAACTCAATTATCCCTGCAGGCAGCTGGGGCTCGGCGGCACAGTCCCTCCAGAGAAAGCACAGCCTTCTGGCCCAGGGGTGAGGGTCTAGACCTGTAAGGCAGCCCACAGTCCCAGGCCCCACTCCTGCCCCTGGGAATGGGTCTCCTGGGGTAGGAGCCTCTGTGGAAGACACTAGGCCCTGAAGGCGTGATGATGGCTTGTTTGTGAAGCGAGTGGTCCCTGACTGTGGGGACCAGAGCTCAGAGGGGATCCTGGTGGGGCGAGGGGAACATGCGTGTGCCTCCCACCCCCAAGCAGGGCGATGCCAGGGCAGGCCTTTGCCAAACACTAGGCAAGTGCCTGGGTGGATGCCCTTCAGTCCTTCCAAACTGAGCAGGTAGACTTGTCTTGCTTCAGAACCCTTCAATGTCCCCCTCCAGAGGGGCTGGGTTGGGGGTGGCCTCAGGGAGGGAAGGGGTATGGGAGCTGAACTGGAGTTGAGTGAGAATGCTGGGGAGAGGGAGGCCTCAGTAGTGGGGTGAGAGGAGAGGAACTCAGTGAAGGGCCTTCATTCTGGAAGGTGGGCGGGGGGAGGGGGACGGGTGCTAGGTCCAGGGGCATCTCTCCCAGTCTTTGCAGACACCACCCATGAAACCAAGGAACAGTGGCCTGTCCCCAGGCAGCTCCCAGGAGGAAGCTCTGGGAAGGAAAGGGGAAGACGCCGCTTACCCCTTCCCCGCCAGGAATTCTGCTGCCCCCCCCCCACCAAGTCCAGTGCCCTCCCACTCTGCCCCAGCACATGCGCCCTCATGGCTGAGCGCACCTGCAGAACGCACTCCCGCCCCCCACACACCTGGGGCCTCCGACCAGGACAGCGCAGGGCAGGTGACTACCCAGGAAGGGTAGGGGAATGTAGGGGGACTGGTGGCACCGTTGGCATCGCCGGCCGAAGCCTGCCCCTGACTGACGCAATTGCCGGCCGGTCGCAGCTATAAATAGCCAAGGAGAGCTGGAAATAGAAGCCAGGGAAGGGCCAGAGGCGGGTGGAGGGAGGAGCTTGGGCTTGAGCACCTGATGCCAGAGGAGGAAAACAAAACTCCATTCTAGGGCTCCCCTCCCTCATCCCACCCCAGCCCAGAGGGGCGTTTGCACCCGGAAACGTTTGGGGAAGCAGGGTGAAGTCAAGAACCTGCCCAACAGTGGGCGGGGCCTCCCTGCCGCGAGGGTCGGGGCGCGTGGAGCCTGCGCTGGCCACAGCCCGCGGTCTTCGGCTCTGGGTCATCTGCGGGGCAGTGGCCCCTCCTGATATCCGCCCGCCCCCACTCCCAAGCAGAAAGAGATTCCGGTGCCTCTCCACCCTCCCCACCCCACTCCCTCCGTCAAGCCCCTGGCCCAGGAGACCCCCGACAGCCCTGGAACACAGGGCCGATTGGCGAGATCAGTGGACACTAGGCCTGCCCAGAGCCTAGCCGGTGGGGGCGGCGTCCTGGGGGTGGGAGGGGGGCTTGTGGGGCAGTTTCCATATCTTCCTCGCCCAACCCAATCCTTCGGCCAGCGGCAGGAATGGGGCTCAGAGACTTTGCCGGCCTGGGGCAGGGCGCACTGCAGCCAGTGTGGAAGCCAGACCCAAACCGGACGGTCCCGGTGCCTGGTTCTGCTCGGTCACCTCTTGCCCACCTACCCAGCGGGCGCTCACAAGCTGGGGGCCCAAAAGAGGAACAGAAAACCAGAGGACTGGGGGGGCTTTGAGGCTGAAGGGCGAAGGCCCTTCCCGGACACCCTTGAGCCCTCCACCCTGAGCCCCTAGCAGCGCCAGGGAGTGACTTCAGTCCGGGTTCCTACTGTGGGGCCTCCGCCTCTCGGAGGGCATTAGGGCTGGCAAGGCGCGGCCGATGGGGCCCTTCGCCTGTGTGGACCGTAACAAGAAACTCCAGGAGGGGCAGGATTGAGGGCAGTAGGACGGGGTTGGTGTGGGCGAGGGGAGGTTTGGGTCCCCCCACCTCTCCGGGCAGCTGGTGGCGGCCCCGCCCTCCCTGAGGGCAAGGAACCCGCAGCCGGGAGGACGGCGGCTGCAGGCCAGTGTAGGGTGGGCGCGGTCCCATTAGAGCGGGCGGGGTCCGCCAGGATGGGCGGTGAGGTCAGCCCCGACGTAGGGGGCCCAGAGCATCGCTGGGTGGCTCGGGTGGCACCGGCGTCCGGGCCGCCAACCCCGCAGGAAGCGCCCAGTCACAATCCCGCCCCAGGGCTCCTCCACGCCCCGCCGCCCAGAGCCCAGAACCTGCCCAACCTGCGCGCGCCGCGGGGCGCAGCCGGGGGCTCCGAGGACCGGGAGGCAGGCGCGGGGGGTGCGCCAGCTGCTCGCGATGACCTCACGCCCGGCGGGGCCGCGCCCACTCCCAGACTGCCCTCCGCGGCGCTCTCCATCCGCAAAGCGCCGCTGCTCCTCGGCTCCCGCGTCCTGCGCGCCCCTCGCGGGTCCGGGTCCCCAGGCACTGCTGGCGTGGAGGGCGGGCGCGGGGAGCAGCTGCTCCGCTCCGAGCACGTGGGCAGCGCGGCTCCGGGTCCGGGGCCTAGGTGGGCAAACACCTGTCCCGCATGGGCGGGGCGAGCGCCCCTCCGGAGCCCGCCTGTCCGGCCCGGGGAACGTAGTATGAGCTCTTCTCCCGCCTCGGGCTTCGACTTGGGCTCGCCCGCCACCCCCACCCGGCGCTCCCCGAACCCGAGGCGGAGCGCAGCCCGGCAGCGCCATCTGCTGCCCGCGCCCGCCGAGGCTGGGGCCGGTTCTCGGGCCGGGGGCCCTGCACGCACGCCCACCCGTCGGGAACCCACCTGCTGGGAGGAAGGCACAGCCCTGTCTCCACCCCGCGCCCCCAGCCCACCCTCCTTCTAAGGCCCTCCCCTTGGTCCTTCGGCTGCCTCAGCTGTACCCACAACCTGCACCTGCTCTGGGCTTGCGGGTCCCGCAGGAAGGTCGCCCACACCGCGGCCCCAGGGACTCAGGCAGTCAGTGACCAGCTGTGTCTCCAGCCAGGTTTTCTCCCTGTCCTCCAGACCGGGCAATGCCAAATGGCAGCGGCCACCTGCGTCTGACTAGGCCCCCATCCCAACGCCTCCAACCCCCTTCGCGGCCACCCCCCCTTCTCAGGTAAGCAGTACACCTAGCTGCTGTTCTTGGCTCTCCCGCCACCACGCCCTCACCTGGATGGTTCCGCCAGACCCCGCAGGCCCCTTAGTCCGCCCCAGCCCTACCCAGCTGTCTACAAAGCGCATTCCTGGAAGGGCCCCTCCCTGGTCTGCCGGTGTGCTCTGCGCTCCTCCCCCAGCCCAGGTGCAGGGCGGCACTCTGAATCCCCTACCGTGCAGAGGGCATGTTCACCTCGGCCCTTGACTTCCCAGCAGGGCCTGGCATTGAGGGTGCCGCCCTGGGATATTGTGTGTGGCCTGAGGCTGCTGGAGCCAAGCACCGCAAACCAGGCGGCTTCAACAGAAACGTCTCTCCAGCCCTGCGCGGTGGCTCATGCCTAGAATCCCAGCACTTCGGGAGGCTGAGGCAGGCGGATCATCTGAGGTCAGGAGTAAGACACCAGCCTGGCCAACATGGTGAAACCCCAGTCTCTACTAAAACTACAAAAATAAGCCGGGTGTAGTGGCAGGCACCTGTAATCCCAGCTACTCAAGAGGCTAAGGCCGGAGAATCCCTTGAACTCGGGAGGTGGAGGTTGCAGTGAGCTGAGATGGCGTCACTGCACTCCAGCCTGGGTGACAGAGCAAAATTCTGTCTCAAAACAAAACAAAAAAAGAAGAAAGAAGGAAAGAAAGGAAGGAAGGAAGGAAGGAAGGAAGGAAGGAAGGAAGGAAGGAAGGAAAGAAAGGAAGGAAGGGAGAGAAAAAGAAAAGAAATGTCTCTACAAGGTCTGGAGGCCATGAGTCCAAGATCCAGGTGTAGGCAGGTGGGCTCCGTGGAGGGCCAGGAGGGAGCATCTGCCTCAGCCCCTCGCTGCAGCCTTTCACAAGGCCGTCCACCCACCCTACTCCAGTGTGGCCTCATCTTAACTAGGTTCTTCTGCAGTGACCCTAGTTCCAAATAATGAGGTCACATTCTGAGGTACTGGGGTCAGGACATCGACATATGAATGTGGGATGCACAATCCCACCCATAACAGGTATCGGTGGGAGAAGGAGGCGTGTGCAGGCTCTATGACCACCACCGGGAACCCTTCAGACTGCCCTCACCACACTGCTGGCAACCAGTCCTAGGAACGGGCTCCGCAGAGGTGAGTTTGCAGAGCCAGCATCCCAGGAGGTGGGGCCCGCATGGGTTTGATAAGTAAAAGCTGTCAGGCTGTCAGGGTCCATCTGGTCCGGGGACTCCCACCCTCCTGCCCTCCAGCAATGCCTGGGGGGATCTTTAAATGCAGGGCCCAGGGACCTACATAGCCAGCCTCTGTGGGGGCAGGGCTCAGGAATCTGTATTTCCAAAGTTTCCCTACGGAGTCTGCTGCATCTGTTGATGAGACATGTACATTTGGGGACCTGAAATCTAGGGGTCCCTACCCAGTGGATGGAGGGGACAATAGTGAACCCCAGCTGGCTAGAGGCAGAGCCAGGAGGAAGGCTGAGCCTCCTGGCCTCCATCTGTAGTTTCTGTGTGGGTGCATCCCCACGAGGCCG
The DNA here is from genome assembly GCF_000001405.40 of Homo sapiens. NCBI lineage: Eukaryota > Metazoa > Chordata > Mammalia > Primates > Hominidae > Homo > Homo sapiens. The sequence goes on along the minus strand of NW_025791792.1, from coordinate 285,092 downwards.
AGGCCCTGCTCCTTCACTGCTTCCTGACCCTCCACGCCTCCAGGCCACGCTTTGGCCATGTGCACCATGCACTCTGTGTCCCAGGGCACAGGCTCCCACCAGGACAGCTTCTCCCAGTCTGGCTCCAGGCACTGCGTGGCTTGTGGGAGCAGCAGCAGCTCCCACTGGACCCTGGAGGGCAGAGCTGTCCTGCCAGTACCCCACCTGTGTAATGGGCCTCAGTGTCCCAATCCAGGAGAGGGAGCTGGAGCAGGCCTGGTGCCTCCTCCTTCCCATAGGGAGACGGGGAACCTGTGCACAGGCTAGCTCTGTGGGGGCCAGTTCCATACTGTGCCGCACCCACTGGGCCCTCTGGGGCCTCAGGGTCTTGTCTGCAAAATGGGAATTGGGGAGGGGTGGAATGTCAGTAACTTACTTTCCCGTTCCTGCTTTTTGTGGATTTTTTCCATTAACATGTGTGGAACCCTTCTGGTGCTGGGGATGGCCCCTCGGAGCCCCCGTGCCTGGGAAACAAGCCTCTGTCATCACTCTGAGATCAGTGGTTTCTGTGACAGGTGTGTACAAAAGGTGCCACCACTCAGGAAGGCTGCCTGGAGGAAGGGGCATGTGAGAGAGGCCTTGTGTGATGAGCAGGAGTTCTTTGAGAGGAGCAACTCCTTCCCAACAGTAGCAGCACATTCGAAGCCCCGCAGTGCAGGGGAGCCCATGACTGCAGCCACGGGAGCCCCTGACCGACCACACACCCACCTAGGGCCGGGCACCCTGCCGAGTGCACAGGATGAAGTAGTTCCTAGAGCTGGGGAGGGGGCAGGGAACGGTCAGTTCCCAAGGATGTCAGACTCTGTCCCCAGGGCAAGGGGAGCAAACCTGCAGGTCCTTGCCTGAAAGGGTGTTTTGTTAGGGGCTGGCACCACCGGCCAGGAAGGGTGGTGGATCCCGGCCGGGTGGGGGTGGCAGGAAGGGTGCTCATTGGGGACACAAAGGGCAGGTTCCCAACTCCCCAGGTCAGTCACCTCTTTGCTTCAAGGAATGGCCTGCAGGTGACCCTGGGGGTCAGGGCCTCAAGGAGCAACCCACGGCAGCCTGGACGCTGCCTGCCCTGAGCGCTCTCTGCCCAGGTCTGGACAAGGACTCTGCCCATCCTGCACTTGCCAGCTGGCAGGTGGCCTGTGCCCCAGCCTCAGGCCTCATCTGCATTTGCAGATCACTGGCACCTTACAAGAATGATTCCCAGGGGAGATGAGCCCCGTCTCAGCCTCAGGTAAAGCACACCCTATATGCTATGAATCATGTGGCCGGTAACTGCACCTGTTACAAGTTGAATTGTGTGCCCCAGAAAGATATGCTCAGAGATGGGGCACGGTGGCTCACACCTGTAATCCCAAGGCTTTGAGAGTCCAATGCAGGAGGATCGTTTGTACCCAGGAGGTTGAGGCTGCAGTGAGCTGCGATGGTACCGTTGCACTCCAGCCTGGGCAGCAGAGCCATACCCTGTCTCAAATAAATATATATATATACACACACACACACATATATACACACACATACGTGTGTGCGCATAAAATAATAAACATATTTTATATATATACATATATATGTGTGTGTATGTGTGTATATATGTGTACATATATATGTATATATATGTGTACATATATATGTATATATATGTGTACATATATATATGTATATATATGTGTACATATATATGTATATATATGTGTACATATATATGTATATATATGTGTACATATATATATATATGTATATATATATATGAGACAAAGTCTTGCTCTGTCACCCAGGCTAGAGTGCAGTGGCACCATCTCAGCTCACTGCAACCTCTGCCTCCCAGGTTCAAGTGATTCTCCTGCCTCAGCCTCCCGAGTAGCTGGGACTACAGGCATGTGCCACTACGCCTGGCTAATTTTTGTATTTTCAGTAGAAACAGGGTTTCACCATGTTGGCTAGGCTGGTATTGAACTCCAGACCTCAGGTGATACACCTGTCTCGGCCTCCCAAAGTGCTGGGATTACAGGCATGAGCCACTGCTCCTGGCCAGGACAGGGCAGCTTTCTGGGAGCAGAGGCTGCAGCCCTCCCTCTACTGGACCTCAGTGAATCCTGGCTAGCGGGACCTTTGATGGGGGTTGTTGCAGCCGCCTGCAGGTCCTGGGGGAGGAAGTGGCCTGGAGGGCCGTGCGTGAATGGGCAGGTGACAGCCCTGGATGTGGGTAGCAGCATCCACCAGAGATGAGCAGGAGCACCCAGCCTGCCTCCCTGTGGTGCCGCCGTGGCCTGTTTACTTAGCCACACCTGGAGATAGGGAGGCAGAGGGCACCCTCTCAGAGAGCACTGGCAGCTGCTTCAGGTCATGCACACGGAGCTTTCGGCTGCACCTGGCTCATGGGACGGCCCCAGCCATAATCCCAGGTGACACTGATTATCAGCATCCTCATGCCCTGCCTGCATTCCGGTCACCCCAGGGGCACCAGGCCCCCACGGAGAGCTAAGCCAAATGCAGGGGCTGTCCTGGCCTCTGGAGGGGAGGCGGGGATGACTGAAGCCTGGAGAACACTGCCCAGCCTGCTCCCAAGGGTGACCACCTTGACTGTTTCCTCAAGACCCAGGGAGGAGCATCCCTTTGGTAGGCAGGTCATGGTGGGACAATGGCGGGCTTGAGAGCAGATGTTTCTGGAACCCCAGCTGCCCGCCCACTCGCTGAGTGACCTCGGACAAGCCTCTGGTCCTCCAGGAGCCTCAGCCTCCTCTCTGGATTGTCACTGCCTGGGGATTAAGTGAGGGAGCAGGAGCAGGACAGCAGGCACAGTGCGATCAGCAGGAGGGCATCTGAGGCGTTTGTTGAAGGCTTGGAAGAGCTGGCGGCACCTTGGGACCGGGAGGCAGGGCAGGCTTCTGCGCCACCATCCCCAAATCAGACTCTGTTCAGGTCTAGGAGGTACAGGGAATGCTGAACCATGGGGGTGCTGGGGATGGAGGGGCTGCCCAGGCAGGCGCTGGCAGCTGTGGCTACCCTCAGCCTCACTGGGGACTGTCCCAAGCACAAGAACCAGCTCAGAGGTGAGAGGGAGCCATTGTTCTCCAGGCTCTGCAGCGTAGGAGAATGTGTGTGTCACGAGGCCTACCCCGTGCCAAGGCCTCTCGGCGGCGCAGCCTGGGACAGAGAGGGGACGCTGAGCACCAGCTATGTCCCCTGCTGGCCCCGAAAGGCAATGAGTGGGCCCGAGAGAAGGACAGACAGGGTCAGAGCAGAGTCCGTGAATGACCCCGCAGGGCTTGGCCTGCATCCTGGAGTCAGCGGTTGACTGGGGAATCAGGTCTTTCCCCTGAAACATGCCATGAGGTCACCCTTATCCTGGAAGCCCCAGCTTTCCACCCCACAGTGGAGGACAGCTGCCCGAGGATCTCCACAAAGGTCCTGCCTGTAAGGGGTCCCCAGTCTAGATGGAAGCATGATTGGGAAAATCAAGCCCCTCACTTCTCTGGCCAGGAACTCCCAGTGGGCACAGCAGCCCCTGGGGCTGCTCTAGAGCCAGGCAGAAGGAAGGAGCCTGATTAGAAAGGGCAGGGGCTGTCACGAGGCGGCTTCAATCCACAGAAATGGACTGTCTCTCAGTCCTGGAGGCCAGAAGTCTGACATTGTCAGCATCACCAGGGCTGGTTTCTTCTGAGGGCTGTGAGGAAGGGTCTGCTCCAGGTGTCGCTCCTCGGTTTGTGTTGTAGATGGCCTTCTCCTTCCTGTGTCTCTTCACACTGTCTTCTCTACGTGAGGCTGTGTCCAAACTCCCCCCGACCCTTTTTATTTTTTTTGAGACAGTCTCTCTGTCACTCAGGCTGGAGTGCAGTGGTGTGATCCTGGCTCACTACAACCTCTGCCTCTCGGGTTCAAGCGATTCTCCTGTCTCAGCCTCCCGAGTAGCTGGGATTACAGGCGCCCACCACCAGGCCCAGCTAATTTTTGTATTTTTAGTAGAGACAGCGTTTCACCATGTTGGCCAGGCTGGTCTCGAACTCCTGATCTCAGGTGATCCACCCGCCTCTGCCTCCCAAAGTGCTGGGATTACAGGCGTGAGCCACCGCACCCAGCCTAAATTCCTCCTTTTTATAAGGTCACCAGTCATATAGGATTGGAAGCCCCCACCCCACCAGGACCTCATCTTAACAAATGACATCTGTGGACAGGGCATGGGGGCTCACGCCTATAATCGAGACCAATCTGGCCAATGTGGTGAAACATCGTTTCTACTAAAAACATAAAAATTAGCCGAGCGTGGTGGTGGACACCTGTAATCCCAGCTACTCAGGAGGCTGAGGCAGGAGAATCAATTGAACCTGGGAGGCAGAGGTTGCAGTGAGCCGAGATCGCACCATTGCACTCCAGCCTGGGCAACAAGAGCAAAACTCCATCTCAAACAAACAACAACAACAAAAAATGACGTCTGCAGTGACTCTTTTTCCAGATAAGGTCCCTTTCAGACCTTACTGGTACTAGGGGTTAGAACTGCCTCTTATCTTTCCAGGGGACACGCGTCAGCCCATGACACTGAGTGTGCCGTGACCCTCTCCCTGGCTCTGTTTACCCCAGGGTACTGGTCATTTTGAATGCGCTGCCTGCTTTATTATTTTTTTCACTGACACTCCACAGCTCCTCAAGGGGAGGCTTTAGTCTGTTGTGTCTACTACTGTTCTCCAGGCGCCTTACAAGTGCCTTGTCCTTGTACGTAGTTGGCACTCACTACCTATTTGTCAGATGAATGGGTGAATGGAAGGAGGAGAGGGCTGAGTGGGAAACGCTATGGGTCTTCCTTCCTGCCAGAACTGTCAACCAAAAGCAAACCTTAATCTCCAGAGATGCCCAGAAATGGGTGCCACCCTCCCAGACCCCAAAGTTGCAGAGAAGGGGCCCCTCTAGGATTCCAGTCTCACTCCCACGTGTTGTCTGTGCGGAAGACAGAGAGTGTTGGTGATTGACAGTGGATTGAAAGATGTAATGATTCCAACTGCAGCTGTTCTTCCAGACGTGGTGTCCTTATTGGAGCCAATCAACAGTTATGATTCAGCTATTGATCAGGCAGCCACACCCACCTCAATCCCAATAAACAGAGAACATCAGAAGCAGGGTGTTGTTATTTGGAGAAATTGGCAGTATACCTCCCCACTCAGGCCTCAGGGTCCTGCAAACTCGAATTCGCTCTGCCACAATTTCATCCACATCGACTTTTTTATTTTTTTTTGAGACAGAGTTTCACTCTTGTCGCCACGCTGGAGTGCAGTGGCGCCATCTCGGCTCACTGCAATCTCTGCCTCCAGGGTTCAAGCAATTCTCCTGCCTCAGCCTTCGGAGTAGCTGGGATTACAGGTGCACGCTACCACGCCCAGCTAATTTTTTTTTGTATTTTTGGTAGAGATGGGGCTTTACCATGTTGCCCAGGCTGGTCTCCAACCCGCCTCAGCCTCCCAAAGTGCTGGGATCACAGGTGCCTGCCACCACGCCCAGCTAATTTTTGTATTTTTAGTAGAGACGGGGTTTCACCATGTTGGTCAGGCTGGTCTCAAACTCCTGACCTCAAGATCCGCCCGCCTTGGCCTCCCCCAGTGCTGGGATCACAGGCGTCAGCCACCGCGCCCGGCCTCGTCCACACAGATTTTGATTGTCTCTTAGGATATCACATCGTATGAATGATGCCACGTTCACAGGCCCCGGAGCCGAGGACCTAGATACTCTAGAGGCTAAATAATACACGTGTGGCCGGGCGCGGTGGCTCACACCTGTAATCCCAGTACTTTGGGAGGCCGAGGTGGGCAGATCATGAGGTCAGGAGTTCGAGACCAGCCTGACCAACATGATGAAACTCTGTCTCTACTAAAAATACAAAAATTAGCCAGGCGTGGTGGTGCACGCCTGTAATCCCAGCTATGTGGGAGGCTGAGACAGGAGGATCCCTGGAGCCCAGGAGGCAGAGGCTGCAGTAAGCCGAGATTGTGCCACTGTACTCCAGCCTGGCAACAGAGCAAGACTCTGTCTAAAAAGAAAAAAAGAAAAAGAGAAAAAATATACATGTGCTTGCCAAGAGATATATCCCATGAACATTTAGGGATTTGGCAACATTTTGGGGATCTAATGATCTGAGAACATTCTTTTCAAAGTAAAGGATGGGCTGTTTCACCTCCAGCACCATGATACACCGATGGATGTGTCAATTAGACATTGTCTTTTCCTTCAAGTAGCAGAAATTCGGAAGAACGATGATTTAACCCATATTTCTTTCAAATAACATAAGCACCTTGGTAAGAGAATCAGGATTGTCGTGGAGGGTTCTGAGTTTCAGCAGGAACCCAGGTTCTTTCTGCCTTTCTGCTCTCCATCATCACTTCCTCATGCTCCAAGGTGGCTGCAAGAGCTCCAGCCATCATTTTTTTTGTCTATTCTGGTCAGGAAGCAGGAGACTGGGACAGGGCTGGGGTAGACAGGAAGGACAAAAAGGATTTCCTGGAAGCTATGCAATAATTTCACCTTACATCTCGTTGGCCACCTCGCCTACCTGGGAAGCTGGATAAAATAGTTTTTCCTGTGGTCATATTGCTCAGCATTCAATTACTAAGTAAAAAGAGGAGAAGGAAGGAGGAGGAAGAGGGGGAGAAGCAAAGAGAAGAAAAAGGAAATGGAAGTAGACGTGGGGCAGCTAACCTACCCTCTCTGACCAGTACTTACTGAATGTGCTGTTCTTAACTAATTAGCAAGAGACCCAAGAGTGCATGAAAGCTTTAAATGTGCCCCAGATTGAAAACAATGTTTAGCTGGAGCTGCAGTACAAGCAGTTCTGTCAGTTGCCACTTTTTTTTTTTTTGTCTCATTCTTGCTGCCCACACTAGAGTGCAATGTCATGGTCTTGGCTCACTGCAACCTCAACCTCCCAGGTTCAAGTGATTCTCCTGCCTCAGCCTCCCAAGTAGGTGGGATTACAGGTGCCTGCCACCATGCCCGGCTAATTTTTGTGTTTTTAGTAGAGATGGGGTTTCACCATGTTGGCCAGGCTGGTCACAAACTCCTGAGCTCAGGTAGTCCACCCACCTTGGCCTCCCAAAGTGCTGGGATTACAGGCATGAGCCACCGCACCCAGCCTTTTTCTTTTCTTTTCTTTTTTTGAGATGGAGCCTTCCTCTGTCACCCAGGCTGGAGTGCAGTGGTGTGATCTCAGCTCACTGCAGCCTCTTCCTCCTGGGTTCAAACGATTTTCCTGCCTCAGCCTCCTGAGTAGCTGGGATTACAGGTGCCCACCACCACGCCCGGCTAATTTTTGTATTTTTAGTAGACCATGTTGGCCAGGCTGGTCACGAACTCCTGACCTCAAGGGATCCACCCACCTCGGCCTCCTAATGTGCTGGGATGACAGACATGAGCCACTGCACCTGGCCACTTGTCACTTCTGACTCAACAGATCCAGTGGCACCCCATGTGCTGCTACATGGAGATGGTGGCAAGCTCTACTAGGAGGGTGAGCTAGGAGGGCCCCAGGGCTTTGGAGCAAAGCCCTATCCTCTTAAGAAATAAACATGATTCTTAGAGATGCACGTTCCGGCTTGCCACTGGGCTCCAGATCAGACAATATGTAACACATGAGATAGCACACATGTGATCTGGGCGGGACACACGAAGACATGCATGGGGTGCACTGGGCAGCATACCATCCTCAGGGGAGGAGGGCCGGGCCAAGGCAGGAGAGCTGCCCAAGCCAGGGGCCACACGCCCAGCATGCCCACCCACTCCCCCATGGCTCCTCACCTCCGCCTGCACCAGGGGCCTAATGAAGGATTTCTTAAAACAAGTTTGCTAATATCATTCCCATTCCACTAAAAAGGAAGCTGAGGCACAGGGACATTAAACAACCTGTCCAAGTCAGGCAGGCTGTCGCCAGGATTGCTGGCACCCAATGGGGCAGGAAGGAATGTGGATGGAACCTGGGGGGGCTGCCTGAAGCATCCCCTAGGACAACCACTTTCAGGGGAGCCATTACTGGAAGAGGCCAGCACCTAGGAGCAGTCAGGGCCACCAAGGGTTCCTTGTCCTCAGGAACGATGGGTTGGGTCACTCTGCAAGGTAAAGAGATGCAGCCAGCCGAGCGAGCGGTTCGTTAAAGCAAAGTGAGCATGAAGCAGGGAGAAGGAAGTCATCAGCCTTGGCCACACCAGTAAGGTAGCCTGTCCTCTCTGACCAGTGCTTACAGAATGTGCTGCTCTTAAGTAATTAGCAAGAGACCCAAGAGTGCGCAAAAGCTTTAAATGTGCCCCAGATTGAGAACAAGGTTTAGCTGGGGCTGCAGTACAAGCAGTTCTGTCACTTGTCACTTTTTTTTTTTTTTTTTTGAGACGGAGTCTGGCTCTTGTTGCCCAGGCTAGAGTGCAATGACACGGTCTCCGCTCACTGCAACCTCTGACTCAACAGTCAGACCTTGGTGACATGTGTCTGTCTTTTCTTCCTTCCCGAGATGCTGTGTGTTAAATGCGTGTTCCTCCTCTTTCCTTTGTCTTTCCTATTTTATCTCCGGTGGTTTTTGCTGGTTAAGTTTGCAATGTTCACCCACGAGCTTTACAACCAGGAAAGCGACGCAGCAAGAGTGGACGCCTCCCCGCCTCCTGGCGGTTGCTGATAAGCTGCGGGCTGGGCCCTGGAGGGAGTGGGGATTCACCTCTACAAGGCTCAGCTGCACTATGAGGGCAGTAAGGTGAGGTGTGGGCAGAACGGTGTTTGTACAAAGCAGCGAAATAGAAGGACTGTTGTGGGCCGTTTCGTTCTTCACCGTCTAAGCACCTTAACTTCCTGGAGAAACCCCTCCTTAGGAGGCCGGGTCTGCCTTGCATTGGAGAAGCTGCCAACGGCGGTGCAGGCAGACGCCCTCAGCTTCCCTGTCAGCAGCACCTGCCCAACTTGGAACGGAAAGCGGCATGCACGGCCCATGCGAGCAGCAGCAGCAGCAGCAGCAGCAGCGCTTGGCCGGCGGAGGCGGCATCTCCAGCACCAGCACTCAGGGATGCGGGAGGCTGGCGCCCTGTGGTTGCAGCAGTGACGCCTTTACTGTCCCAGTTCTGTGCTCACACATCAGGCAGGAAGAGGCTTGGCTGTGACCAGCAGAAATTCCAGTGCCGGGTCTGCATTTCCCGCACATCAAGAGCTCCGGAGAAGGGCAGCCCATGGCTGGTGCAGCCGCTTTTTGGAGTCATCTACGTCCCAAGCTCTTCCGGTCTTCTCGGTCCTTGTTTTCTGTCAATGCCTCCCACCAAGGCAGTCCGAATACCTGGTTCCCGCCCTCCAGGTATTCTGCCCGTGCAGAAACAGAAGTCAAACCGCCTCCCTGCGGAGGCGTCATTCTCTCATTCGGATGGGAAGCCTCCCTGGCCGACTTCTGTTCTGACTCCATTGACCATAACCACGTCACGCAGCCTCCTGCTGCTGCGGGGAGGTGGGGCGGGGGGGTCTGGGGTTGAAAGGTTTCGCCTGCTGGTCTCAACTGTGGGGCAAAGCCAGAGAGAAGGGACTAAGAACGGAGGCCACTGCGACTGGAGGCGTTCCCAGATGCATGGTCTTAGAAGTTCTCGAGCTTTCTCGGCAATGCCGTGAGCTACCCAGGATCTGTTATGAATTCCTTTTCACCTTAAGCCTTTCTCTTGATGGTAACTGAGAGTCCTGCCTGATACCTAAGCATTCTTGAGCCTGGAGAGAGGCCAGGTGGCAGGAGGGGACCTGGGGAGAGCGGGGAGGGGCCGCTTTCCCCGGCTGAATACAGGGCAGCAGGCGGGGCTGACCCTGGAGGGGGCGAGGTCAGCTGGCCTGATGCGGTCACTTGTCTGACAAGCATGGTGGAGTGACACAGCCACTGGGCTTCAGACAAGTGACCGCATCAGGCCAGCTGACCTCGCCCCCTCCAGGGTCAGCCCCGCCGGCCGCCCTGTATTCAGCCGGGGGAAGCAGTCCCTCCCCGCTCTCCCCCAGGTTCTGCGTTCTCCCTGTCCTGATTCTGTGCTCCTCCGAGCATCTTCCCCGGGGGAAGAATGGGGAATTCCTGTCACTCAGTGACAGGCAGTCACTGAGTAACTGCTGTGGGCCGGGCCCAGGACAGAGTGGCTAGGAGGTCAGATGCCCAGGGAACATGGGGACACCCAGGGGACATGGGGACACCCAGGGGCTCAAGGGGAGAGTCTGGGATGGGGGAGAGACAGCCAAGAGCGAGGCGATATACAGCCCACCGAGCGGGGACGGCGCAGGGAGCGAGGAGAGGGCCAAAGGTGGGAGAGGACAGCCGGTGGCGCAGGCGGACTGCCGGGGAGGGAGGGGGCAGCCAGGGTATGAGGGACAGTCCTGGAGCAAGGGGAGCGCCAAAGGCGGAAGGTAACCGTCCAGGGCGTGGGGGACAGCGCGGAGAGAGCCCAAGGGGGAAATTACAGCCGGGGTGTGGGGAGACAGTTCAGGTGCGCGGGGACAGCCCGTGGAGCCAGGAACACCTGGCGGCCAGGAAGCGCAGGGTGCGAGGCCGGGACTACGCGTCCCAGCAGGCGGCGCGCGGGCGCATCACTTCCGGCGGCGGCGGGCGGCGCGTGTGGGAGCGAGCGGGCGGGCCAGTGTTTACTTCCGGACACCGGGGCTGAGGCCGATCGCGTCGGGCAGCGGGCGCGGCGGCCCCGCGCAGCCATGGACTGGCTCATGGGGTGAGTCTGCGGCCGGGCCGGGCTCGGGCGGGCGCCGGGCGGGCGCCGGGCGGGGCGGTCGGAGCGCGAGTGAGTTGCGGGGCTCCGTGCGGGCACCGCCGCTCAAGGGCATCGGGCCCGGGCGGAGCGGGCGGAGCAGACGCGCCTGTCCTGGGCGGGCCGGGCCGGGGCGGGCGTCTCGGGGGCAGCCCGGTTCTGGTCCCGTCAGAGGCCTGGCCCGGCCGCCCCGCGCGCCCGGCTGTCGGTGGGCCGGGGCCTCGCAGCTTTCCCTGCCCGCTCCGCTCCCTGCGCGGGGCTCGCTTCTGGACTAAGTAACTTGAACACCGGTAGAGACAAGTTCCTTAAGAAAAAGGAAAAAGAAGTGAAAGACCCCAGTTTCCTGAGATACTCGCGGGGCTGTGGCCAAGGAGGGGAGCAGGACTGGGTGTTGCGGGCTGCGGACCCGCGGAGGGTCCCGGCGAGGTGCAGATCTTGCTGCGGTCCGCGGGCGGCCGGGGCAGGAGGGTGGAGTAGGAAGGAAGCCGGAGAAACTGCTGGCTCTTAGCTGGGGAGCCGCGGCCGCCTTCCCCTCCCATCCGCTTCTGTGTTTAGCTTGCTGGAAACCGGAGAAGCGGTATAGCAGCTAAAGCGTCGCCGCTTTGCCCGCAGCAGTTATTCTGGCTATAGTGATTTAAAAAAAAACAAAACTTTTTTCCTTTGGAAGAGCAATAAGGACAGGCATTTTCACCCGACAGCGTGGTCCTTGCGCATCTCTGCCTGTCCCTGTAGCTACCCCTATAGCGCCTGTCCAGAGTCCGCTTACTCATTCCAGGGGCCTGGGGTGGGAGTGGGGAGCCGTTGCTCTTGGTTTTGGCCGGTGGAAGGACTTGTGTAGACACCGAAGTTCAGAAAGTGGAGTGAAAGGCTTGATGGACATTTTGTTTCAGTGTCTCTCAGGCCCTTGGGAGTCGAAGGGGCGGCGTGGGGGCGCGGGGTCGGGGGGTTGTTGTCAGGATAACCAAGGAGAGGAATTAGAACCGTTCTTGGCATCGCATTGCATGGACTTCAGTGACGGGGAGAGCAGGGAAGACAAGCAGAATGGGATGAATCAAGAGACGGCAGAAGTGCCCAGTGCAGCGGGGATCGGCCTGGAGCCAGAGTGTAGGGGTCAGGGCAGCTGTACAGATGGCTCGGGGGACCAACCATGGGGTGGGAGGGCTCATGTCTTTTTTTTTTTTTTTGAGACAGAGTTTCACTGTGTCGTCCAGGCTGGAGTGCAGTGGCGTGATCTCGGCTCACTGCAACCTCTGCCTCCTGGGTTCAAGCAGTTACCTGCCTCAGCCTCCTGAGTAGCTGGGATTACAGGCTTCCGCCACCATGCCCGCCTAATTTTTGTATTTTTAGTGGAGATGGGGTTTCAAGGCCAGGTTGGTCTTGAACTCCTGACCTCCTGATCCGCCCGCCTCAGCCTCCCAAAGTGCTGGGATTACAGGTGTGAGCCACTGCGCCCGGCCGGCTCATGGCTTCTTGAAGAGGCAACACTGCTGTTCCAGCCCTGCCGCTTATTAGCTGTGTGAGTGGTCACTTCACCTCTTTCTTTAAATCACCTGCTTTAAAAAAATCACCCCTAAGGCGGAAACTGTACGACTTGCAGTGCATGGTTGTGGAGGGAGAGACCAAGGTAAAGGCTTAGCCCAGTGCTTGGCGTGTGGTAAATGTTGGCTACTGTTAGTGTGGAGAGGTGTTTCATGCAAGGCCTCTGAAACCCACGGACACTGAGAGTTGAGGCCGCACAGCTGTGTTTGCTTTATTCCGAATCATAGGCTCTTGCTTGCTTTCTGCATTTACTGGGAGGGACTGCATTGGAAGCACCCAGGCCTCGGAGTGGGAAGTAGACTCTTGAGCCGGTGAGTTGAACCCACAGGGATTCATGTCAGCGGGACCAGCACAGTCAGCCGGGTTCCCAAGGAGGCAGCTGAGTGCGTTTTGTGAATGTGTGATTATTACCTGTGTACATTCATAAGTAGCAGGTACTTTGTGCCTGGAAGCTGACCAGCAGTTGGTCTTTTTAAACTCACTGAGGTCTATGCTTTGTGGATTTTGCTGTCATCATTGTGAATATTCAGAAATTAACTAATACTAGCTTCCGGGGGACTGATTCTTGTTTTTGTTTTGTTTTGTTTTTTTGAGATGGAGTCTCGCTCTGTTGCTCAGGCCAGAGTGCAGTGGCATGTTCTCGGCTCACCACAACCTCCGCCTTCTGGGTTCAAGTGATTCTCCTGCCTCAGTCTCTCAAGTAGCTGGTATTACAGGCACGTGCCACCAGCCCAGCTAATTTTTGTGTTTTTAGTAGAGATGGGGTTTCACTGTATTGGCCAGGCTGGTCTCAAACTCCTGACCTCAAGCGATCCACCTGCCTTGGCCTCTTAAAGTGCGGGGATTATGGGCATGAGCCACCACGACCAGCCTGGGGGACAGATTCTTGTGACCCTTGTTAAGACTTTGGTAACCAAGTAATCCTCCAGGGAAGGATGGTGGTACACTCATCTCATGGGCCCCAGGCTGGGTCTGGGTGCCAGGGGAAGGCTGGTGAGGACCTTGGAGCTGCTGCCTCAGAGGGCCCTGGCCAGGGAAGAGGTGTTTGCCGTTGCCTGGCTGTAAAAGTGGGCAGTTCCAAGAGGGCAGTGAGATTTTCAAGTGGGATTAGCATGGAGTGCAGTTATCTTTGCATATGTGGTTTCAAATCTATTGGACGTTGTGAATCATGAATTCTTTAACAATTCCTTAAATATATGCTTCCCCCCCTCCTTTTTTTTTTTTTTTTTTTTTTTTTGAGACGGAGTCTTGCTCAGCCGCCCAGGCTGGAGTGCAGTAGCGCGATCTTGGCTGGCTCACTGCAACACTGTTTCCCGGGTTCAAGTGATTCTCCCCTCTCAGCCTCCTGAGTCGCTGGGATTACAGGCGCCTGCCACCACACCCGGCTAATTTTTTTGTGTTTTAGTAGAGATGGGGTTTCACCATGTTGGCCAGGCTGGTCTTAAACTCCTGACCTCAGGTGATCCGCCTACCTTGGCCTCCCAATGTGCTAGGATTACAGGCGTGAGCCACCGCGCCTGGCTGTGCTTCCTGTTTTAAGAGGTACATTTCAGTGGTCAAGTACTGCTTTTCCTCCAGAGCCTGTTTTAAGCTGGTATACAAGGATGCAGGGCAGAGAGGGCCCAGGGACTACTCTGTCTCTCCTTCCCTCTGCTCATTTCACATGTTTATTGAGCATCTACTATAAAAATAAGTTGTAAAAGCTGAAGAGTGAGCGAGCCGCAGGGACCCACAGGTCTCTCTCATTCTGGTCCACTGCTCACTTAATCAGGCTCTGCCACTGGAGAGGGGTCAGCGGTGAGTGAAGAAGCTTGCTCCTATCTCAGCAGCTTTTGTGTGGTCATTGCCAGCGCTTTCGTTGGCCATTAATCCTTCAACTAGCTGTCAGTCTGGGATTGGGGAAATGTGTTATTTTTGACTATTTCTTGATATTTTTAATTAATTCAAAGCACTCACTGTCAGCCAAGTAGTTAGTTTGGAATACAGGTCTCTTATGTTTTAAAAGTTTTTGTTTAAAGAAAGGATTTCTTTGAATTAGTTCATCTCAGATGACAAAGTATGGACTTGACAGTAGCAGCAAACAGTGCCTTTGCCTGCCGTGTTCTCTTCTGATCACCGGAAGAGTGTTCTGTGGATGTGCAAGTGAAAAGCCACGTCTTCCTTGTCACTGGGAGAAGAGCTAAGAGCCTGGCCTGCTGAGCATTCTAGCAGCCTTATCATCAGCACTCCTAGCCGCTCCTGAGGAACGGGGGCCCTGCAGGGAAACCTGCTCGGGAAACCGGAACAGAGCCCAGCACGTCAGGACTGGTGATGATGAGCGTGGCTGGGGCTTTTCCGGAGAAGGTTTGCAGGCATGGCTCTCCACCATCTCTTTCTCGTAGGTTTCCTTTGCTTGGCATTGCTTTGAGTTTGCTGGTGAAGTAGCTGTAAAGGTAAACTTTTTTTTCTCTCTTTCTTCCTTTTACAAAGAGTAATTTGTAACTTGAAAGCGGTTTCCACTTTTTGTATACAAGCTCTGTTCCATTCTGGGCAGCCAGTGACAGGATGTCATCCCGCGCCACTGAGTTGTAGGCAGGTGGAGAGGAGAAGCTTGAGCTGCGGTGGTTTCTGTGGAGGCTAGGGAAGGGAGGAACTCTACCACACACTGTTTGGAGTTTAGGAGAAACTTTTGTCTTGTCTTCAACTGACAACAGGCATTTGTGAAGAGGTGTGTGTGCAGTCAGTGTTACCCAACGGAACGCACAGCCCAGGAGCAGCTGAGCATCTGGGAATACAGGAGAGGAAACACACTTCCTCCCCTCCCGACTGATGGGAATGTAGCCGCCCTCCTGCTGGCCCTGCACAGGGCCCAGTGTGGTGGAGTTTGTGGGGAAAGGCCCCTCTCCTCCAGGCACCTTCTCTGGCTGGCCACAGCCAGGGCAAGGGGGCACGTATCTCAGGCACCCTTCCTTGGGGCTCTCCTGGCTCCTTCTGAGGCCGCACGGTGCCTTGACACCAGTGCCCTGGTTACTCTCCAAGCAGCAGGTGAACTGTGGGTTAGCGGGCTCGGGCTGTGGCACCACAGTGCTGGTGATTGAATACAGACTGCAGGTGAATGGGGAGGGCCTCTCTGGGGCCACTGGCCTGTGCTTACTGACTCAGCTCTGATTGAAGACAGACTGCAGGTGAGTGGGGAGGGCCTCTTTGGGGCTGCTAGCTTGTGCTTACTAACTTGGCTCTCCCAGCTGCCTTCAGGGGTCCTCCTCTCTGACCGAGATAAAATCTCGTGAGTGTGTGTCTCTGCAGGAATGTGAATGGAGTGATGATGACCTTGTTTTTCTTCTTTCTTTTCTTTGCCGCATGGGAGGATGTTACTGGTGGTTGACAATTGATTCTGATTATGAGGACACCCAGGCTGAACTTGCTTGAATCTCTAGAGTTCTTTTAACAGCCTCATTGAGGTATAATTTACATACCATAAAGTTAACTTAAGTTTGCAATTAAATAATTTTTGGTAAAATTACAGGGCTGAGTAACCATCACCACAGTTTAATTTGAGAACTTTGCTATCATGCCCCAGAGAAGCCTCATGTCCACTGGCACTGCTCCCCATCCCCACCTCCAGCCCCGAGGCGGCCACCAGTCTCCCGCCATCTGTGTGGGTGAGCTGAATCATGCAAATGGAATCCCAGTACACGGGCTGTGTGCCTGTCCTATGCGGCGCAGTGTTGCGAACGTCCATCCATGGCGTTGCGTGTGTCTGCAGCTCCGTCCTCTTCATCACCAAGTGCAATTCCGTCCTGGGGAGATGTGCATCTGCCACTCTCCTTCCACCACTGATCCGCGGTTTGTGACTGTGACTTTTAGGACAGTGAGCTGGGCCTGTTCCTCAGCCGGGGGCCCCAGATTCCTGAGTTCATGGGCTGCCGTGTACCAGGCTCTGTGCTGGGGCGGAGGTCCAGAGATGGAGACACAGCCATTCCCGCTTTCCTAGAGCTGTCAGGCTGGTAGAGAAGGGCCCCAGGCAGCAGGAGAATTGAGGAGTGGGTGAGTGCGGCCAAAAGCAGGGGGCTCGGTTAGAGCAGGTGTGAAGGGCTTTTCCAAGAGGGAAGGAGGAAGGAGGTGGCCCAGGAAGAAGCAGCAGCACATGCGGAGGTGTGAGCAGAGAAGCCGGCTGGCCCAGGTCTGCTGTATCTCCAGCGGGCAGCCCTGGAAGGTCTGGTTTCAGGAATAGCCTCTTTCCATCAGGGCTCCACCAGGGCACTCTTAGGCCTGGGTTTCAGAGGTGTTTGCCTAGGGTGGTGTTGCATTCAGAGTCCTCTTCTTTAAAAAAAAGTTTTCCATCATCCCTCCCGTTTCCAAATTAACCTTAAAAAGAGCAGTGGTCGGCCAGGTGCAGTGGCTCACGCCTGTAGTCTCAGCAGTTTGGGAGGCCGAGGCGGGCGGATCACGAGGTCGGGAGGTTGAGACCATCCTGGCTAACACGGTGAAACCCCGTCTCTACTAAAAATACAAAAAATTAGCCGGTCGTGGTGGCGCGTGCCTGTAATCCCAGCTGCTCGGAAGGCTGAGGCAGGAAAGTCACTTGAACCCGGGACGTGGAGGTTGCAGTAAGTGGGGATGGCGCCACTGCACTCCAGTCTGGGTGACAGAGTGAGGCTCCATCTCAAAAAAAAAAAAAAAAGCAGTGGTCGTGGATACATGGAGCCCTTTTTAGAATGAGCCTCCCCGTAAACCCCTAGCGACACCCCTCCCATTTCTCCTGCTCGGACTGACTACTAGGAACCCTTGCACACGTGTCCTTGAAGCTGGGGGTGAGCCCACCAGGGGAGCTGCAGACGGCCTCCCCTGGTCGGGGGCTGGTAGACAGCAGGGCTGCGTTTCTCATCACGAGTGTATCTGAGACAGCGCAGCCCCCACCTTTGCCACCACCAAGTGCCACCCTTGTGTCCTGGCTCATGAGGGCCTCTTCCCAGCCCTGGGAAAGCCAGCCACCCTAGGGGTCTGCCTGCCAAGTGCTGCTGTCAGATCGAGCAGGGGCTTGGTGTACCACCAGACCCCCTCTCCAGAGGAAGCTGTGGTCTCTGCTGCGGTCATCCGGTACGGGAGGAGGGGTGTTGAGGCCACTGTGAGGGAGGACCCCTGTGCCATGCCCCTGTCACCCCAGTGTTTCTCCTTTGTCCACACAGCGGTCTGGGTTAGAAACACCAGGGCCCACTGCAACTTTTGTTAGGGCCACTTAGTGCTGGTTGGGAGCCACAGGGCCGTGGCCTTTGTTTCTCCGTGGTGATTACTGCTTGTGCAGCCTCCTGCCAGTGCTAGACCTGTCTGGAAGGGAAGGGCGTGTGCTGTTCCCGTCTGTCTTTGGCCAGAAGAGCCTCCCATTCTTTGCCTTCACCATGTTTGTTTTTTTCTGCACAGGATTTCTCCTGGCTGGGGCACACCCATTGGTGTTCAGTGGAAGTAGAAACAATTGGAACAAACAAAATGTGGAAGCTTAAAGAGAAAAGAAGGAGATGGTGGGCAGGGCTTCCAGGCCACGTGTGATCTGTGGCACTGCTTGGCCTGTGGACTGTGGCCACAGTCGCGTTGCTGTCCCTGGCTCCCTTCTCTTTGAAGGTCTCCTTTGCCAGCGCACACGGCTCCCTGGGCTGGAATGTCTGTTCATTCATCCCTGCAGTTGTTTGCGGATGTCCCGGGGCTAACGTGAGTTAGTTAATGTGAGTGAGTTAAGTGCCGCAGCTCCTGTTTTTCGCCCTGCGTGGTGGTGGTTTTGGTCTGTGTCATCGAGCATTTCGCTGTGGTGGGCGGGGAGGCAAAGAGCTCCCACAAAGGTATGCAGCTTTTCCCTGCAGAAAGCAGGCAAGCTGGAGGGTTGGAAAGCATGGAGGCACCATGCTGTTTCCCTTTTGCCCGTGGCCTTTGCGGGTTGGGAGACTTTTCTTCCAAGCACCCTTTCAGCAGCGCCTTTTCCCCTCCAGACATGGTGGCTGTGCAGGCTGTGGGCTGGCAGACCCTATCCCCACAGCAATGCAATCTCAGGAGCCCAGGTGGGGCTGTTGTCTCGGGGTTTGGCCTGCACCGTCTACGGAAGCTCCTAACTCCTGCTTTGCTGGGACTTGTCCTCAGCCCATGGAAAGGCCTGATGGTGCCAGGTGGCCCTGAGGAGCCAGATGCCTGAGCCTGGGGCCAGGCCTGGGCGTGAGCCCAGGAGCATAAAATTAGCTCCGGCGTGGGTTGAAAGCTGCTGGCGTGAGCATGGCTTGTCTGTGTTGAGTTTGTCTTGCACAGCCCTGGCCTCTCCCCACAGCCTGCGGCCAGCCCTCTACATGGGCGGCCGCTCTGGGTTCCTCCTCCCGGCACATCTGCCCTTCTGCTGCGTGCCCTGTTCTTTGTGCCACATGTGACAGGACCATTTGTCATAGCAGTGGTGTCATGAAATACAAGAGTGTGGGCCTGAGAATCTGGGTTGAGTCAGGTTCCTGTTGGAGGCCTGCATGCGCGCAGCCTGCTCTGAGTGCTCCGGACACGCGTGAACAGAGGCAACAGGAGCCACCCCTGGGCAGCTTCCCCACTGCCGAGGGGGACGGGAGTAAGGAGGTGTGGGATGGGGTGCCTGGAGGGGGTGCGTGGGAGAGCTGTTTGAATAGGAGCTCTAGAAGGCCTCTTTGAGAAGGTGCTGTTGAGCTGAGACCTGCGGAGGTGAGGGAGGGGACTCGCCATGCAGGCCTATGGAGGGAGCCCTGGCTCCCTGGTGCTTTGTCTCAGAAGGGCTGCCTTTGCCTCCTCCCCCTCATGGTTCCAGGGACACGTGGGTTTTTATTTAATATTTTTCAGTCGATTGTCGTCTTTAATAATATTTTGATGAATGGGCTGTGTCAAATTTAGCCAGCAGGAGCGCATGTGACTCAGCTCCCGTATCAGTTGAATAGACGAAGGGGCAGGGAGGGAAGCCTCTGTGAGCAGGAACTGGTGAGCCTGGCTGTGTATCACCTGGATAACCTCTGAGCTGAAGAGCTGTGCCAGCAAAGCCCTTGAGCTCATGTGGGCATGGGGGACAGTCTGAGGACAGGAGGAACAGCAAGGAGACCTCAGGCTGCGCTCAGGAGGCTTCGGTGGCAGGTCAGATTGCTCTTACAATTTGGCAACCATCTTATGAATATTGTGGGTTAAAAGAAATAATCAGTGTCACCGGTAGCCAAGTTTTTAATGTTAAAAAAGATGACAATATAGAATAAAATGAACCCCTGCAGGGTTCCGTGGGGAGTATTACCATGAGAGCATCATTCTGTGCGTAGGCTGTGCTCCCTGCCAGCGGTGGGCTTCCCAGCAGGCGGCCTTGGCTCTGCGTGTGACATGCTCAGCCTGCAGCACCGTGTGCCCTCCTGAGCAGCTCTGCTCTGGTGGATGCTCTCAGCAGAAAACACACAACTTCGTGGTCCCCTCTTCTGCCCCTGGGTGGGCCAGGGTGCGGGTGTGCATCCCATGCCCAGGACTGCCAGGCAGGCCGCATGGTCAGCCACCAGGGTCAGGTGTCAGGCGCTGCTCCAGACGCGTGCGTCTCTGATCTTGGGCATGGCTCAGCAGCCTCCGGCTTGGCCGTGGGTGGTTCCTGCTCACCTGTTTCTGAGTGACCAACCCTGAAACTTCTGGGCCTAACATGAGGCCTCATCACCTTTCCCGCATCTGTGGGCTGGTGGGTGGGGCTCTGGCCCCACAGGTTATTCCTGCACTGCCACCCGTGGTGGCTGGGCTGGCAGCCCTCAGGGGCCTTGCTGTCATGGGTGTCTGCTGGGGTGCCACAGTTTCCCCCACATGGATCTCTCCAGGCAGAGTTTTATATCCTCACCCTAGAGCAGAGTTTTTGGACTTCTTGCTCTCAGGACCCCTTAAAGTCCTTGTTGAGGCTGGGCATGGTGGCTTCTGCCTGTAATCCCAGCACTTTGGGAGGCCAAGGTGGGAGGATCACTTGAGACTGGGAGTTCAGGACCAGCCTGAGCAACATAGGGAAACCCCATCTGTACAAAAAAGTAAAAAGAATTAGCCAGATGTGATGGTGTATGCCTCTAGTTCCAGTTGTTTGGGAGGCTGAGGCGGGAGGATTGCTTGAACCCAAGAGGCTGAGGCTGCGGTGAGCTCTGCACCGCTGCACTCCAGTCTCAGTGATAGTGAGACCCTGCCTCTAAAATTAAAAAAAAAGTCCTTATTGAGTTTACATGATGGAGCTATGAATATTCATCTTTTAGAAATTAAAATTGAGAATGTAAAACAACTTTAATTCATTTAGAAATAATTAAAAACCCAGTATATCTTAACATAAGTAATATTTTTAAAATTAAAAAAAAAACCTATTATCTTCTAGAGTCAAATAAATAGAGTGGCTTTACTTTTTGCAAATCTCAAGAGCTGGATCTGTCAGGTTCTGTGTTTATCCTGCTGTAATTTTACAGGCCAGGTGGCTTCCACAAGGCTTTGGCACATGGCACCTTTGTGGTACTGTAAAGACAGTGCTAACCTCATGGTCCCAGACCACACTTTGGGCTCTAGGACTCCCCACGTGGCCTCTCTTTGCCTCTGCCGGGACGGCCTTCATCCCAGGAGAGCCATCATGAAAATGGCTGGAAGACAATACATCCTTTCAGCCACCTTCTGTTGGTCAGGGAGTCACGGAGCCACCTGGATCTGGGGGTGGGAGTGGTTAAGAGTGGACAGCCTGCCTCTGGATGGAGGAGGGCTCTAGGAGGCCCTGGTCCTCCTGCCTCCTTCAGGAGGCCCTGGCTGGTCACCTCAGAGACCAAGGCCTTTTCTCTCTCCCTCTAACTTCTGGGCAGGGCTCGGCCCTCCTCACGGGCTACCTTCCTCTTCCTGCCATTTAGTTTTCCTCCCAGGGCGTGCAGCCCGGCACTACTGTGGGCCATGGGGTTGTGCAGGTGGGGCAGGTGCTGTCTCCGGGTACCACCGAGGGCTGCCGAGGCAGAGCCAACACTGGACAGCCCGCGTTTCCATTGCTGAGCTTTCATGGTGCCCGCTCAGGTGAGCGTCGGCCTGTGCAGGCCATGGCCCAACGTGTTCTGTGGCTTCACCCAAGCTTTCAGCTTGATTCAGTCCAGTGTCACTGTGACAGGGCTTCAGTGTGGCCCGGGAGACGCCTCTAGGGAGAGGCTGCTCAGGCAGCCCCTCGTTTAGGAAGAGTTCCTGAGCCCTAGTCGCCGGTCTGAGGGGGTGTCGGTACTCAGTGCTGGCCTGGACTGTCTTGGGAGGTATGGGGAGCACACCCCGGAACCCACCGAGCCACACTGCCTGGGACTTACCAAGCAGCAAGCTGGCCCTAGCAAAAATGGCAGAAATCGTATAAAACAGGCTACGAGCAGATAAGCTGCTCCTGTGTGGCTGTGTCCGCGGTGTTTTCAGAAGCCGCTGTTTGTGGGCTTTTGTCCTTTCTCGTGTTTGGTCAGGCTTCTCTGTGGAGGCACTGCACGCCCCTTCACCAGACGTCTCTCTGCACTGGCAGTGGTCTTACCAGCCCTGGGTGGGTTCCTTGGCTACTCAGCAAGACAGACCCCACAGGGCTTCCCAAGTGCCATTCTCTGACTCAGCAAACGGGACCTCAGCATGGGCCCAGTGGTCTCCAACAGGGAAGGAAAGGTGCATGGGAGGTGAGGTTTACTGAGCCGGGTTTCTGGCCCCACAGGGTGGGTAGAGGGAACCGCGGGCAGGGACAGCGGGACCCTTCCCTGTCACCGCAGCTCCCTCTGGGTTGATGCTTTTGTAACAGTGGGTAGCGCTGGCTGGTGGAGTCCAGGAGTGGTGCTGAGGGTGGGGCTGACCCGCACCTGCCTCTGGCTCCGCAGGGCCTGGCCTCAGGTTGTTGTGCTCAGCAGCCATTCATCTTCCCAGCACCCATTGGACCCTGCTGGTGTCCTATGTGCCTTGTCCTGCGGGGGTGGGGGGACCTTAGGAGGAAGGACACATCCCTGCTCACCTGGGACTTGGTGTTACATGTCCATTGTAGAGACACAAAATACAGGAAAAAAAACCCAGAAAATCAAAAGCAAATCCTCCTACCACCCAGCGATAGTCTGTACTTAACATTAAAACCAGCCTCACTCTGTAGTGGGACTCTTGCTACCCAGGGGAGTTGTCCACTGCTCCCCTGCCGGTGGGAATGGGGACGTTCCCAGGTTGTGTGATGCTTCCCAAGTCCCTGGGAAGGGAGCGTGGTGCCAGTGCTGGTGTTTCCACAGGTCGGTGCCCGCCACTTGTGTTGGTCTTTTCTGAAGAAGATCTTTGCCACGTTGACAGGCAGAGAGCGGTGCCAAGGTTTAGTCCGTGTTTACTGCAGGAGGGCTGATATGGCCGATGCTTCTATGCACGGTGGGCCATGCCATTATCTGCTTGGTCTTTGCCTACTTTGTCTTGAACTGGTCCAGTTTTCTTATGACTGGCATGGGTTCTCTTTAAGGGTATTAATCTTGAGTGTTAAGATTTTAGAGCTTGTTCTTAAAGAGAAAAGTAAAAGCCCAGGCGGAAACGATGGGAAGTGCTGGAGCCCGAGGCAGTGTCTCCACGACTCCCCTGGCCTGCAGAGGGGCAGAGGACAGGTACACTGCGAGCCAGCCCAGAGGGCCAGGGAGAGCCGGGGGCCGGGGGAGCTGGGGGCCAGGGGGCAGCCTGGGAGGGCGAGTGCCAGGAAGCCTTGGGCACCTGCTGGCCCTGGGCCCGCTCCTGCCCTTGGCTGGCGCCTGAGGGATGCTCTTCTTTTCACCATCCCTTACTTTTTATTTTTTATTTTATTTTATTTTTTTTTTTGAGACGGAGTCTCACTCTGTTGCCCAGGCTGGAGTGCAGTGGTGCGATCTCAGCTCACTGCAACCTCTGCCTCCTGGCTCCTGCCTCAGCCTCCCCAGTAGCTGGGATTACAGGCGCCCGCCACCACAACTGGCTTTTTTTTTTTTTTTCTTTTTGTATTTTTAGTAGAGACGGGATTTCACCAGGTTGGTCAGGCTGGTCTTGAACTCCTGACCTCGTGATCCACCCGCCTCGGCCTCCCAAAGTGCTGGGATTATAGGCGTGAGCCACCATGCCAGGCCTGTCCCTTACTTTCTTTTACAGCCTCCCACCTGCCTCCTTTCTGAGTGGCTGGAGCTGTGCGCTGGTTAGTTCCTCTGTCAGGAAGAAATCCAGGCCACGCTGGCACCTGACACCACTGACCTGTTCAGGACTTTGGTATGGCCTGGTACAGGTTGGGACCACGTTTAGTCACTGAGGCTCCTCAGAGCATGGAGACGGCAGTGGGCACGGGGCCACGCAGAGGGCTTAGGGCCATGTTTCTCACCGTCTCTCAAGAAACACTAGTCCTCCCAGACAACCAGGTGAATTCAGGAAGCCCCAGGTAAAGTCTGAGGCCCTCTTGGAAGCTCAGTGGATGGCAGTAGTTACAGGCTCTGAGCAAGGGAACCGTGGTTGACTGTGTGACCTGTAGTTGCCACTGCCCGGCCGCTGCCACCCGCTGTTCCCACCCAATTCCTACTCCCGTTGCCCGCCCTCAGCCTGTTCTTAGCTGTCAGAGGGGATGGTGGAACGGGAGCAGCCAAGAGAATTTAAAGCCGCCGATGGTCCACAGGCACCACCCCCAGTGCCGACGGGGGTGCAGGCCTGGTGTCTGCCCGGCTGTGCTCCAGAGGTGATTTTACTCCCCACCGGGGAGTCGGGTATTATGCCCTCAGAGATCCTCTTTTCATGCCACGGGGCCTCTGGGATGTGTGGCCTGAGACTGCCTGGGGCTGGTGGGTAGCTGTGTGGCGGGTGTGCAGTTGAGGCTTGCTGCTTCCTTGAGGGCAGAGTGGGCACCTTCATTTCCCAAAGCTGGCTATCTCTCCCTTCGTGACAGCAGCGTTTTCTGCTGAACAGTTTCCTGTGTCCTCCTTGCCTTCATAAATGTGTAACAAATACTGCTTCAGGGCAGGCTTCATCTTCTCCACAGACCCACACGTACCCCTGCTGTACCTGGCGTGCCCAGGGCAGGGAGCAGGCGCTGGATGGGTCTGACCACCCAGGGTATGCCTCTGCCTGGCCAGCTGGCTGCCTCCTGGACACCTGGACGCAGAGCTTTCTGAGATGAGCTCTGCGTTGGGATGCACAGAAGGGATTTGCTTCCTCTCGTGCTTGGGGTCTTGGGAATGCTTTTTTTTTTTTCCCCTGAGACAGGGTCTTGCTCTGTCATCCAGGCTGGAGTGCAGTGGCATAATCATGGCTCACTGTAACCTCCGCCTGCCTCCCAGGTTCAAACGATTCCCATGCCTCAGCCTGCTGAGTAGCTGGGATTATAGGCACATGCCACCAGGCCAGTGTAATTTTTTTTTTTTTTGGATGGAGTTTTGCTCTTGTTGCCCAGGCTGGAGTGCTGTGTCGCGATCTCGGCTCACTGCAGTCTCCGCCTCCCGAATTCAAGCGATTCTCCTGTCTCAGCCTCCCTAGTAGCTGGGATTACAGGCGTACTCCACACCTAGCTAATTTTTGTATTTTTAGTGGAGACAGGATTTCGCCATGTTGGCCAGGCTGGTCTCGAACTCCTGACCTCAGGTGATCCGCCCGCCTTGGCCTCCCAAAGTGCTGGGATTACAGGTGTGAGACACCCGCGCCTGGCCAAATTTTTCTATTTTTAGTAGAGATGGGTTTTCACTGTGTTGGCCAGGCTGGTCTTGAACTCCTGGCCTCAAGCAGTCTGCCCACCTTGGCCTCCCACAGTGCTGGGATCACAGGCGTGAGCCACTGTGCCCTGCCTTGGGAGTGCTTTTTGACATTCACTCCTGCACTGTGAGTGTGGAGACCCAGGGGCTTTTCTGGAGGTGGCCACTGTCAGGAGGTTTAGAAACCCTTTTTCATTAAAACCTTTATCTTCAAGTACATTCTGTTATTCCTGCTGGGAAGGCCTCCTACCTTTTTGGCTGAAGAAGTGCTGGGCCAAGCTGAATTGTGTGAGGGTTCCTGGGTATTTATAATTCATGTGAAAATAAAAGTGTTGTTTTCTGTGACCCCGTGCCTCTCCGAGGCCCTTACTCCAAGGCAGACCGAAGGCAGCTCTGTGCTGACGACGCAGGATCCTGGCCCACAGTTGTCCTCAGAGACTTCTTGGTAGGAGTGGTGGTGTCTCGGGTGCTCTCCTGCCCAGCAGTCTTCCCTCCTTTGCTGTCTTCTCCTTGTTGGACACACAGGTTCTAAGTAGCAGCATTTGTGGTTTGTCGGCTCCCGAGCTCTTCAGTGTCCCCCGGAGTGCAGCAGGTCCCAGGGTTCACTAGCTAAGTGTCCTGGCTCCTGAGCTGCCCTGGTGGTGGAACAGGGACTTGGGGCCTGGGTGCCCCCCGAAACGTTTGTGGAGCTCATATCCCACTCCCACGAGGGTCTGGACAGGCCTGGGTCCAGGGACTTGCTATGCCATGCAGTGGCTGTCCACGAGGCACCTCTGTGAGGGCGGGGCGGGAGGCCTGTTCTGTCTGGGCCCACGGTGCAGTGTGGACTTCAAGGGCGTCAGTCTGTACTATGCTGGGGCCTGTGGCCACCTTCCTTCCCCTTCCCCAGCAGGCTGGGGATCAGCTCAGGTGATCCGCCCGCCTCAGCCTCCCAGAGTGCTGGGATTATAGGCGTGAGCCACCGCGCCTGGGCAGGTCATTTCATTTCTAATCAAAATAATGAAATGGGACCCGGTGGCTCACACCTGTAATCCCTGCAATTTCGGAGGCCGAGATGGGTGGATCCACCTGAGGTCAGGGGTTTGAGACCATCCTGGCCAACATGATGAAACCCCGTCTCTACTGAAATTACAAAAAATTAGCCAGGCGTGGTGGCATGCGCCTGTAATCCCAGCTACTCGGGAGGCTGAGGAAAGAGAATTGCTTGAACCGAGGAGGCAGAAGTTGGAGTGAGCCAAGATGTGCCACTGCACTCCAGCCCGGGCGACAAGAGCAAGACTCCATCTCAAAAAAATAAAAAATAAAATAAATAAAATGTCCCCCAAAATGACGTGTGGAGGGCTCTAGGGTGAGGATGGAGCCCTTTCAGATAAGGACCTTTTGCGTGGGTAGGTCCCTGTTACAGAGCCTGAAGTTGTGGTGGTGGCCTGTGTGTCCCGTGCCTCGAGCCTGCTGCTCAGGAAGGCCACGTCCTGCCTCCCCTCACGCCTCGCCATCCATGCCATGGGGCTCCATCCAGAAGGCTGTGAGGGTTTTGCTGGATTCCCTAAGCAAGCCCGCAGTTCCCTGGGCTGAGGCCTAGGCTCTTATAGCCATAGGCACCTGGCGGTGGCGGGGATGTATGTCCTTATCTTTGACTCATGCTCCACACAGCCACCTGAGAGGATCCACATGTCATCCTCCTATATACAAGGCACTTTGGTGGACCCCCATTGCCTGTGGGGTGAAGTCCCCTGTCTCTCTCCAGCCCCACCCTGTGTGGCCCATGTGCACTTCAGCCTGGCTGGCCCTCCAGTGTCTGCAGTTCTGCCGAGACACCTGGCCTGTGTGCACACATGTCCTTGCTGTGGCTGTTGTCAGGTCTCTGAGCTTCTTTCCTGCCACCTGTTGTGGGCACAGGGCTGTGACCTGCTGACTCCCGTCTGTCTTTCTGACCCCGTGCAAGCTTCTCTGGCTGTGGGCTCTCAGGCACTTGAACTCCAGCCTCCCTTGTGTCCTGAGCTTCAGGACTGAGACATAGGTGGGGGCAGGTGGAGCTTTCTAGTCACCGTCTGGAAGATGCTTGTCCTTCCTCTTCTTCCTGCCTTCCTGCGGCTCCTCGACAGCCCTTGGTGAGAACAGGGCTGCCCCATGGCTGGGGCCCCAGGAAGGTGTTGGAGGGTGAAGTTTGACCCCTGCCCTGGGCTAACACCAGGGAAGGACTTGGGGCCTGGGATGGTGGGCCTTTGTCCCAGCAGCTCAGCTGTACTCACAAGTCAGCATGAAGATTTCAAAGCCAGATTCACACATTTCACCTGACAGGAAGAATAGGGAACCCACCCCTGACAGGCTGTGTGCCCCCTTTACACGCTGATGGAACGTTGACCAAAACCTCCGCTTATCTCGGTGAATTGAATTCCTCTGGAGTGTGCTCTTGACCCAAGTGGAGTTAAACTAGAAATCAGCAAAGTGATACTCCTAGTATTTAGAAATTAGGAAGCACACTTCCAAGTAACCAGTGGGACAAAGAAGAATTTGTAATGGAAATTACAACATACTTTTTAGCTGAAAGATAACAAAAATATGCCATGCTGAGACTTGCAGGGTGCACACCGGCCAGGAGCGGTTCACAGCCCTCAGGTACTCGTCACTCTCGGAGCAGTAGCTGGGCTCAGAGACGGTGGATGGAGGGAAATGAGGCTGGAGCAGAAGTTAACAAAGCAGAAAGTCAGTCTCCCACAGATATAGTCATCGAGGCCAGAGTTGGATTCTTTGAAAACAGGAATATAGTGGAAAATCTGGCAAGAGTGATCAAGACAGGGAAAAAGAGATGGCACAGATAGCCAGTCTTTTTCATAAGTCATGCTGGCCAACCAGATAGCCATATTTAAAAAAACCTTGGCCTGTACCTCACACCCTACAAAGAATAATTGAGCCCAGTAGAATGTAGGTCTAAGTGTAGAAGGTTCTGGAACTGCTGTCCAGCACGGCCTCCAGCCATGTAGCTTGGCAGCGCTAGAGATGTGCTGAGTGTAAAATACGCTAGACTGAAAAAAATACAGTGGCACCTTGTATTTTCTGTATTGATTGTAAGTCGAAAATATTTTACATCTGTTGGGTTAAATAAAATTAATCTTGGCTGTTTCTTTTACTTTTCAATGGGGCCATTAGAACATTTAAAATTATATCCATGGCTCAGATTATGGCTTGTGTTATATTTCTCTTGAACAGCACTGTTATAGAAGATGCTATTCTTGACCCATGGGTTAAGAAAAGTTTTTTTAAACAGGACTAAAAAGTACTCATCATAAAGGAAAAGATAGATAATTTGGTTTACATTAAAATTAAGCAGCTCTGTTTATCAAAGATATTCCTCAAAAACTGAAAAGGCTGGCCGGGGACCGTGGCTCACACCTATAATCCCTGCACTTTGAGGGGCCGAGGCTGGAGGACTGCTTGAGCCCAGGAGTTCAGGACCAGGCTGGGCAACATAGTGAGACCTCATAAATAAATAAATAAATAAAAATAAATTAACTGGACGTGGTGGCATCCGCTACTCAGGGGGACTGAGGTGGGAGGATCCCTTGAGCCCAGGAGGTCGGGGCTGCGGTGAGCCATGATCTCACCACTGTACTCCAGCCTGGGCCACAGAGCAGGACTCTGTTTCAAAAAAAAAAGAAAGCAACTTTTGCAGGGGGAATTTACCATACCTAGAACTTACCGGAGCTCAGATCCAGACTTCCCCACGGGCTCCAACAAAGAACAAGAAACAGCTCGTCCCGTAGAAGATGGGCAGAGGCTTGAACAGATGCCTCATGAAGAAGGACGTGCAAACGGCCCCGAGCCCTGGGAAAGAGCCCTTGACCACGTCTCCCCTGGGGTGAGCCCGGGAAAACCCCAAGCCTTAGACGCACTGCACGTGACAGCGGGTGTCTAGTGAGCACCGCGCCACTAGAGCGGGTGTCAGGGCGCCTTGCTAACCCTTTCCACCTGGTGTGCTCGCTGCTGTGTGGAACTCCCATCTTGTGCTTTTCATCTTCCCATGCTTTGTTTGAATTTCTTCTTTTTATTTTTTAATTATCCTTCTTTCAAATTGCCTTGGAAGTTAGGTACTTTATTTTATTTGATTTTTTGTAGAAGCAGGGTCTCACTGTGTTGTCCAGGATGGTCTCAGACTCCTGGCCTCAAGCCATCCACCCACCTTCACCTTCCAAAGTGCTGGGATTACACTGTGAGCCACCGTGCACACCCTCCTTTAGTGGTTTTCTTACAGCACACGCTAAACCTCCAGGGTCTGATGTTGATTAACAGCTTTATCCGCCTCCCCGAAGTACCCAAGATACTAGACCGCTTCTGGGTACTTCCCCTCTTGAGTTGTGAGCACTTGCTGTGTTTTAAATTCTGTACACTTCGGACCCCCACATGCTACTGCTGTGTTTTAAATTCTGTACACTTCGGACCCCCACATGCTACTTGTACGCTGGTATTTATTTAGGTTGGCTGGTTTTGTGCTCCATCTCTTTGGCTGTACCCTCTCCTTCCTCCTTTGTCCTTCTGGGTTTGTCCTTTTGCGTCTGTGACCAGTTTTCCTCTGCTTGTGCTGCAGCCTTGAGCTTTCTTGGATTTTCTTTCAGGTGACTCTGCTGGGGGCGCCCTCTCAGTCTCTGTCTGAAAATGCCTTCAGTTGTCCTTCATTCTTGGCAGAGCTTTTCGCTGTGTGTCGTGTTCTTGGTTGGCTTGCTTTCAGCCCTCTTTCGACGTGAGGCCGCCGACCTCCGGCTTCCGGCGTTGCTGTGGAGAAGCGGCTGTCAGATGCACTGCTGCTCCCTCGAGGGTATCTGCCACCTCCTGGCCCCAGCTGCTTCTGACGTTTATATTTTTAAATTTTTACATAATTTCAAAGTTAGAAGTTGCCAAAGTAGTGTGAATAATTCCTGCATACCTTCTCCCAGATTGGCCAGTGTCAGCGTTTCTGCCACATCTGCCTTGCCGTTTTCTCTCTCTCAGTACCTGCACGTGGGTCTTTTCTCAGCAGTTTGAGAGTGACTTGCATCTTTACCCCAGCATAGGATAGAATGCACTTCTGCAGGGAGACACCTCGGTGCACCCACACAGAAAGAGATGGTGAAGGGGCCAGACTGCCCGCCCTGTTCAGGATAAACTTTGAAACAGGCTCAGAAGTTACTTCATGTGAGATGTGGGGGAGACACGGAGGCATGGTGTGAGCGAGTGATAGCAGATCAGGCTTGCTGCATACTGGGAGGGGGACTTCAGTGGAAACTGCCAGCACAGAGCAGGACCGTGAGGATGGAGGGAGCCCGGGGGTGGCCAGCCCGATGGCCAGCGTCTCAGTGGCATCTCCCTGGGCTGCAGCCTGAGAGGGGCAGGGCAGCAAGCACGGCTGCTCTCTGGAAGCCCCACTCTCAGTATTGACGTGCAAGTTCACAGTCTAGTTCCTGACGCCGTGGAGACCAAGCCCTTCCCTGGGGACTGGAGGAGAGATGAGCAAAGGGAACAGAACACGACCCTGAGAAACTGGGGATCTGACCCCGGGCCCGCAGAGTGAGCTGCAGAAACAGTGGGCAGTCCCCACATGGCCTTGTTACAGCCTAGATTTCTTACCGAAATAGTTTTTTTGTTTTGGTTTTTATTTTTTGTTTAGAGACCAGGCTGGAGTGCGGTGGTGCAATCACAGCTCACTGCTGCCTTGACCTCCTGGGTTTAACAGATCCTCCTGCCTCAGCCTCCTGAGTAGCTGGGACCACAGGTGCGCACCACCGTGCCCCACGAATTTTGAAAAAAATTTTTTTATAGAGGCAGAGTCTTGCCGTCTTGCCTAGGCTGGTCATAAACTGAAAGACTTAAAGCAGTCTCCATTAATGAAAATTAGCAAGACTCTGTTTTTCATTTCTCCACTGATTCAATAGTATTTAGTTTTACGTTGTTTAAAAGGAACATTCAATCTCCTTTGCAGTCATAGTTCTTGATTTCATATTACTGAATGGTTGCATTAAAATCCCTTTTGACTAATTATGAGGTTGGGAATTCTAAAGTCTGTTGAGCAGACAGCTTGTGTCAAGTGAGGCAGCTGGTGATTTCTGGACACTCTTGATTCCATCTGAGCTTCCTTTTCCAGCACAGCCTTATCCTGAACACCTGATTTTGGGGTAACTTCTTATAAAGCCCACTGTGTGTTATTGTGGACACGGTCTCCTGGTGTCCCCCCTTGTGATGACAACTAGAATGCCTCCGGGTTTCCAGCACTCGCCGTCCTCACTGGTGTAAAGCTTACCGCTCTGTTCCGTGTCCTGCATCTCTGGTCAGCACCGCAGTCTGTTTCCTGTGCTTCTGCCTGGGTGGCCAGGGGCTGCCCAGAAATGACCCAGATTCACACCCCAGCCTCCTGCTCCCCTGTAGCATGCTGGGTTTCTGTCCATGGTAGCATTTGCTGGAAACATCTGTTGTTCCTTTCCATCCTGGCCTTCGTTCCTTCACTTGCTGGCCTTCCCTGGGAGGCAGGGGCAGTGAGTTCTTGGGTTCGGAGTCCCAGGGCAGTCCTGGGGCAGGTGTCCAGTGGATGGATGTGTGCTGGGGGTGTGTGGAGGACCCTGCAGAGCATGCATCGAAGTCCCTCTGCTACACTCACTCACCCTCAAGGGGAGTCTGCTGCGTGCCGGCACCGTGCCGCTGAGAACTGGGTGCACACGGCCCCACTTGGTCCCCATTGCATCTCTGCCCCAGAATGGAGGTGCAGAGAGGCCAGGTGTGTGCCTGGCGCTGTAGGGCAATGGTTCCCCAGGTGGGGTGTGGGCACCAGCAAGGGCAGTGATAAAAGAAAAACTTAATGTAAAGGTCTTTAATTGAACAACAAACGATTCTTGGATTGACAGCCTCTTGAGCCAGAGTAGGCTCATAGACTCCAGAGCAGCCCTGTGGGGGAAGATTTATGGAAAGGGAAAGTGACCTACGGAAAACGGAAGTAAGGCATAGAAACAGCCGATTGGTTACGCTCGGCATTTGCCTTATTTGAACACAGCTCGAACAGTTACCTACATATGATTGGCCAAAACTTGGTGATTGGCACAAGTATAGGCTATGATCTGTTTACACCTGTACTTGTCATAGTTCACGATGTACAAAGAAACCTTTAGGTGGAACTTAAAATATGTAAGGAGGCAGCTGTAGGTGAAACTTAACAGTGGGTTGCTTGGGACCTTGTTAGAAATGCACGTTCTTGGGTTCTACCCGGAACCATTGCTGCAGAGACAAAGGGTGGCCCGGCTGGCTGTGCAGACGAGCCCTAGGCAGGCGGCTCCAGGGACCACGGGGGCCCAGCTCCCCGCAGGCTTGTCTGGCCCGGAGGTCCTGCTCCCCTGCTGTCACACGCGTGAAGCCGTCCCTGTGCGCAGGCCAGTCTCGCGGGGGTCACCACGGAGCGTGTGCACCACACTTTCCCCATCCCTTGATCCATCATTGGGCGTTGAGGTTTTCCCATGTCTTGACTGTTGTACCTGGCGGCTCTGCGGAGTAACCGCTGCGGACACACAGTAGGACGGGAGGGAGAAGCCATTGCGTTTCACCCTTTCATGGCCCTTCCTTTCCCCTTCCAAGTGAGCTCTTTGAGGTGAGTCATGGAGGGCAGTGTCCCTCTGCATCCTGTCTGGGGTTGTCAAATATGGCCAAGTGGGCTCCATCGGGGCAGCGGGTGGGGTGGGGGGTGTCTGTCAGAGCAGGCAGCATCTTCCTACTGTCCCCAGACCCTTGTTTCTCAGCCACCTCCTTTCTCTGTGGTTATGTGGCTAGTTAGGCCTATAGCTGTGACATCAGGCAGAGTCACAGTGGGCACAGTGCTGGCACAGGTGCTGCCGTGACCAGCCCTGGAGTTCCGACTGTCCCCCTGCTCACCGCCACACCCTGCAGGGCGCTTACCGTGACCCTGTTATGTAGGTGGCAAAATGGAGGGACAAAGTGATAGGAGCCTGCCTGAAGAACTGAGAGGTGGGAGTTGCGTCTGGCCCAGCTGTGCTCGACCCCCTTCCAGGGTGCTCTGGCCGATAACGGAGGGAATTGACAAGCCTCACTCTGGGGAGGGAGGTGGTGGAGATGGCGGCCGGGAGTCCCTGAGCAGTTGTGGTGGGGCATCGTCTGTGGAGAGATGGCAGGCGTTGGGGGCGCCTCTCAGAGGCAGACACGGTACCTGTGTCAGACATCTCTGGACACAGTGAACTGGAGGTGAGCTGTCTGGTATACCCTGAGCGTGCTGCCTGGGGGAGCCAGAGGTGGGGGTAGCGGTGACAACAGGAAGAGCTGGTGCGAGAGAGAAGGAGCTGGAAGGAGCTGTGACGGGTGGCTGCAGGGGAGGCCATGATCAGCCTCCACAGGTGCCTGCCCTGTGTTACAGGGATGGGAATTGAGGACACGGCCAGCTGAGGGTGGCCTCAGCCAGAGCTGTTTGTGGCATGGCGGAGGGTGGTGGAGAAGGAGAGGCAGGGGGTTGAACCCCCAGAAGGTGAGGGGGTGGAGCCGGCACATGAGGGTAGCGTGTACCCATTGTGGCTCTGGAGGGCCGGAGAGTGCTGCTGGCCGGGGAGGTGGGGCCGGGCAGCCTGGCCCCTGGGCACTCTCTGCCCTTTGCATCCTCTCCAGTGAGCCTGGGGTCGTCCTGGAACGGGGGCCACAGAGGCTGGGCACTGGCCCAACTGTCCTGGGGGGGCTTGTTGTGGCTCTGTGTTTTATTTTTTGGTTTATGTAATGTTTTTCTTCATCGTTGGAAGAGAGACTATAAAAGTAAAGTCACATGCTTCACCTTACAGTGGTGAAAAGTAGCACTGAAGCCTCCATCCCTCCCCACAGGGGCCTGTGTGCTAGACCGGGACATGCCTGTCTTCCTTTCTTTGTCTGAAACAAAAATGGGTTCCTCCTCTGTTCTGGATCCTGCCTAACGGCATCCCCTGCAGGCTCTGCATTTGAACGCAGCCCTGCTGCAAACAGGACTGGACTCCGATTTCTCTCTCCTTTCTGCCTGTTTGTGGCGGTCCACTCCACCCCACCGTGCAGTGCTCAAGCAGCAGGGCCCGCACTGGCTCGTCTCTCCCTTGCTTGTGTCTAAGAACGGGCACCCGTTCCCCCTCTGGCCTGATAGGTTTCACCACTGTCTAAGTGTCCCCTTCCCCTACAGGGCAGGTGCCACTCTTTCCCTGCCCCCCGCTCCATCAGTGGCATGTGGAGGTTTCACCACTGTCTAACTGTCCCCTTCCCCTACAGGGCGGGTGCCAGTCTTTCCCTGCCCCCCACTCCATCAGCGGCATGTGGTTTCACATGCATCAGGCTGCTCTGTTTATTGGTGAGGCCGAGCATATTTCGTGTCCTCATTACCAGCCGTCTCCTGTGATTTGCTTACCATGGCCTCAGGATGCCGTGCTTCTGATTCATGTGGCCACCGCTGAGCAGTGGGTGTTTTGGGTACTGCCCTGGGGCTGATAGGAGGGGGATGACAGTCAGACCTAGAGAGACCTAGAAAGCAGCCAGTACTTGGCACCTTCTGTTTGCACAGCTAGAAGATTCAGCTTCTTCATGGCCACTCGGAGCAGAGCTTGCCATAGAAGTGCCTTTTTTCTCGTCACCTTGGTTCTGTTAATTTTGAAGATGATTGCCCAAATGGTGTGTTCAGAAGCACTCGGGTCACTGCTGCCCCTGTTGGTGTGGACACTCCTTTTGGGCAGCTGGGAGGTGACTTTGCTGGTCTTGCCATGCCCAGGAGCATCCAGGGGTGTCCAGGGGCTGGTGTTGGATTCCCCGGGGAGGGCCACAATCTTCTACCTGCTCAGGACATGCTGGAGGTCAGCATTCCCATTTTATAGGTGGGAAAATGCAGAGAGGTGATGTCACTGGCCAGGGCCCTGCAGCTGGGAATTGAGCCCAGGCCGTCTGGCTGATAAGTGGCAGCCTCCTCTGCTCCAAAGCCCCTCGTGCCTCTGTGAAGGCTGTGCCTCTGAGGAAGGTCCAGGCAGATCCCCTTCTCTGCTTCCAGGAGCGCCCCTGAGGCCGGTAATTCCTGGAGGGCCAAGGAGTGCAGGTGTGGAGAATGGGCGCCAAGGACCCTGCCAGGGCTGAGGGAGAGAGAGGGGCCTCCTCTAGGACTTGGGGACTAGATGGACCACTGCCGTGGGAATGCAGTGCCGCGGAGGCCGAGCCAGTCTCCACCAGAGGGCGCTGCTGGCCACTCGGAGGGAGCCGGGCGCTGGGCAGGGACTGCCGTTGGCCCAGCCTGCTCGGTCCTGGCTGTGAGCATAGTGGTTGGGGTTTCGCTCTGGAGCCCCGACCACGTTAGTGTGACTCCCTCTGTGAGGTCTCTCGTGTTGCTGGGGGGTCGAGCCGGTGAGCACCGGGGAATGCACCAGCTACCTGGGGCAGAACAGGAATGGGGTGCCAGTGCTACGCAGCACACATGTGTGCACACGTGCCTGAGGAACTAGACATCCAGGGCTGTCCCTTTATCAGGCATGTGGTGCAGCCGCGGCGGGAGAGCTTGTGTGCTCACCTGAGTCGGCGCCGGCTGGCATCAGTGCCTTCGCCTCTGACCGTGAGCAAAGGTATTGTCTTAGTTGAACCCCTCTGTCCTGTTTACTTTAACCTCCCCACCCTAGTGCTGGAGTCTTGTGTGAGGGCCTTCTGGCACCTCCCAGGTCGAGGGCCCGGGATTGGTTCCCCTCCCGAGCTCCAAGCCCTGGAGGCAGGTAGTACCCATGCCTGGTTCCGTGCCCAGCTCATGATGGGAGCCAGTGTTTGAGTACCTTTTCTGAAGGGGGCACTGGGAGGAGGTCTGCGTTTCCCCCAGGGTCGACCTTGGTTTAAGTGTTCACTTGTCGAGGTCTCTCTGAAGGTTGTGCCCTGCTCAAGGGCTGCTGTCCACCGCTGTCCCCACTCTCACGGTACGTGGGGACCTGGAGCCGGTCACTGCCGAGATTGGGGCTCCCTGTGGCTCTCCCCGTCGGGGTGGGACTCTCCGAACCTCACGAGCTCATTCCACGGTTATTGCCATTAGACGCATGGCTGAGCTTGCATGCAGGCGTGGACTTGGGCCAGCACACTCTGTGCTGTGGCTCAGAGCTCCTGCTTGGCGGGACTCCTCATCAGTCCGCTGTGTGAAGAGAGAAGCGGTGTGGGTGTCGCTCAGCAGCTGTGGTTGGGGGCCTCTGGGAAGGACAAGCGCCGTGGCCTGCGGTGATGAAGGGCTCCGCGTCATGGTGCACTTGTGTTCCCTGGGTGCTCCCGTCCCACTAGGATGCTGAAGAGCAGAGAGACAGGGCTCTGGCTGATGAGCACCAGTGAGCCTCTGTGCTGGCCCTGCTTCTCGACCCCACTTGGATAAGCGCCCAGGGAGTTTCGGAGAGGCAGAAATCTGCAGGAGCAGAGAGTGCAGAGGAGACGAGAGCAGACACATTTTGGAAGTTGGAAAGCTGAGGGTCGGGTGGAATGAACGCAAACTCAGGAAAGCTGAAATCTGACCAGCAGGGGAAGTGTTTTCACTGAGAAACTGTGGATGGCTCCCATGGAGTCTGGGAGCCCCTTGGATGGTGGAGCTGAAGACAGCAGAGCTGGTCTGGAGGCTGGAGGTGTGTTTAGAAGCAGCTGGACACCCCATTCATGTCTGATCTGTGTCTGGAGGATTAGTCCGAGCACGTGGGATCATAGCACTGTCCGCTGAGACCCAGGCGTAGTGGAGGGCATCATCCTGCACATGAAGCCTTGACAGCTTTCCACATCCACCAGGGAGGTCCCCTTCTGCCCCTCCCACACCGGGTCCTCAGGACCCCAGCAGCTGAGGTCCACCCTCCAGCAGAGAATGGGAGTCTCCTCAGCCAAGAGAAAAAACCCTTGGGCACTGGGAGTGGGGAGGAGGGGCCACCCATGTCCCTTAGTGTTCTGAAATGTCAGTGTGTTCCCTGATGTGGCCTCTGCATTCAATGACGTGGATGCTGGGTGAGTCCCTTCAATCTGGTAAGTCGTTTCCTGTGATGCTGGAAAGGTGTTGAATACAGCCAGACTCCCCCAGCGAAGCCCCCTCCGTGCACCTAGAGCCATCAGTGAGCTTTGCAGTGCCTCCTGCCACATGTGATGTGAGGGGGCAGGGGTCACCAGATAGACCAAAGCAGATGAAAAAGCAGGAAGCCAGCCCAAACCAAAGAGTAAAGCATAGCGTTCGTGGGTCTCCTCAGAGTTGTAAAGACCACGTAGCAAGAGCAGACTTGTACAGAAAGGAGCGTCCGGTGCACAGCAAAGAGTGCCTGAGAGAGGAGGATCGGACAGCCAGTGAGGTGTGGGAGATGGTGCT
The DNA here is from genome assembly GCF_000001405.40 of Homo sapiens. Classification (NCBI taxonomy): domain Eukaryota; kingdom Metazoa; phylum Chordata; class Mammalia; order Primates; family Hominidae; genus Homo; species Homo sapiens. The sequence goes on along the minus strand of NW_025791792.1, from coordinate 247,818 downwards.
GCGCGCCCTTCCCAGCAGGCCGACTGCGCAGGGCGGGTATCAGGCATGGACACCAGGAGCACAAAGGTACGGAAACCGAGCATCAGGCAGGGGTCACTGTAGCTTGGTAGGAGTTCCAGGAAGAGCAGGAAACAGAAGGGAGGAAATCACCAAAGGAACGCCACAGTTGTCCAGAAATGAATTCACAGATGAAATGGGCTCACACAGTGTCCAATGCAGTGAATGAAAAGGCGACACCAGAAGACACCAGGGATAAAGAGCATATTTTTACAACTTCCAGAGAGAAGAACAAAGCAAAACAAAACCCCTTCGTCTGTTTGTGCCGCTGAAACAATACCTGAGACTGAGTGGTTTACAGAGAACAGAGGTTTATTTCTTACAGTTTGGAGGTTTGGAATTCCAAGATGGAGGGTCCCATGTCTGGCAAGAGCCTTTGTGCAGTGTCACCTCGTGGGGAGAGGTGGAAGGGCAAGAGGTGGAACTCACAGCCCCAAGCCCTTTCAGAATCACATTAATCCATTCCTAGGGCAGAGCATCCCGCATCCCTAATCACCCCCCACCAGGCCCCACCTCCCAGCCCCACCCCTAATCACCGCCCACCAGGCCCCACCTCCCAGCCCCACCCCTAATCACCGCCCACCAGGCCCCACCTCCCAGCCCCACCCCTAATCACCCCCCACCAGGCCCCACCTCCCAGCCCCACCCCTAATCACCGCCCACCAGGCCCCACCTCCCAGCCCCACCCCTAATCACCTCCCACCAGGCCCCACCTCCCAGCCCCACCCCTAATCACCCCCCACCAGGCCCCACCTCCTAGCGCTGCAGCACTGGGTGTTCAGTTTCCAGCACATGCCTTTGGGGGACACATTCAGAGCGTAGCACCAGGTTATCTACAGTGTACTGAGAACCAGAATATGAATTCCAACCTGGAAAGTAGAAGATGGTCTTCAAAATGCAGTCAGAAAAGGATTTCCAGAGTAGACTTCAGCATCAGTTAACCTGTCAATGATGTAAGAGTAGAATGAAAATATTTTCTGATGTGTGAGTTCTGAAAGAGTTACTTCCCAAGCACCCACTTCAGGAAGTTCTGAGGAGGTCGAATGTGAGGAGAGAGGAAGGGTCTAAGGATGCGGAGAGAGTGGGCAGTGGGCAGCAGGACCACCGTGTGTGGCTGTGCCAGCAGTGGGGAGTCAGAGATGAGACTTTGCCCCTGGTCGTCAGGAACCACTTGGAGTCTGCCGGGGAGGCCCAGGGCTCTTCCCCAGCTGTGTTTCGCTGGGGGGCCACCTCTGCCACCTGTCTTGCCTCAAGCCCATCTTGGGTCTTCCACATTCTGAACAGGCTGCACCTGGCTTCAGTGTAAGCAACTAGAGTGACGGCGCCTTACCTGAGACTGGCGGAGGGGTGCCTGTTGCCTGCAGTCCTGACACACACATGTGTTCATGGTACCCGCCCATGCTTTTCATTCTTCCTTGTTCTACGTGCAGTGTCTACTTGTTAAAGACAGTTTGAGGGGAAACCATTTCCCTTTGAGGGAAAACTAGTTTACTTCTTAAAACGGAGGAAAATTCAACCCTAGCCCTGTGTTCCATCCTGAAGAAAGTTCTAATGATGGAGTGAGTTGTCCCGGCCGTGGTACCAACCACCTAGGAGCCCACCTGATGGGGGTGGCCGCCCAGCCCCCCAGCCCATCTCCACAGCCATCACCTTGTTTGTGCTTCAGCAGCTTCTGCTTGAATTGGAGAAGTGTGCGTGTGAGCAGCTGGTTTTTTTTATGATACAGGATTTTGCACACCCACGGGGGGGCCACATCCAGAAGCCCAGCAGCTTCAGACAGCCCCAGGAGGCAAGGCCGGTGACACACCAGGCTCATCCCCTGCAGTGTGAAAAGTCACGATTCCCAGTGATAGAAACATCCCAGGAGCCTCAGCCTCCTGAGTAGCTGGGACCACAGGTGCACGCCACCATGCCTGGCTAATTTTTATTTTTTTTGTGGAGATGGGGTCTCACTGTGTTGCCTTGGCTGGTCTTGACCTAGGCTCAAGAGATCCTCCTGCCTCAGCCTCCTAAAGTGCTGGGATTTCAGACGTGAGCTACCACACCTGGAAGCAGCTGTGTTGAAGGTGTTGTTTACATACGGCAGAATTCTGTGATTTCAGGCATGCAATTCAGCAAGTTTTGGTGAACCTACAGGTCTGTGTGGGCAGTGCCTGCAGCCTGTGCCATCCTCAGGAAAGCTCCTCGTCCTGCTGGAGGTTTTGCCTGTTCTAGAATGTGGGGCGGATGCTCCCCATGGCCCCGCTGTCTTCTGTGTGGCTCTCTCCATTCTAGAATGTGGGGTGGATGCTCCCTGTGGCCCCGCTATCTTCTGCGTGGTTTTCCCACTCTGGTGAGTCAGCACACTGCGTGTGGCAGTTGGTCCTCTTGGAGCTTAGTGCAGATTCGGTGACTGATGTCCCTGTTCCCCAGCAGTGAGCATCTGGGACCCAGTTTTCAGCCATCACTACCAGATTCCTTTGATTCCTCGCAGACAAGCCTCCAGGCGCGTAGTGAGGCAGGCATCATCGAGTGTGTGTTTAAGTTTTTAGGAAACTGTGAAATGTTTTCCTGTATGTACTTCTCAAAAATCTGTTAGAATGTAGATAGTGCACTTTTTTTTTTCAATTATAAAAGGAAGATTAGTGAAAATTTGGAAACTAGAATAAAATGCCTCCTCTGGGCATTTTCTTTGGAGGTCTTTTCACTTTTCCCAAAATTAAATTTTTTTTTTCTTCTGATTGTGGTGATGATGTATTTTAACATGGAAAATTCCAACAATTCGGAGAAATATAAAGAAAGTAAAATACACAGGCTTACCCCTAAAGCTCTGGAGGTGTGTACCTTCCAGCTGTCCCCCAGCAAGCCTGGCTCTGACCTTCCGGGTCCCCCGGCAAGCCTGGCTCTGACCTCCCGGGTCCCCCGGCAAGCCTGGCTCTCACCTCCCGGGTCCCCCGCAGCCCTGGCTCTCACCTCCCGGGTCCCCCCGCAGCCCTGGCTCTCACCTCCCGGGTCCCCCCGCAGCCCTGGCTCTCACCTCCCGGGTCCCCCCACAGCCCTGGCTCTGACCTCCCGGGTCCCCCGCAGCCCTGGCTCTGACCTCCCGGGTCCCCCGCAGCCCTGGCTCTGACCTCCCGGGTCCCCCGCAGCCCTGGCTCTGACCTCCCGGGTCCCCCGCAGCCCTGGCTCTGACCTCCCGGGTCCCCCCCGCAGCCCTGGCTCTGACCTCCCGGGTCCCCCCCGCAGCCCTGGCTCTGACCTCCCGGGTCCCCCTGCAGCCCTGGCTCTGACCTCCCGGGTCCCCCGCAGCCCTGGCTCTGACCTCCCGGGTCCCCCCCGCAGCCCTGGCTCTGACCTCCCGGGTCCCCCCCGCAGCCCTGGCTCTGACCTCCCGGGTCCCCCCCGCAGCCCTGGCTCTGACCTCCCGGGTCCCCGCCGCAGCCCTGGCTCTGACCTCCCGGGTCCCCCCCGCAGCCCTGGCTCTCACCTCCCGGGTGCCTCGCAGCCCTGGCGCTGACCTCCAGGTCCCTGCCCACTGGGCTCTTCTCCCTCTTTGATGACTGCATAGCAGGACTTGCTAAGGAGACCCTGCGAGTGTTAGGCAGTTTCCAGCATTTTCTTTTATGAGCAATGCTTCATTCAGGTTTATTATTCATAGTCATTCCGAGTTTGAATACTTGAGATAAATTCCCATTTTACATTCTCAATGTTCTGAGGAGCTTCTCGGCTGGGGGTGCCTGGCACTGGCTGTCATTGGAAGGTCTTGTCTTCAGTTGCTTCTAAATTAGGCAAGTTGATCTTCTTATGTTTATTAACCATTTGTAGTTATTTTCTGCCTGTGAATGGTTTTTTCTTTGCCCCTTTTTTTGGGGAGGGGTGATGGTCATTTTGTTCTTATTGGTTTGCACACATTCTTATTTGTATATGAGCAGCTCACTCACTCAAACGCTTTCAGGTTCCAGCTGCCAGCACTGCCCCTGTTCTCAGCTCCCAGGACAGAGCAGAAAATCACTGCTGCACTCCTGCTTCCGCTCCTGTTGGACTGTTAGGACCCAGCAGGACACAGAGCGGATGGCATCTCTGGTTGAGGTGGAAGCTGGGGTCTCCTAGATGACATTGGGCAAAGGCTGGCAGTAATGATGTTGGGGGTGGGAGGAACAGTCTGGAGGCTCCTGGGGCTGAGGACTCCGGGGTAAGGCTGGCCTCAGGGGGCACGTGCATGACCCTGAGAGGGAGAGGCAGGCCCTGGTGACTTGGGTTTGAGGAGGATTCTCTGGCTGAGGCCCGAGGCTGGGTCAGGGTTGGCTGGGTGGCCAGTGCAGAGGCTGCGTGGAACTCACTGTGCATGAGGGACCAGGCTGCCAGGCCAGGCCTCGCCCTGTGTGGGGACAGCTGTTGGCACCCCTCTGCTCCCAAGGGCACCCTGTGCTGTGTCTCCTCCCTGCGCAGCCTCAGCCACGGACCCCACTTGAGGAATCTGAAGTGTGGGCCGTGGCGCCTCCCGCTGTAGTTTCTCCTCTTGCCTTGGAATGTGGGGTTCTCCCGCATGTGACGCATTTTCTCCAGTTTCACAGACAAAAACAGCGTTTCCTATTAGAGGGGAATGTGCCCCTGCAGGAGCAGCCCCTGCCCGCCCGGTGTCCTTTTCCCCTGGGAGTGGGCTTCCGGGTCTTCAGTTGCCTTCCTCCCAGCCTTCTGGAGTCCACCCTGTTACCCGCTTTACCAGACACCTCGGGCCAGAGCCCTGTCCCAGGCGCACCCCACACCAGCGTCCACAGCAGGACAGGGAGGATGGTGTTTGTTCGAACTGTCACCTCAAGGGGGTCTGTGCAGTGACGTTTGACCACACCCTTTGCAGTGTAGCTGGTGTGTGCCCAGGAAGCTGCCCTGCCCACCCAGAGCTGCCTGCGTGCACATCAGGAGTGCCCGTTCTCCCGCAGGCCTATGGCGGGTGGCTTTGCTGAGGGCTGTGAGGGGGAGGGCAGGGCACCAGTCACCTCCATGCATATCTCGGGGTTGTGTCCGTCTCTGGGGACCCCCACCCACCGTTCCAGAGCGCAGAGGGGCGGGCAGGGCACAGTCACCTCCATGCGTCTCTCGGGGTTGGGTCCGTCTCTGGAGGCGCCCCCCCCCCCCCCGCACTGTTCCAGAGCGCAGGGGGGAGGGCAGGGCACCAGTCACCTCCATGCGTCTCTCGGGGTTGTGCCCTTCTCTGGACCGCCCCACCCCATTCCAGAGCGCCAGGGCACGTTTCCATTTCTCTCTGGCATTTTTCTAAGGAAAAGCTGTTTCTCGACTGATCTCAATATTTTTTGGGGAAAAAAATACTGACAAAAACATTGATTTCCAGTTTTTCTGTTTGAGCCCCTGCAGGCCAGGTGGCCATGGCAGCACCCGGGGTCAGGCCCGTGACCAAGAGGGTCCCCACAGCCAGGCGTCCTCAGGAGCCGGCGAGTGGGCGCTTCGGGCTGACTTCTCGCCAGCTCCAGGGGGCCGTGGGGTGGGGGTTGTGCTCTCGCAGGCCACTCCTCCTCCCTTGTGGGGCTCCCAGCTTCCTTCCTGTGGGACTCAGGGACTCAGCCTGGACTAAATTTTGCAGCCAAGGTTTTTATACCAGCCAGAGAAGGGCAGCGTGGCCTGGCAGGGCTCCACCACCCTGTTCTTAGGCGGCCTGGGCCCTGCTGGGCTCTGTGAAGCTGGGGGTGGGGAGAGCGCAGAGTGACAGAGAGGCAGGGTCTCACCTATCCCCTGGCTTTTCTGAGCCTGTGAGCTCCTGAGGGATCGTGAGCGCTCTTGTTTGTTTTAACCATCAGTCCACGCCCCACCGCCTTGCTGTGAGCAGGTGAGTGTGGGGGCTCCTCCACTTTTTTCAGCAGCATGATAGATGGGGGCTCTTAAGTCCTACCTGCCCCCCAGCCCAGGGGTTTTCCTGGATGAGCGAAATGCAGGCATCAGGAGGGAGAGGGGTCAGAGATCCCTGGAGGCCCCTGCCCTCCCGCAGTCAGTGGTGGCTGGGGGCCGGGAGAATGACTAGGCAGGCTCCAGTAGCCACTTTAATTGTTCAGAGTTTGGCTTGACTTGAGCTTGAAATGGACAGTTTTGGAGGTGCGGTGGTGCATTACTCTGCCTTCTAAATTTATACCGAAATCTCGGCCCCCAGCCCCACCGCCGATGGCTCCAGGTGGCTCCTTCTGCATGGCCTCCACCTGGCTCTTGGCCTCCTGGCAGTCTCTGATCACCCTTACCCCAGGAGGACCCTTGACCCCCAGCCTGGCCCCCCTTGTCTTCCTTCCTGGATGTCCCCTGGCCCACGGGCTGTGCTGTGCTTGGAAGGCATACTGTCTGAGGGTACGAGCCCTGTGGCACTGCCTGGGACTTCTTTCAGGGCTACGATGGCCCTGGCTTGCTTCAGTCCTTCTCTGCATGCTGGCAGCGCCACAGCCTGTCCAGGCCCCATGGACGTTGGCACCTCCAGGTCAGCTGTGGCAGAGAGGCCCCTTGCACTAGGAGGAGAGGCTATCACTGTCTCCTACTAGGGTGGCGTGGAAGAAAGCTGTTGTGTTTCGGGTGCTTTCCTGTTTGGTGTGAGGCTTGTTGGCCAGCTTGCTAGGAGCAGGGGTGGGTTTGGGGTAGACTTGATGGCATTTTCTCCTCCTCTGCCTCCTCCTCTGCTGACTGGGCTGTGGGAACTAGGAGGGCAGTGCCCCCCTGGGAACAGGAGGTGAGCCAGGGCAGGATGGGCTTGTGCTGCGCTCTGGGCCGGGCATGTAGGAATAAGCTCTTTCCCCTTCCACATGCTGCTGTCCCCTCTTGGGGGACAGTCACGTGTGAAGGCTAGAGCCAGGCTGCCAGCACGGGGGTCAGCACAGAAATAGCCTTGGCTGCTGTGTGAGGGGAAGTGCGGGGCTTAGGGGGCCATGTTCACCCCTGCACCAGTGGCTCTCCCTGCAGAAACCTGCCCCATCTGCCCATCCCCTCCTAGTCCAGACTGCGTCTTCCTCATGGTCTGTGGTCTCCTTTTGATTTGTGTTGCCGATGGACATGTGTGTCCTGAGTGGTCTCTCCCCGACTCCAGCCGGGGTTTTACTTGCTTGGCAACTCCAGTTTTCCCTGCCTCTGATGCACAGTATGGAGGCTCCACGTGGACGTCCAAGGCTCCATGCAGTGCTCCTGACTGTCCGAAGTCATAGAGCAGCTTTTCTCAGGTGGCTCCTGAGACGTTTCTTTGTTTTTGTTTTGTTTTGTTTTGTTTTGTTTTGAGACGGCGTCTCGCTCTGTCACCCAGGCTGGAGTGCAGTGGCGCAATCTCGACTCACTGCAACCTCTGCCACCCAGGTTTAAGCAATTCTCCTGCCTCAGCCTCCCAAGTAGCTGGGACTACAGGCGCCCACCAGCACGCCCGGCTAATTTTTTGTATTTTTAGTAGAGACGGGGTTTCACCATGTTAGCCAGGATGGTCTCGATCTCCTGACCTTGTGATCCGCCCTGCTTGGCCTCCCAAAGTGCTGGGATTACAGGTGTGAGCCACCGCGCCCGGCTTTTTTTTTTAAAACCTTCTCTGCCCCTGCCGCTACAGAGGTGGTATTCCAGGACTCTAGGGAGGCTTGGAACCTCCAGTGGTACTTTTCAGTGTTTGTACAGGGTCTCTTTTCTAGATCCGAAAACGCCATCAGCGGATGCCAGGACCCTGTATGAATATCCTGTTGAGCTTGCTTCCTTATCAGTAAAATGGGCAGGGACAGGTCTCGGGGGTGCCAGTTGAGGAAGTCGAGGGGTTCTGAAGCCTGGTTATTCAGAGCTGGCTGGAGCGCTGCTCTTGGACTGGCTGTTCTCAGAATCCAGCTACTCCCTTCTTTGGGCAGGCCCTGTAAGAGCGCCCCTTCAGGTCAACCTTTAGCTTGATGTGGGCGTGGTTCCTTTCTGGGTAGTGTTGCCGATCCCTACCTCGGGGCTTACTTGCTTCAAAAGCCATTTTTGGGGGTCCTGGAACCAAGTTCAAAGGCAGTGTGTTTGGTTCCTAAAACGCACATTTGTGTTTCCTTTAACTATCATTGATTTATTTAGAGAGTCAGGGTCTCGCACTGTCACCCAGGCTGGAGTGCGGTGGCGCAACCATAGCTCCGTCGCCTTGAACTCCCGGCCCCAAGCAGTTCTCCCACCTCAGCCTCTCAAGTAGTTGGGGCCACAGGTACACCACCACGCCCAGATAATTTTGAAGATTTCTTTGAGATGGGGTGGGGGGGTCTCCTTATGTTGCCCAGGCTGGTCTCAAACTTCTGACCTCAAGTGATCCTCTCACCTAGGCCTCCCAAAGTGTTGGGCTGGGGTGGCTAAATTTGTTTTTTCTGCAACAGGACCGTGCTTTAGAGGGAGGCAGCCTTGAGTTCCAATCAAAGGCCTCCTTGGTAGCGGAGGGTCCGGTGAGGCTGTGCACGTCTGTTCAGGTCTGCCCTGCAGCGGCCTGTTGGCTGAAGTCGGGGGATGCCTGGGAAGCACACGCCAATGTCATGCGAGGCCTGGCACTTAGAAGGTTCTCTGTGAACGAGTCTCTTTCCCTTCCCTCGCGTTTTATTCCACGGTTTGCCTAGAGTCTTCTGACAAAGCCAGCCATTCGGTGTCTGTGCCTGGCGTCCGTGCCCCAGTGCGGTCCCCTTCCCCTCAGTTCACCCTCGGGTGGCTGCCGGGCTTGGTGTGTGGTCAGGAGAGCAGGTCCCCGGCCTAGCCTAGGCACTCTGTGCCGCAGATGTCTCGTGACACAGCTGCTGCGGAAGCCCTGGGGGTCTTCTGGGAGTCCCGAGAGTGCCCTGCCCTGGCTGTCTTGGACTCGCGTGAGTGCAGACACAGCGTGGGTTTCTCCCCGCTCGCTGCAGCCTCCACCTTGAGTTCTCTAGCTGGCTGAGTCTACTCTGAAGGGAGCTGTGGGGAAGAATTCACACATGGGGCTCTCCTGTCACCTGGGGTTTTTCAGTGCCCCTTGTTTAACAGTCTTAGCTTCTGGGGCAGCTGAGAGCATAGCGTGGGTGCCAGGAGCCGCCAGCCATGTGGGCTGCCCAGTGGGCAGGTGCTGTGAGCCCTTCCATGGACAAGGCCCTGGCGGCCCCAGAAAACTGCCTCCTGAGTCCAGACCTCCCTTCTTCTCGCCCTCCCAGGGCTGACATCCCCCTTGGTGCAGCTGTCATTGTGATTTTCGACCTCATGGGCCATTTCTCAGCTATAAATTGCGTAAGCTGCTGAGAAAGGGCAGCGGATGCTATCTGGAGTGCAGCTGAAGGCTGCTCCCTCCCACCTCCTTGCCCCTGCCAGTCTCCTCTCCGTTCTAGGAGCACTCTGCTCCCATCATGGGTGGGCGGGCCAGGCAGTCACCCTCTCTGCATCCCCTGGGCTCTCTGGCCTCCTTCTGCCTGGGGGCATCTCCTTTTCTGCAGGCTCTCAGCTGTGGGCTTCTGGTGACTGGAAGGCAGGAACGAGCTGCCCCAGCCAGGGCTGAGCGGGTGGCGCTTTCTCTTGGCAATCAGAAGGCTGCCGCTCATTCTGGACCTCTTCCTGAGAGTGCTCTCCCGGGCATGCGGCTTGCGAGGAGTGGCTCCCACACCCCAGCCGGGTGCGCCCTTGGCCAGCGCCTGCCAGCCACCTCTGTCACTTCCAGTGAAGTCCAGGAGCCCACAGGGCCAGCGGGTGCCATGTGACCTTGGAGACCAAGGGCCCCTCACCAGACTCTCCCATGTGCTCTGGAGAGCGTGCTGGCCATGCTCACTCGTGACAGGCACTGAGAAGCCGCTTTGCCATTGTCTGTGCTTTCCTGACAAGTGGATCTTGCCCCAGGAACCCGATCCAATTGTGAAGTTGCCCCAGATGTGGCCGTTTGTAGACATCAATGTATGAGAGTGTGTGGGGGACACCTGTGCCCACGCAGGGGCCCTGCTTTGGGGTGCCCGCTGTTCTGGGGACCCACGGTAGTAGCTGTGCAGTGCGGCAGCCGGCTCTGTGGGCTCCTGTGGCCTCTGTGGTCTTGGCCATCTGCCCTTGTGTCCGGCACTACAGACCATGTGTGCGGTCACCTGGACAGGGCCCAGTCTGGAGCCAGAGGAAGGAGCTGTTTGGGGGTGTCTCTCGGTTGACCTGGGGCTGCCTCATTTCTGTCTCCAGGGTGGGACAGGGCCTAGGTAGGGATTCCATACTTCTACATGGGGATGAGCAGTGCCACCTGAGGTGACAGTGTGCGTGGTGTGGCATCCAGGATGTCCGGGTCAGGGCCAGGGCCTGGCTCCAGCCCTGTTAGACGAGCCTCGCGCCCATGTCTGGCTGCGGCCCAGGGCTGTCTGGATCTGTCCACTTCTCCGTCTGCCTCCTCTGGGCTGCCAGCCTTCCCCTCCCCATCCCTTCTCCACAGGCTCTGCAGGCTGGGCAGCCTCAGCTTTCTGTGCCTTGGCCAGAGTCCAGAGCCGAACCTCACACACTTTCCGCACCCCGCCTCACTGTGCTTTTGGTGGGTGGATTTAAAGCCTCCTCCCCAGCTCTCTTCTGCACATGCCTCTCTCCAGCCATCCAGAGCCCTCCTCCTCTTTGTCGCCTGAGCCCCTCACCCCTGAGGCCTCCCTCATCCCACGCCCTTCCCCTTCCCTGGTCGCCTCTTCCCGCAGCCTATCGGTTTGGACATTCAAATGCTGAGACCCTGGGCTTACTGGCCACAGGTCCGGGCTGTGGTGGGCTCGCCGTGAGCAGAGGGCGTGTGACCTGAGCTCAGAGGGGAGCCTGCCCGGAGCGCCCCCGGCACGCTGTGCCTGGAGCTCCCCAGGAGCAGCACTCTGGCCTGATGGCCCCACCTGGGCTGTGGGGGAGCTGGGATGGAACCCAGGATGTCCTGTGGTGCCACATTTTCTCCCTCAGGGCGCTGGGGGCTGCCAGGGTGTCCTCGCCTGGCCGCGTGGTACTGCCTGGAGCAGGTATCCATCTGCTCATAGAAGGATCTGCAGGAGAGCAGGGTGTCAGATGCTGGCTTTTCAAAGTCAGGTGCCCAGGAGCCAGTAGGTCGTGCCTGGTGGGAGTCATGGGGGCCCAGGCCTGGGGACAAAAAGCAGGGCCGTCTCCCTACAGCACCAGGCAGGACACTGCAGTTCGAGGGCCTGTGGACCTATGAGGCCACATCTTCACCTTGGGCTGACCCCGGGGCTGACCATCAGGCCTTCCTCCCTCTGGTGGCACCTGAGGCCCCTGGCCTGGGTGGGCTGGAGGAGGACGTGGGTAATCCATGGAACAGGCCTTCCTAGCTGAGGTTTGATGGGACCCCAGCCCAGCGATGTGTGGAGCTGTGTATCTGTGCACTGGGTAGGGCTGGGGCTTCAGCGTCTGGCAGCAGGCCTGGGGGATCTCCAGAGCAGCCCCCTCATGTACAGTTGTCCGGCACCCTCATCTCTGTCCCTTAACACAATTGCAGCTAGTGATGAATGCTCAGTGTCACCGGAATCGTCCAGTGCAGGATCAGGCACGAGGAAGGCCGCAAGTATGAACAGATGGCTGGGCTGAGGGTTGACTGTAGGCACAGAGAGACGGTGGTGGTTCTGGCTGGGTGTGGAGGGGTGCAGGATTCGTCCCCTGGCCTCCCATCTCCATGGCAGGCGCAGTGGGGTTGGAGGCAAATCAAAGGAGGTAGAAGCAGATGAGAGGTAGCAGTGCAGCCACAGGAGGTGGTTGTGTGTGCAGATGTGCACTTGCGGGGTGGCGGGGCGGGAGGCAAGCCTGGAGGGACGGGAAGAGCCGCAGACCCGACGCTCACTGCCTAGCTGGCCACCCTGCCGCAGGCCCTTTTCAACTGGGCCAGATCCCACGTTCAACAGACAGGGCACGTGGTTGGCTCTCCCCCAGTCCCTTCCCTTGGCACAGGTGCCACAAGTCCCGAGGTCTGCTTCCCCCAGATGCCACCATGGCCAGTGCCGGGGCTGTGGTTCCCTTCTAGTTGAGTGCGCATTTAGTGCTGGCGTCCGCCCTAGTGTGGGTGACTGAGCCCTGGTAAGCACCGGGGCAGAGTGTTTCGTGCAGACATCACACCTGGCTGGAGAGGTTCAGCCCCCCTGAGGATCCCCTGGCACCCTGGGTGTTAGCATTGCCCTGGATGTCACTGTGCAACTGCAGGGCACGGGCATGGACTGAGAACATGGGTGAGAAGGGGAGACAGGTTTCATTCGCTTGCCCTCCACTCACCCAGCACCTCTCTGCTTTGAGAGCTGCTTTCTTGCTCTGATGCTGACTTGGCATTTCTTCCGTTCATTTAGCAAATATTGACTGCCTGCTGTCCCCCTGTTCCGGGTGCCGGGAATATAGTGGACACAAGACCCCTGCCCTCCTGTTCCGGGTGCCGGGAATATAGTGGACACAAGAGGCCTTACATTGTAACAGGAGTGCTGGACAGATGTGCCTGTCTGTCGCAGGCTGAGGAGCGCCAGGTAGGGCAGCCAGAGACGGAAGAAATGAGTGGCCGACCGGAAAATGGGATGTCTGAGGAGGAGCGCTCCAGCCACAGCAAAGGACAGGTGGCCAGCCCCGCGGTGCCAATGTGCTGGGTGCCCAGGCCACAGAGGAGACTCGAGGGACCAGAGCGAGGGGAAGTGGGGAGGGCACAAAGGCGGCGTGGGGAGCACTCAGGCTCATTCGCTGCATGGCGCAGGAGTCGTGAGGGGCTTTGAGCAGCAGGGGGTGGGATCAGAGCTGACTTGCCAGGATCACACTCCCAGTCATGTGGAGAGTGGATTGGAGGGTGGGGGCACAAGGGGGCCTGCCTGAGACCATGGTAGTGGCACAGGAGGCCCGCAGGGGTGTGTGGGTGAGGGACGTAGGGGGAAGAGACACCCCCCGGCGTGTTTTGTGGGTAGAGCCGTGAGGACCTGCTGATGGATGGATGTGGGGTCTGAGAGGGGTCCAGGGAGGACTCCCACATTCCTCTGAGGCAGTGGGAGGATGGAGCAAGTGTCTCTGGAGTTGCAGAGGACACCCGAGGAGCCAGTTCTGGAAGGAATGCCTCAAGTCTGAGATGCCCATTAGTCTAATGGGGACAATGGGCAGGCACTGGGCCAGGAGCCCAGAGAGGAGTTGCTTTTCTTTTAAACCTTTACTGCAGTCTGCTTGACATACCGTGAACCGCCTGTGTTTAAAGGGTGCAGCTTGACAAGTGTGGACATATGCATGTGTATCCCTGAAGCCACAGCCACAGCCAGGGAGAGGAACACACCCATCACCCTGGGGTTCCAGTTTACTCCTGCCTTTCTGTGACACTTCTCTCCCCCACTTCCTCGCTCCCAACCACTGACAAGCTTCTGTCATTGTGGTCACACCTTTATGTTTCCTGGAATTTCCCGTGAACGGAATCACAGTGTGAACCTGATGTTCACCTGGCCTCCGTCACTCAGCACACTTGCTGTAGGAGTCTTCCGTGTTCCGCGTGTCTCCCAGGCCACTCCTGTCTGTGGCTGAGGCGCGGTCCGTGGATGCTGAGGCCGCACTGTGTCACCTCCCCATGGTGGGTGTGCAGGTTCTCTCCTTTCTGACCAGCACACTTGCAGCTGCCGTGAACATTCGTGTGCGAGTCTCAGTAGAAATGTGTGCTTTCCATGAAGTAGCTGAGAGTGCAGTGCTCAGACCGTAGGTGGATATAGGCTTAACGCTTGTAGAAGCTGCCCAATTGCATTCTAAAGCAGTTCCAGTTCCACCATTTTGCATCCCCACCAGCAGCCTCAGGGCCCTGCTTCTCGGCACAGTGGTGGGCACGTGGCAGGCATGTGGCATGCTCATCCCATGGTCATCCCACAGGCATGTGGCATGCTCATCCGTGGTCATCCTGCAGGCACGTGGTTTGGCTGTCCCATGGTCATCCCGCAGGCATGTGGCAAGCTCATCTGTGGTCATCCCGTGGGCACGTGGCCTGGCCGTCCTGTGGTCATCCCGCAGGCATGTGGCAAGCTCATCCGTGGTCATCCCATGGGCACGTGGCCTGGCCGTCCCGTGGTCATCCCGCAGGCATGTGGCAAGCTCATCCGTGGTCATCCCGTGGGCACGTGGCCTGGCCGTCCTGTGGTCATCCTGCAGGCATGTGGCATGTTCATCCTGTGGTCATCCCACAGGCACGTGGTGTGGCCATCCCGTGGTCGTCCCGCAGGCATGTGGCATGCTCATCTGTGGTCATCCTGCAGGCACATGGCCTGGCCGTCCTGTGGTTGCAGCTATCCCTTGCGTGGCTGCAGCATCCTGTGCTCGTGTTTGGCGTTCTGCTGATGGCCAGTGATGTTGAGCATCTCTTCATGTGCTTCATTCGGCTAATCATCTCTCTTCTTTGGTGAAGTTTCTGTTCAGTCTTTTGCCCATTTTTTATTGGGTGACTTGCCTTCTTGTTATTGAGTTGTAAGAGGTCATTATCTGTTTTAGATAGAAGTCCTTTATCAGATCTGTGTGTTGAAAAAATGTTTTCCAGCCTGTGGCTTGTCCTTGTTAGGTGGCCTGAGCTCAGGCATGGGCTGTTCATTTTCAGTCCTTTTCTGCTCTGGTTTCCTCTGCAGAGTTGCCGCTGCTGTGTCTTTGAGTTCAGCCACCTTGGCTCTGCAGCGGCCCCCATGGTGCTCATCTCAGACATCTTCATGCCCACATCTGGAAGTCCAGTTTGGATTTTAAGAAAAATCTTCTTTATCTCTGTTTACCACGTCTCATGTTTCTTCTGGCTTTCTGGATGGGTGGGATACAGGTAGCCTGACTTAAAATGTCATCTACTAATTCTGCCATTCGGCCATTTATGGGACTTTTCCTGTGGATCGATTTGACTCCTAGGAAGGGATTATTTTCCTTTCTTCCTTGAACACGTGGTGATCTTTGATTACAAGCAAAACACTGTGACCTCTTGGCTTTGTGCTGATGCACACACAGGCACACGTGCACATGCATACACACACACATGCACACATGCACATGAGTTTTGTGAGCCAGCAGTGCTGTGCATGCACCCTTGCTGAGAAGAGCTCACATCCTCGAGCCACACCTGACCGTAGAGCTCTTCCGTTGTGGCCCCATGATGCCCCCACCACGGCTGCGACGCTGCGATGGAGTATAAATCGCTAAGCTCAGGTAGCTCTGCTGTTCCGAGGAGCCGGGAGAACCGATGGAAAGCTGTTGTTAGGGAAAAGACTAGTTGGAGTGTTCACGGGGCAGCTTCTCTCTGGAGAAATTCTGTGCATGTCTTTGATAGAGATTGGATTCATGAACTGATTTTAAAAGAAGGGTGAGTGATTTTGGTGGGTACGTGTGTTCAAAGCCACACCCACCTCAGCTGTAATTTTCCCGCATCACCCAGATGATTTTGAAGGAAATTCTGAACATGTTTCATCCGTGACTATTCTGTATGTCTGTAAAGGAGAGGGATTCTTTTCCTTAAACATAAGATGTTTCATTATCATACCAAAAGTAGTGATTTCTTCATAACATTGAGTATCAAGCCTTTATGTTTGTCTGGTGTCTCATGACTTGTTTTTAGAGTGTTGAATGTGGATTCAAATAAGGTCCATGCGTTGCACTTGGATGACAGATTTTGAAACTCTTTAACTTTCTATTTTGAAATCATTATAAATTCATAAGAAGTTGCAAAAATAGCACAAATTCCAGGGCCACCCTCAGCTAGCCCCTACAGGGACAGCACCTTACACACTGGAGCGCGACATTGGACCAGAGGTGATGGGCACAGGTGCCGAGTGGTGACCAGGCTGCAGGCTCCGCCCCATGTCTCTGGATCCACTCCACCCTTCCTGTTTGTTTTTTTTCCCATCCACTTACTTTGTTAGTGGAGCCTGCCTGCTCTTCCTGTGATGTCTCCCAGGGTCTGAATTTTGCTAATTGCATGCTGTGGTATTGTTTAGAACATTCTTTTTATTTCCTGTAAATTGGCAGCTAGATTTAGACCTTGATCGCATTCTCATTCTTCTTTGGAGGCCAGTTGGCTCCGCTGGTGGCTGTGTTCCACCACAGGAGGTGCATAATATCTCGTTGTCTTTTTGTGTTGTTTGCAGCTACTGCTGACCTCTGCCTAGAACCTTCCTCTCAGTATAAGGCCAGTAATCCTATCTGGGGGGCCCCACCCTATTTCATGACTTCATCTAACCCTGATTACCTCCAGTGGTGCCATCTCCAAATAGCATCACAACACTGGGGGTACGGGCTTCAACCTGTGAATTCGTGGGAATTCCATCCATGACAATAGCCTTTTGATTTAAAGTGTTACTGGTGTCTAATGGAAATACAATTTTCTTTCCTTTGTATGCAAACTTACCTTTTATCAAAGGACTTTCTGTTCGTCATAAGTCTAGTAATATTACTAGAACGCCTTGGTGTGAGTTGGTCTGAGGTGACATGTGCCTTTTCCATATGTAGTTGCAAGTGTTTTTTCCCTTTAATTTTGTCTGCCATTTTCTCTTAAATGCTTTCTCTCTTTCCTCCTTTGTAGAAACTTTTAGTTTTTCAGAAGTTGACATATAATTTACAAACAATGAAATGCACGGATCTCAAGTATTCAGTTAAGTGAGTTTTGATGAATATGAATTCCCCTGTAGCCCACACCCCTGTCAAGATGCAAAATGTTTCCGTCTTCCCGGAAAACACCACCACATGCCTTACCAGTCAGCCCTGTTTGCCTGCCACCTCCCCTCCCAACAGGCAGCCACTGTCTGATTTATTTTCATCAAGGACTAATTGGGCCTTTTCTAAACATCAGATACATGGAGTCTGATGGTCCCCGCTCTTGTCTCTGGCGTTTTCCCACTGACATCACATCTGTGGGGCTTAGCTGTGCATTGCATCTTGGTGGTGGTTTTATGCTTTGGGTTGCTGAGTGGTGTTTTGTTGTATGAATATACTGTCGTTTGTTGAGCTGTTCTTCTGTTCATGGACTTTGGGTTGTTTCCAGTTTCTGGCTATTGTGAACACTGCTGCTGTGAACGTTCTTGTAGGAGCCTTTATGTGGATGTATGTTTTTGTTTCTTTTGGGTCAGTACTTAGCCATGGAATTATGGAATCCTACATGCATATTTAACTTTCCAAGAAACTGCCAGCCCTTTTCCTCAGTAGTTGTGGCTTTTTCCTCAGTAGTTCCTCGCCCTGCCTGTAGCGCATCAGTCTCCTGGTTCCTGCCTCCTCCACACCTTGGGTGTTCTCAGTCTGTGCAGGTTTAGCCATTCTGGAAGGCGTGGCACTTGCTCTTGTACTTATCGGCCATTATTTGTCTTCTTATGTAAAATGTCTGTTCCAGTCTTTTGCCCTTTTTAAATGTTGAGTTGTCTCTTTTATTGTTGAACTGTAGACCTGCTTTCTATAGTTTAGCTAGAAGTCTTTTGTTGGATATATGCCATCCGTGGCTTGCCTATTCATTTTTCTTAACAGTATATTGAATAGAAGTGTGTGTATGATTAAATTTTGATGAAATGTATTTTGTCACTTTTTGGTTAGTGCTTTTTACATTCTAGGAAATCTTTGCCTACTTTGAGCTTGGCACAGATACTGTCCGTGTTTTATTGTAGAAGCATTGTAGTTTTGCTTTTATGTCTGAGTTTCTGATCCGTCTTGGTGTGAGGTAGGGATTGAAGGTTTCTTTTTCTTCAGAGATACTCAGTTTTCTCCAAACTATTTATTTAAAACATTTTCCTTTCCCCCTTAGATTGATTTCACACTTTTATTGAAGTCTAGTTGACCATGTAAGTGTAGGTCTAGTTCTGAACATTATTCTGTTTTATTTATGTTTATTTCGGTGTTTAATACTGTAGCTTTAAGGTAAGTCTTGAAATTCGTGTGAGTCCTGCTACTTGGGTCTTCTTTTGCAAGAATGGTTGGATCCTTCAAAGTCCTTTTGCATTTCCACGTGGATTTAAGAATCCTCTTGTTAGGCCGGGCGTGGTGGCTCATGCTTGTAATCCCGGCACTTTGCGAGGCTGAGGTGGGCAGATCACCTGAGGTCAGGAGTTCGAGACCAGCCTGGCCAACATGGTGAAACCCCGTCTCTACTAAAAATACCAAAAATTAGCTGGGTATGGTGGCGGGTGCCTGTAATCCCAGCTACTGAGGAGGCTGAGACAGGAGAATCACTTGAACCCGGGAGGCAGAGGTTGCAGTGAGCTGAGATTGTGCCATTGCACTCTAGCCTGGGTAAGAAGAGTGAAACTCCGTCTCAAAACAAACAAACAAAAAACAAACAAAAAACCAAGAATCTTCTTGTTAATTTCTTTTAAAAATAAGAAATTATCCCGGGATTTTGATAGGATTGTATTTAATTAAGAAAATTGACATCTTAACAATATTGAGTCTTCTAATCCATGGCCATGGCAAATTTTTTTATGTGTTTAGGTCTTTAATTTTTCTCAGCATTGTTTTGTGCTTTTCAGTGAGAGGCTTTGTACATTTGTGTTAAGATTATTCCTAAATTTAAAAATTATATTGTAAATAGCAGTTTTATAATTGTATTTTCCATTTATTTGTTGCTATTATATAGGAATAAAATTAATTTTCTTTACTGACCTTGTGCCCTGTGATGCCACTAAATTTACTTATTAGTTCTAGCAGACTTGCCCCAGTTTCCTTAGACTTTTCTGTTTACATAACCATGTTACCTGCCAAACAAGACGACCTTTTCCTTTCCAGTATTTATGCCTTGTATACCTTTGTCTTGCCTCATTACAGTGGCCTCATTGTGCCGCTGGTATAAGAGTGACACCGAATAAGAGTGGTGAGAGTGAGAAGTGCTCAGAGCCCCTTCCTTGTTTCTGATTTTAGGGGGAAAATCTTTACTCCATCAGCAGCATTTGATGTTAGCTTCAGATTTTTTATAGGTGTCCTTTCTCAGCTGAGGATGGTCCCTTCTGTTCCTGGTTTGCTGAGAGTTTGCATACACGTTTTGCCATGTGCTGTGTCTGCATCTAATTGAGATGGCCATATTTTTTTCTCCTTTCATTAATGTGGTGAATGACATTGATTTTCAGGTGTTAGCTAAGCTTACATTACTGGGTGAATCTCTCTTGGCTATGCTGTATTATCCTTTCAATACGTTGTTGAATTAGTTTGTTACTATTTTATTACAGAGTTTTGCATCCACATTCATGAAGGATATTGGGCTGTAATTTCCCTTTTCTAGGAATGCTGTTGTCTCACTTTGGCAGCAGCATTATGCTGGTCCTCCTCCTCTGTTTTCTGAAAGAGTATGTGTATGGTTTGTATTATTTCTTACTTATATCGTGTGTAGAGTTCATCCGTAAGCCACCTGCACCCACCATTTCCTTGTAGAAAGATTTTTAATTATAAATTCAGATTTTCTACTTCTTTGTATGTCAGTTTTGGTAGCTTGTGTTTGTGAAAAATTTGTCTGTTTCATCTACATTTTCT
This sequence comes from Homo sapiens, assembly GCF_000001405.40. Taxonomy (NCBI): domain Eukaryota; kingdom Metazoa; phylum Chordata; class Mammalia; order Primates; family Hominidae; genus Homo; species Homo sapiens. The sequence continues at coordinate 228,390 of NW_025791792.1, read as the reverse complement.
CTTGGCATTCAGTTCCTTATAGTGCTTTGTTACCCGCTTAATATCTGTAGGATCTGTAGGAATGTCCCTTTCATTTCTGATATCGGTAATTTATGCCCTCTTCCTCTCTTGGCTCTCTGTCTCTTTTCTGCTTAGTCTGCTTGGGAAATTGATCTTTTTTTTTTTTTAAGTTTTCCAGGCTAACTTTGTGTTTAATTCTTCATTATTTGTCTATTTTTCATTTCATAGATTTCTGTTATTTCCTTCCACTTTGCATTTAATATGCACTTCCTTTTTCTGGCTTCTGAAGGTGGATGTATGAATCACTCATTTTAAGCCTTCTCTCCTAATATGAACATTTATAAATTTCTTCCTCAGCTGAGCTTTAGCTGCATTCTACACATTTTTATAAGTGATGTTTTTATTGTAATCTTCTCTTTAGCACTGTTTAATCTGATGTTCATTTCATCTCAAAAATTTCATTTTCGATGTATTCTTCAGTTCCAGGAATTTTTGTTTATTATTTTGTGGAGTTTCCGATTTTTTCAGAGCCCTAATTGCTTTGTTGATTATGTCCAACCTTTCCTCTAAATCTTTGGATATATTGGCCGGGCACAATGTCTCATGCCAGTAATCCCAGCACTTTTGGGAGGCCAAGGCGGACAGATTACTTTAGGTGAGGAGTTTGAGACCAGCGTAGCCAACATGGTGAAACCTCATCTCTACAAAAATACAAAAATTAGCTGTGCTTGGTGGCGTTCGCCTGTAATCCCAGCTGCTCTGGAGGCTGAGGCAGGAGAATCACTTGGGAGACAGAGGTTGCAGTGAGCCGAGATTGTGCCACTGCACTCCAGCCCGGGCAATAGAGGACACTGTCTAAATAAATAAATAAATCGTTGAATATATTTATTTCATTCTTTTAAAGTCTTTGTTTGTTACTTTCATTATCTTTGTTATCTCTAGGCCTGTTTCTGTTGACTTATTTTTCCTGGTTATGAGTTACATTTTTCTGCTTCACCTGTCTAGTAATTTTTTTGTACACTAGGTATTGTGGTAGCAATGTTGTTGAAAGTCTCAGTTCTGTTTTCCTCCCTTAAAGAGTAGTGTGGTTTGTTCTGGAAGGCAGTTAATTTGCTCTTGGTTAGCTAGGATCCGTTTGAGGCTTGTTTTTAAGCTTTATTATGCCAGGTCCAGAGAACCCCCTCACTCTGGGCTATTGTAGCCCAGTCCCCATGGCACAGCCATTGTGGAATCTCTGTTAAATCTATTCGCCCAAGGTGTCTCCAGTCTGGGTGTGGGAACACGTCTGTCTCCTGCCCCGTGTGGCCTCCAGAACCTCTCTTCCTCACGCTTCCCAGAGCTGTTCTCTGCCAGGTCTTGCAGATGTTCTCTCTGACACCCTCAGCTATTTGTCCAGAAGCTTCCTTGGATCCCTGTTGATGTTTTTAGAGTCCCTTCTCTGTGCAGCTCTGTCCTGACTGCCTCCTCATCCTGCAAATTTCAACAGCTCAGCGGCTTGAGACTTCCATCCCTGCCACCTCAGCTTCTCCAGACTGCAGGCCCCATGTGGTTTCACCATCCCCACCTGCAGCCTGAGAGGCTCCCAGTCATCGCCTGTGCGCAGGGGCCACCGTCCTGCACGGCGGTATCCTGGGTCTGAAGCCAAGCACTTCATATATTCTACCCAGTTTGTAGTTGTTGACAGTGGAGGTGAGGTCCAGTGTCAGTTACTCTGTCATGAGTGGAAGCAGAAATCTCTTCTTTCCTTTATTATTTTAAGAAATTCTTCCTTCCCATCTTCTACTTGGACATCATGGTGGTTTTTGTATTCTAATTTAGACTTCATTTCAAAAATGGTTTATCCTCTCATTCCTGATTCTTATTTTGCCTCTTTTTTCAAATATTTTCTTTTTCTTTTTTCTTTTCTTTTTTGAGACAAAGTCTCGCTCTTCTCCCCCAGGCTGGAGCGCAATGGTGCAATCTCGGCTCACTGCAACGTCCATCTCCTGGGTTCAAGCGATTCTTCTGCCTCAGCCTCCCAAGTAGCTGGGATTACAAGCGCCTGCCACCACGCCCAGCTAATTTTTGTATTTTTAGTAGAGACAGAGTTTCACCTTGTTGGCCAGGCTGGTCTTGAACTCCTGACCTCAGGTGATCCACCTGCCTCAGCCTCCCAAAGTGCTGGGATTACAGGCATGAGCCACTGCACCTGGCCTCAAATATTTTCTTAAATTGCATTGTTTCCCTGATTGTCTTATTGGGTTGTAGTCTTCATCTGTGTTATGTGTCTTCATCTGTGTTGTGTCTTCATCTTTGTTGTGTGTCTTCATCTGTGTTCTGTGTCATCTGTGTTGTGTGTCTTCGTCTGTGTTGTGTGTCTTTGTGTGTCTTCATCTGTTATGCGCGTGTCTTCGTCTGTGTTGTGCGTCTTCATCTGTTGTATGTCTTCACCTGTGTTGTGTGTCTTCACCTGTGTTAATGTGTGTGTCTTCATCTGTGTTGTGTCTTCGTCTGTGTTGTGTGTCTTCGTCTGTGTTGTGTGTCTTCACCTGTGTTATGTGTGTGTCTTCGGCTGTGTTGTATATCTTCGTCTGTGTTGTGTGTCTTTGTCTGTGTTGTGTGTCTCCGCCTGTGTTATATGTATGTCTTCGTCTGTGTTGTGTGTCTCTGCCTGTGTTATGTGTATGTCTTCGTCTGTGTTGTGTGTCTTCATCTGTGTTGTGTGATTTCGTCTGTGTTATGTGTGTGTCTTTCTGGGATGTTTTAATTGTCAGTGGGAGAGTGTTACTCTCCTCTATTCTTCTTGATTTTCATTGGACTCAACTGTGAAACTTTCCTGCTTGCTTTTAAGTGACCCCACTTTCCCTGTGCCTTTGTGAGGGTGCCGGGGGCATTGTTTTGCTGCTTCCGTAGCTTTTGAGCTCCTTCTTCTGTTGTTTTCACAAAGTGATTAAAAACACGAAGCTCTCCACGAGTCTCCTTGTTGGAGGGGAGGCTACAGACGAGCAAGTGGAGGGGCCAGTGTGGTCCAGGCAGTGATGGCTGCAGGGGTGGGCTGGAGACCTCAGGGGAACCCCTGCTTAGCTTAGTATAGATACAAATGTCGACATGTGGGTGGAGATTGAGGCGTATGAGTGCATGTGTGTATACACATGTGCCTCCGTGTTCTTCCAGCTGAGAGGGCCTGGAAGCAGTGACACCCACTAGCAACGAGCCCACCCAGTGCTCTGATCTTAGTGTTTTCGTTTCTCGTTTGTGTAGACCCAGGCTGGAGTGAGGTGGTGTAGTCATGGTTCACTGCAGCCACCAACCTCCTGGGCTCAAGTGATCCTCTCACTTCAGCTCCTCAGTTGTTGAAACCACAGGCACATGCCACTATGCCCAGATAATTAAAAAAAAAAAATTGTTTTAGAAATGGGGGTCTTGCTGTGTTGCCCAGGCTGATCTGAAACTCCTGGCCTCAAGCGATTCACTTACCTGGGCCTCTCAAAGTGCTCTTGAGATTCCAGATGTGAATCAACGTGCCTGACCAGGTCTCAGTTTTGAATTCATTCATTACTGTTTTGGGGCAGGGTCTCGCTCCGTCACCCAGGCTGGAGTGCAGTGGTGTGATTATGGGTCACAGCAGCCTCAATCTCTTGGGCTCAAGTGATCCTCCTGCCTCAGCCTCCCATGTAGCTGGGAACACAGACACACACCACTATGCCTGGCTAATTTTTACATTTTTTGTAGAGATGGGGTCTCCCTTTATTGCCCAGGCTGGTCTCAAACTCTTGGGCTCAAGTGATGGTCCCTTCTTGGCCTCCCAAAATACTGGGATTACAGGCATGAGCCACCATGCCTGGCCATTTTTTTTTTTTTTTTTTTTTTTGAGACGGAGTCTTGCTCTGTCGCCCAGGCTGGAGTGCAGTGGTGCGATCTCAGCTCACTGCAAGCTCTGCCTCTCGGGTTCACGCCATTCTCCTGCTTCCGCCTCCCGAGTAGCTGGGACTACAGGCGCCTGCCACCACACCCGGCTGATTTTTTTGTATTTTTAGTAGAGACAGAGTTTCACTGTGTTAGCTCGGATGGTCTCGATCTCCTGACCTTGTGATCCTGACCTTGTGGGAGGCCCGTCTTGGCCTCCCAAAGTGCTGGGATTACAGGCGTGAGCCACCACGCCCGGCTGCCTGGCCAGTTTTTAATATTTTCTAATGAAAAGAACCAGGGCTCCTTGGAGAAGGGGCTGATTCCCGGGCTGGGGCTGGGAATGCAGGGGGAGCCTGGAGCACCCTGCAGTGCCAGGAAATCAGGACATGCCCCAAAATGAAAAGTCTGTTGATGGGGGTGCATCAGGGGACCCAGCAGCTGATGGCAGGAGCTCCCCAGGGCCAAGGACGGACAGTGTGATTCACAAAACAAAGTAGTGTTGTGTTCTAGCTCGGAGTGCAGCCTCAATAGCCAGGACTTCATCCCAATATAAACAAATGGCTGAATATATAAATGAGTGACCAAGAAGAGGCCGCTCTCTGGTGCCGAACTTCCAGTAATTCCCGTAGCTACTCCTCCGTCAGGGTGGTAAGGGGTGGTCCCCACCCCTTCAGTGTGGTCTGCGTGCAGCAGCTTCGTTCGAGAGCGCGGTGCGGGGCGGGGAAGACGAGAGCGTCTTTGCGTGGGGAGGCCTGGCAGTCACAGCCTCAGCCAGGAGATCGGGAGCACCTCCCGCGATGAGCCGTGCTGACAGGACGGGCCGTGGGCACGGGGCGACGAGGGGGACATTTCCCTCTGTGCTCTTCCTACCCACACCCACAGCCCAGCCTCGTCGTGAGGAGAGCAATGGATGGATCCAGACGTCTGAGTCAAGTTTGGACCTTGCTGCATCAATGTGGATTTGTTCATTGTTAACAAACAGACCATCCTAGTGTAAGGGTTAGCAATAGGAAGAGTGAGTGGGGGGCCATGGGGATTCTGTGTTTGCAGTTCTTTGTAAATCTAACACTTTTCTAAAACTAAAAGCTTATTAAAGGTAAAATAACCTCTGACACAGACACATGGCCCGTGCCCCCTGCCCCGTCCCGCCTTGGTTGCGACCGTTCCCCCCTGCGTGGTGCCTCTGCCCCGCTCCTGTGCTCTCTGTTCCTGGCCAGCTCCTGGCCCTGGCTGTGCCCAGAAGGTGCTTTTGCTCTTCCTTTTCTGGGGTGGCGGGGCCAGGCCACACTGGCACCCGTCACTGGCCTGCGGGCCTCTGTGGCAGCTCCTCGTGGAGTCTGCAGAGCCTGCTCCAGGTCTGCTCCTCTTCCCAGTGCAGTGTCTGTCGCTCAGTGTCTGTGGGTTCCAGCTGCCCCTCACCCTACCCCACTCCTGCCCCACTACCTAAGTTTTGATCAATAGGAATACCTGCTCCCTGCACGTGTCCCCCAGTGAACAAACACAGATGAATGTGGACGTTCCTCTGGCGCCAGCCCAGCCCTCTCGGGACAGTGGCATAAGCCACAGAGCTGCCGTGTGCTGACCAGACCCACTGGGCACACTTGGTGTGCTCCCCCACCCTACCGGGCACCTTGTCTTGACTGTTCCCCCGCCCCCGTGCCACCCTCACCACTGCCTTGCCTGGACCAGACTAGGCACGCTTGGTGTGCTCCCCCCACCCTACCCGGCACCTTGTCCTGACTGTTCCCCCGCCCCCGTGCCACCCTCACCATTGCCTTGCCTGGTTGCCTGGCTTCTTGTGCCCGAAGCCTCCACCATCCCCAGCTTCCTTTATGCTCTGCCCTCCAACCCCCAGCAGCTCATTCTCCCTGTCATGGGCCTCTGCACGGCCTTCTCTGTCCAGGCCATGCCTCCCGAGAGTGGGCAGGTCTGCGTCATGCACCTCCTGGTCCCAGCCCTGCTACTCACGGGGGCCTCCCCAGGCCTGGAGCCCGCTCTTCCTGTGGCTCCCTTTGCCACTTGGGTGACCTGCCAGCACCTGTGTCCCTGCTGTTGGTGGAGCCCCCGAGGGCAGACCGGCAGCCGTGAGCACGGTGCCTAGGTGCGTGTGGCACCACAGGGCTGTGGGATGGCCTTGCCAAGGCAGAGGAAGGCCTGTGGGCGCATGGACGTCCTGAGCCTCACCGGGCTGTTTGTTCTGTAGAGACCAGTTACGCACTGCTCAGAGCATGGCTTAGGGACTGGCCTAGTGGGGAAAATGAAACTGCAGCCTGTTGGGCCTGCTGCTGCTGCTGCTTAGGGAGGCGGGGGCCGGCCTGGGGCCATCCTCTGCTGTGGCTCCTGGAGAGTGTGTCTGTGCTGGGTTGGTGTGCTGTCTCCCCGTGCGCCCAGGCTGTGTGTGTGCGTGCAGTCCAGACACCACAACTCCCATGGGGGCTGGTATTGATGGGGGTGAGCCTACCCTGGCTGCTTTCCTGATGGCTCTGTGCTCCCCGCAGCAGCTGGTACCTCAGGCTGTGTCCTGACTCCTACAGGGCTTCACACCGACAGAGGTGCTGGGACAGCTTCTGAGGGGCAGTGGCTGGAGATGCTGGGGTCTCTTGATTGGCAGGAAGCACAGGAAGTATGGCTCCCATGCGGGTGGGGGATGCTCCTGATGACCCCGTGTTGTCAGGGGGCTGTCACTGCCAGTGGGGTCCACGCTGACTCAGGATGAGGAGAGAGCATTGCCCTCTCAGGTGTTTGCATTTTCAGGATGTGGTGGTCTCCTGTGTGCAGACCAGCCAGAAGGAAGGCCGGGGCCGTGCCGCTCTGTGCGCCCCCATGGGGAGCTGCTGTGGGCATTTCTGTTGGGCTGGGTGCCCTGTGGTCCTGGCTGGCAGCAGCCTCAGCCCAGCACCGTCCAGGCACCGCAGAAGCTGGTCGGCCCCTTCTCTCTCCAGGGCCATCCAGCAGGAAAGCCACTTTGAGTGCCTCCAGCTGCGTACACACTGCAGGGCAGGGCGGCCCATCTGTCTGTCCGTCTGTCCGTCCCTGGCCCGAGCACTGACTGGGCTAGGCTGGGCCGGACAAGGGAGAGGGGAGTGCCATCGACCTGGAGCTCGTCAGCAGAGTTGCTGCCTGTGTTCAGAAGGCCTTTCCTGGGGGCTTGGCAGCAGAGGACCTTGAGGTGGAGCCCAGGACCTTTCTGATGGATCCTTCTTGCAGGCCAAGGACGGCCCTGTCCCCTCCCTTCTGGTCCCACCCCCACCGCCTCTTCTGGCAGCCTGAGGTGGAGCCCAGGACCTTTCTGATGGATCCTTCTTGCAGGCCAAGGACGGCCCTGTCCCCTCCCTTCTGGTCCCACCCCCACCGCCTCTTCTGGCAGCCTGAGGTGGAGCCCAGGACCTTTCTGATGGACCCTTCTTGCAGGCCAAGGACGGCCCTGTCCCCTCCCTTCTGGTCCCACCCCCACCGCCTCTTCTGGCAGCCATGCCACTTGGAAAAGGCCAATTCAGACGCTCCCTCGTTTCACCAGCCTTGGCCAGCCCTTGCCTCTGGAAAGGGGGCAGCTGTTTGTCTCTGCCAGGCGTCCCATTGGCCAGGGAGTGAGGCTGGAGGGCCCGGCAGCAGGCATTTGCGAGTGCTGGCCAGCCGGCACCCCGCCCCGCTTCTCCTCCCCACCTTCCCGTCGCCCACTCATGCTGGGAGACCACTGCAGTCTCCCTGAAGACCAAGCCCGGCCCGGCCAGTCCCTGCAAAGTGGACTCTGCTGCAAAATGGTGCTTCAGGCTGTCAGCAAAGTGCTCAGGTAACACCTGCCAGCCTGGCTGGGGGAGGGGTGTGTAGCACATCTGTCTGCCCTGTTCTTGCCCCCAGGAAGGAGGTCAGGGTGGGGAGGCGGCGGACTGTGTCCGTGGCTGCCCTCCCAGTGTGGCCGGCGGCTGTGCAGCGAGCTGTGCTGGGCCACACGCAAGCTGTCCAGGGCAGAGGCGGCTGTGCAGTCCCGGGCCAGCCTGGCGGGTTTGCTCTGGAGCCCTGCCCAGTGGGGCTTTCCTTAGCCGCCTGCACTTCCTGTTGCTCTGTGGGAGAGGAGCGGGTCTTGGTGTCCTCGACCTTCGGGGTTGACCCCACCTTGCCGGCACAGGAGCCTGCCTTGTCCTCCCGCAACCCACAGGGTGTGGTTCCTCAGCCGCCAGCAGGTGTGCCTGTCTTTGTCCCAGCGTGCGGCTGTTTGTGCCCTGGGCAGGGGCTTCAGCCACCCAGGCAGAGGTGACCCGGAGTCTGTCCTTGTGTGGCCTTGTCCAGAGAAGTGGCATGGGGTTCCCGGGTGCCTATTTTTGTGCTGGCTGCCATAGGGATGTTGCCGGAAAATCCATTTTTGACATTTTTCTCACCTGTACTTTCTCTGACCTGCTGCGGGGGTGCCTCCCTGCCCACACCACTCAGCTCGGTGTGTGCAGGGGCGTGTGTGGGAGTGTGCGCCCAAGTGTGTGGGAGCGTGCACCCGTGTGTGTGGGAGTGTGCACCCGTGTGTGGGCATGAGGGGCCGGGGGAGTGGGGCAGGCACAGCCAGCTGCAGCAGTGAGTGTGTCCTCCCGGGTGGGGTTGCCTGGTGGGGGTGTGAGGCGAGCGTGGCCTGCTGGACGTGCCCTCCAAGGGCCGGGGGCTGCGGCACCCGTGTGCATCTCCGTGCCTCTGCCTGTCCCTGGGCACCCGGCTCCATCTTTCTCTTCATAGGCTCCTTCCCTATCTCCCGATCACCTGTGCATTCAACAGGGAGGGCTCCACAAGTAGACACAAGAGTGCCGGCCGGTGACCCTGCCTAGGATGTCCTATCTTAAGGTGAAACTGTGAGGTTTTGGAAATGTGTGGGCAAGTTGGCAGTACTCGTGAGTTCAAATCAGGAATGGTGCCTGACATCAGTGGTGTGAGGGGACTGGCGTGTGTGTGTGTGTGCCTGTGCCAGTGTGTGCTTGTGTGTCTGAGGCCAAATGCCGAAGGCAGCTCCACAGGAGACACAGAGGCAGGCCTGGAGCCCAGCCAGGCCCTAAGGAAGACGGGCGGAGTCCCTTCCCTGGGGCTCAGGAAGGTTTCAAAGGAAGCGATGAGGAAGCCACCTTGGCTGGGAGCTGGATGCATGGAGGGGCCGAGGCGCAGTGGAGCATGGTGGCCACGTGGGGCTGAGGTTCTAGGACAGCAGCAGCACCTGCCTGTTTGGACGTTTGGTCTGGGATGTCTGCGGGCGTTCCTTGTGCCATCTTGGCTTTTTCCTTCTCAATGGGCCTCTGCAGAGGGCACAGTAGGCTGGTAAAAGCTCGCTTTGTCTGGGGCTGCTGACCTGTTTGGGGGGGCAGACAATTAAACTCAGAAGAAAAGAAGCCACACTCCACAGCTTCCAGCTGGCTGAAGCCTGTGGGCAGTGCAGGCTGTGCTGAGAGATGGACAGGGGCTCCGGAGGCCTTCCCACCCCTCAGCCTGAGGCCGTGTGACAGAAGTGGGATCAGCACCCAGGGAGAACTCGGGTTAGAACACGGTGTTAGAAATGCAGTTTTCAGGCCCCCCCTCAACACCCAGAAGGCCACATCAGAAATGTAGGGGTGGGGGTGGCGCCAAGCACCCCAGCATGTGGTGCCCTCCCTGCATGTTGGGGTGACAGGAGGTGCCCGTGGCGTGCACCCTGGGCAGCAAGGTGTGCTGAGACCCAGGCTCTGTACCGGGTGGCTACTGGGGGCTCTGCCTGGCCGGGTCTTGGGGGAAGGGGTCACTGGGAGCCTTGACTTTCAGGCTCTGGGTGGACCAACCAGCACTGACATTCACCCGAACCAAGGAGCATGAGGGGCCCGGTGCAGATGGCTGAGTGGGGTCCAAGGACCATGCCCTCCTCAGAGGCGTCACCTGCGGGCCTTTCTCCTGCACCCCACACGCTGCCTGGTCACCGTATTTTCCAGGCCTGGGCTTGGGGACTTGTATTTCTGGGCCCCTCGTGCCTGCCCCACCCCTTGGCGTTGACCTGTGGTGGGAAGTGCCAGATGAGGGCCACCTCCTGCTGCTGCCCACTCACCTCAGGGTCTACAGGCTCGACTTCCATAGCAAGCGTGCTCTGGGCGAGTGGGGGTCTCTGAGCCTGGAGCACCCCATTCCTGTGGGCCGTGGGGCCTGGCCAGGATTCCATCCCTGTGATAATGAAGTTGACACTCGTGGCAAAGGTGCAGGGCACTCGGTTGTGCTGTCCTCGTCCCTCAGGGCGGATGAGGAGTGGGCGGCTCCCAGCCCACTCCCCAGCTCCCCCTGCCTGTGAAGCAGTGTGCACCTGCTGTGGGCAGGGTGAGACCCCCTGTGTGTTGACTGTGTGGTTGTCTAAGTTTTCCACGGGAGCCCAGCAGCTCTGATGCCTCCCTGTGCCCCTTCCCTTGCCCACCAAATTTGTGTCTAGCAGGGATTGCCTCACTTCCCAGTAGGGATCAGTTACGTGCTGGGTGCCAAGGAGGCCGACTGGCACGTCATGGGTACCACTGGCGAGAATGGGGAGGGTGGCATTTGACAGGCTCTTAAAGGACCAGGAGAAGTTTGCTAGGCCTGGTGTAAGATGGGCAAGTTGGCAGAGCAGCAGCTGGTGCCCACAAACAGGGTGCAGACCCCTGTGGCAGGCAGGACAGGTCATCTAGAGCAGGGAGGAGGGAGGTGAGGCTGGTGAGTGTGTGGGAGGCAGGAAGGAGGTGGTTCCATCTGGCCCGGCCCTCCTAAGTGCATGGTGCCTGCCAGGCAGGACCCAGGCTCAGAGCCCACCTGTTGGAATAGTGTGAGGGACTTTGTTTTGGGGGCTGTGCACACAGCATCTGCCCTTCTGCTTCTTCCAAGTGGTCACGGAAGCCCTGTGGGTGGGCTGAGGTCCAGGGTCCACTCCCCAGTCCCTTCAGCGCCATCTCTGTCCTGCCTGCGGCCGGGGCCTGCTCCCACAGTCCTCCCTCCACATCGAAGGACTTGGTCTTTCTGTGCCCCGGGGCTCCTAGCCAGCAGCACAGGGGGAGCTGGGAGCAGGGCGCAGGGCCTCGGCACTTCCCTGGGTGAGGGGCAGCTGGGCCACTGAGGCAGTGACTGGGCAGACCTCTGGGCCTGGACGGCACAGAGCCTGTTTCAGAGCCTGTGAGCCTGCGGGGGGCGCCGCAGAGGTGTTTTCTCCACTGGGCAAAGCCAAGAATGACTAAGGACGAGAAGAGTGCCATGGAGGTGTCGTGTGCTCTGAGGCCTCCTCGGTAGCTGCCGCTGGCTTGGACCGAGCAATGGGCTGCCTCAGAGTGACTGCTTCCTGCCCAGGCCTGGGCCTTCGCTGAGAGCCTGCCCTTCTGGGAAGGAGGGCACTTGAGGTCAGGGAGACGTGGGTGCTGCCAGGCGTTCGGGGCTTTCCCATGGAAGTCCCTCTGTTGGTGCCCGCACAGCCGTTCCTGGAGCAGAGGCCATGTCCTGCGCGTCCCCTTGGTCCTACTACCTTTGGGCCAGTGCCCGTCCACCTGCCCCATGGGAATGAGTGACCCGGTCCAAAGAAGGTAGGCTTGCAGGAGGCTTGTCTCACAGTGCACTAAGCTCCGGGGCCCGGCCAGCCCTGGGTGCTGGGGACAGGGTGAGACTGGGGGAGCAGCTCGGGGAGGCCCAGCCTGGAGGGCCTCGTGCGTACTTTTCTTCTGTGTTCTAGGAGAGCAGGTGTGGACGGGAAGAGGCAGGGAGGCTGAGGTGCCAGTGCCGGAGTGGCGGCTGCTCACTACCTCCTGACCACAGCCAGAGCCTGGGAGAGGGAAGCCAGGTCTCCAGGTTCTGCCCCTGCCCAGCCCTCTCTGAGGACCGGAGGTGGAAGGTAGCCCCAGCCTGGAAGGCTGGCAAGGGGGCAGGAACTGCCAGTAGGGCAGCCTCCCTGAGTGGGCCCTGGGGCACACCCTGAGAGTGAGCGCGCTGACAGCTGCTCCTGCTGGCAGCCCTGCGTGACCGACCACCAGGTAACTGCCACCTGGAGCTTGCCAGTTGACACAGCTCCTAAGACACAGAGCAGGGAGACGGCTTGTAGCCCGCTTGGCAGCCTGGGCCACTGCAACCCACCCCTCCAAATGGGAAGGCCGAGCCCAGGCTGTAGCTGCCCGGGTGGGGTGTGGTGTGCTGTGCTGTGAGAGCACAGGGCAGGGAGGTGCAGGCCCACCTGCCGGTGGTCAGGGCCAGGCCCAGCGTCATGGGGAGAGCCTTCCCTGTGGTGGACACGCTGGGCATGGCCTGGCACAGGCTGGTGTGGAGTCTGGGTGCCTCGCTGTGCTGGGGCGAGGGGCTGCAGGCTACACGGAAGCTCACCCTGTCTGTCCCACCCCTGTACTGTGAGGACCCCAAGTGCCCACGCTGCATGTGGCCCATCCACACCTGTGCTTCCTCTTCCTCAGACCCCACGCCCTGTGCTCTGGAGAGATGGCAGAGTGGGAGTGCCAGGGCCCAGGGGCCCTGCCCCTGCCCCTCCCTGCCCCTGCCCCTGCCCCTCCCTGCCCCTGCCCCTGCCCCTGCCCCTGCTCCTGCCCCTGCTCCCTGCCTGGCTCTGGCTACTCCCAGCACTGCCCCCAGAGGCCTGCGCTGGTCTCCTTTTAAGGCGAAGATCTGCTGTGAGAAGCTGAAAGGGAAACATTTCCCTGGCATTCAGGGAGCATTTTTCCTTTCTCTTTCTCTTAAATAAACCATTAGCAACTTTTCAAAACAAGAAAGAAAAAAAATAAGGACAGGGTCAGGTTGCCACAAAGACCTTTGGCCCCCATCCTCATCACCCTGTGGCCTCCCCAGGCCTGGTGGACAACAGGGATACTGGAGCTGCAGGCCAGGCTGCCGCCTGATGCCAGGGGCCCCGTGCTCTCAGGCTGGCCAGGAAGGCAGGTGCCCTGCACAAGGCCTGTGGTATGTTTTCACCGGGGCCACCAGCGGCAGGGGCAGGGACAGGCTGGCCAACTCAAAAGAAGCCAGGAGTGAGAGGGTTTGCTTCTCCTTTCCTTCCAAGAGCACTGGAAAACTGGAAGGTGGGCGCTGGGGGCCCTAAACCCTGGGCCCCTCCCTGGTTGGAGGACTTGGTGAGGGGTGAGGATGCCCTCCGTGCAGGGGCCCGTGTGGCAAGTGGGAGCGCCAGCCCTTCTTCCCAGGAGGTGCCACGCAAGGCAGCTCCACTGGCCCCTCTGCGGAGCAGCCTCACCGTTGGTGTCCCGTTGGTGTCCTTTGAGCCTGGCAGGGAGGCAGTGTCGCCCCGATGGGCTCGGGCAGCTCCCTCTACACCTGCGCTGGCCACAACTGACCCCCCGGGCAGACCCTGGGTCTGATGGGCGTGTAGTGACCACACCGCGTCTCCTCTCTTGGCAGGAAGTCCAAAGCCAAGCCTAATGGCAAGAAGCCCGCTGCGGAGGAGAGGAAGGCCTACCTGGAGCCTGAGCACACCAAGGCCAGGATCACCGACTTCCAGTTCAAGGAGCTGGTGGTGCTGCCCCGCGAGATTGACCTTAACGAGTGGCTGGCCAGCAACAGTGCGCGGGGGCCTGGGGGCGGGCCCCCTCCCTCCTCCCTGCTCCTCCTCGAAGCCCCTCCTCAAGGGGGACCCCCACGGCTGGTGCTCAGCAGCCCCCTGCCGCGAGGGGAGAATGTGGCCCGTGGACGGGCAGAGCTCACCCAGCCGAGCTCCTGCACCTGTTGCTGGAAGCAGGGGTGGACGGGGCGGCTCAGCTCTGGCGTTTTTCACATCTGGCTCCTTCTCTTCTCTTCCAGCCACGACGTTTTTCCACCACATCAACCTGCAGTATAGCACCATCTCCGAGTTCTGCACAGGAGAGACGTGTCAGACGATGGCCGTGTGCAACACGTGAGTGCTGCCTGGCTACAGCCCACTTTCTCTTGGGAGACTCGGTGGGGCTCTGAGCCCCCGCTGCCCCAGGCTCCTGTCCTCTCAGATTCCGTTCTCACCTGGAGACCCTGAGAAGTCTTGGCACAGGCCTTCCACAACATCCACCTTCCTGTGGAAAGGCCACAGGCTGGGCCAGTGGCCCAGCTACCCAGGTCCCCAGTGGGGCCCAGAAGGTGCAGGAGCTGGTGGGGGTTGATGGGCTATGTTTCTAGGGACAGAGACGTTTCCAGAAGGAATGCCCTAAGATTGCAGAGAGCCCTTCTCCGCTGGCTCCCGTGACAGCTCTGGATGGGACAGTGAGGGCTGGGCTGGGCAGGCCACAGGTCCTTGCTCGGCCATTCATTTCATGGGGGCTCAGTTACCTTCTCCGTGACCATCCAACATGCCTGGTGCTGGTAGCTCTCTCCTGGAAGCACTGCACCCTGATTTCCTCAGTAAATGGGTGTCCGTTAGTGGCCCTGAGCACCTCACTTGCGTAGCATGGGAAGGAGCGCCGCCAGGCCTGGGTTGCTGAAAGCAGCCTTGGAGGCTGCAGGCAGGAGGAGGCTGGGTCTGCTGGGCTTAGCCTGGGACATGTGCGGCTGAGGAGGGCGGAAGCTTTTCCCTGATGTCCCGTTGTTGTCAGTGCACACAGGTCAGGGACAGAATGTGTGCCTGTGAGTGCGTCCTGAAAGTCATCCTGCCCACAGACATGGCTTTCCTGGCCCTGGCACAGGGAGACGTGGTCCCCAGACAAAGCTGAGTTCTGCCTTCAAGAAGCCAAGGGGAGCTTCTGCACAGGCAGCTGGCAGGCGTCCCCTTGGCTTCAGTCCTGCTGGGCCCTGCCCTCATGGCCATGATGGGTCACAGCTTGGTTTGGTTATGGGTGACACCGGGGCAGGTACAGACAACAGCTGGCTTCACTGTCTTAATTCCCCAGGAAAATGAGGTGTCACAGCCAGGCATGGCCCAGGAAGATGGGGACAGTGCTTATGGCTTTGAGGGGAGCAAGCTCAATGTGAGACGGCGGTGGCCTCCATGGATCAGGCATGGAGATGGGTCCTGAGGTGGCAGGGCAGCACCCGAGAGCTACTCGAGAGCCTTGTGTCCACTGTGGCTCTGGAGCCACCTGTGGCCAAGTGCTGGCTCAGCGCCTCTGCTCCTGGGCAGACGGGGCCTGGCACCCTTCCCAGAGGCTCTGCTCCTGCATGTTCTGTGGTACTGGGTTGGTTTGGAAAAGGGGTCCTTGGAGGAGTGTAGGATGTGGTGTTGGGCAGACCTATGTCCCCTTGGAGGGCCTAGGCCACCCAGATTTGCCTCTTGGTCCTTCTCATCTGGAGCTGGCATCATGGTGGTAGTAGATGTGTGTGAATTAATTGCATGTAATGCCTTTCCAGGAATCCTTTCAAACCAAGGGACAGAAATCCACTCAAACTAAGAGAAACATGGAGACTTCTCAGAGGGCCTCAGGGCCACTTGCCACCCAAAAGACCAGCAAGTCTGCCTGGGTCGTGTGAGGGCTCTGGGATTGAGGCGCGTCTCCTCCCTGCTAGGGCCTGTAGGACAGTCCCAAAAAGGCTGATGTCTGACTCCTAGGGAGACGAGAAAGGGGGCGGGGCCGGAAACACATTGCAGCAATAATGGCTGAGAACTTCCCACAAAGACACAAACCTGCAGACTTAAGAAGCTAAGCAAACCCCAAATAAGGCTCACAGACACGTGCAGATGCATGCAACCAAATGCTGAGAACTGGGGGCAAAGAAAAAGCCCTTGGCAGCCATCCTCTGTCAGCAGTCAGACGGCGGTGGCCTGGTACTGACAACAGATGCCGCAGTGAATGACCGTGGCACTTTTAGAAACCCAGGAGGCCAGAAGGAAGAAGGAAGCCCCACACATCTTCCAGTGCTGGGAGAAAAGAAAGGTCATCCCAGAATTCCACATCCAGTCAGTGTCCAAAGTCACTCAAAACCAAGAGCCCTCACAGCCAGCAGACCTGTTCCAGAGGCTCCCTGCAGAGTTCTCCCAACAGGAGGGCCTCCTCCCACTGAGTGTTTGTGGAGACGCCAGTGATGGTGCAAGAAGACAAGAGTAGTGTCCGGCAGTGCCTGTGCAGTGCCGTTCCCAGGGCGGCCGTGGGGCCTGTGCAGTGCCATTTCCAGGGCGGCCGTGGGGCCTGTGGTGGCGGTGGGGCTGTGGCGGCTGTGGGGCCTGGCGGCGGTGGGGCTGTGGGCAAGAGAGCTGCTATGCTCCAGTGGAAGCACATGTGTGGGTGCCATGGAGAGCATGTGGGGTTGAGTTGCGTGTTACAGCCCTTTGAGCAGGCCTTGCAGAGCTTATGTGAAGAGACGCAGTCAGAATCAGAATAGGTAAATTTAAATGAAATACAAAAACATTTCAGTGGCCCAAGAGAAAGCAGGAAAGAAGAAATACCATAAGGAATGAGAAACAGAGGCAACAAACAGCAAATAGTGGAAAACCTAAATGCTAACAGATGAACAGACGGGACTGGGCAGCTTATGAGAATGTATTTTTAAAATAACCAACTCTCTGGTGTTTACAAGAAGCTCATTTGTTGTATTTCATTCGGGATGCTGTCACGAAACATGATAGGCTAGGTGGCTTGTGAACAACAGAATCTTATTTCTTGCGGTTCTGGAAGCTGAAAGTCCAAGGTGAAGATCCACTGTGGACCAGGAAGGGGGCACTGACCACGTCACTGGATCTGATTAGCCAGATTCAGTGTCTGGTGAGGGTCCCTTTCCTGGTCCACAGACAGCACCTTCTTGCTGGAAGGAAGGCAGGGCGACGGAGCCACCAGTTCTGTTCATGAGCGTTCTACCCTTGCAACCTCATCGCCTCCCAAAGGCCCCATCTCCAGATACCCTTGCGTCTGGGGTTAAGCTTTCAACATAGGAATGTGGGGCATAAGCACCCTGTGTGTCACACCACTCTAGGTGCTGTGGTGCAGGCGGGTGAGAAGTAAGAGGACAAGATGTGCTGAGAAAACACCCATCAGAAGGAAGCGGAAGTGGCTATGTCAGTGCCAAAGGAGACTCCGAGGAAGGAAGTGACCAGGAATAAGAAGGTTATCTAATTAGAAAAGGAGCAGCTCTTGAAGAAATCCTGCCATAAATGTGTGTGCGCCAGACAACAGGGCTTTCCACACAAAGCAAACGGACGGCCTGTGTAGAAATCACATGATCGCCGGGGATTGCAGCCCTCTCCTCAGTGATGGAGCCTCATAGACAGTCAGCGAGAGCACGGAGCCCGATGACCCCACCCGTGGGTTGGATTGAAATGACACATGCACTGCAGCCTCAACAGCAGAACACCCATCTTTTCAACTTCACAAAGATTAGCCACCAAGATGGAGCATACCTGTCACAAAAGAGCCCTTAACAAATTTTAAAAAATCAAAACCATACGAAGTAAGTTTTCTGACCATGGTGGGGTTAAATTAGAAATCAGTAACAGAGAACAGGAAAGTCTCCAAACACTTGCAGACTAATACAATTCTGAGTAGTCCATGGGTCCGAGAGGATGCCTCAACAAAAAAACTTTAACAAACTGTACACAGGAAAATACAGCATGTCAGAATTTGTGAGACATAACTCAAGCAGTGCCTAGAGGGGATTTATAGGATTAATGCTTTCTTAGAAAAAGAAGATGACTTTCAGTAATCTACGTTTCCAACTTAAACTAGAAAAAGAGCAAAATAAGTCAAAATCAAGGACAAGAAAGTAAATAAGAACAGAAAGCACTGAGATTGATTTTTAAAACAATAGGGGAAATGAGTGAAATCAAAATGTGATGACTTTGAAAGGTAATAAATTGGTAAGCCTTTAGTAGGTACAAAGATAAGAGAGAAGATGCAATGATCAATAAAAAGGAGTGAGTGTCACTAAACCCTGTGGATGTAAAGAGGAGTATCACTGTAGACCCAGTGGATGTTAAAAGGATAATAAGGAAGTATTGGAAAAAAACCCTCTGTGCACATGAATTCTATGGCTTGGGTTAAATGGACCAACTCTTTGGAAAGCGCAGTATATCAGAACTCGCCTAAGATAGGCAGTGCCATAAGGTAAGAAGAAAGAATAAAAGGCATCCAAATTGGAAAAGAAATAAAACAATAAGCCCCCCTTATCTACAGTTTCCGTTACCCACAGTCAACTATGGTCTGAAAATAGTTAATGGAAAATTCCCGAAATAAACAGTTAATAAGTTTTCAACTGCATGCTGTTCTGAGCAGTGTGATGCGGTCTCCACCGTCCTGCTCCAGGTGTGCCTCCTCCTCCCTCGGCCCAGCTGTGCCTCGGCCCCCGTGTGGATCCACTGCCGCAGTGCCAGGGTGCTCGTGCTCAGGTTGCTCTTATGTGACATGAGGCGGCCCAAAGCGCAAGAGCGTGATGCTGGCAATTCAGATATGCCAAAGAGAAGACAGAAAGCACTTCCTTGACCTAAAGATGAAAAGGTGAAAGTTCCTGACTAGAAAGAAACAGATTGTGTGTGAGGTTGCTAAGATCTAAGGTAAGAACAAATCTCTTCTTTATGAAATTGTGAAAAAGGGAAAAAAAGTCCCTTTAATTTCGCTGTTACATCTGAAATTGCAAAAGTGACAGCCACAGTGCGTGTTGAGTACTTGGATCTGTGGGTGGAGGAGGTGAGAGGATGGGAGCAGCAGCGTGTTGCCATTGAGCCTGCAGGAGGCCAGCAAGGGACCCCCTGATATGCGACCCCAGCCACTCACTGCAACTGATTGTCCTCAGTTTATGAATTACACTGGGTGTGGTGGCTCACACCTGTAATCCTGGCTACTCAGGAGGCTGAGGCGGTGGATCACTTCAGGAGTTCGAGACTAACTTAGCAACACAGCGAGACCCTATCTCAGTCAATCAATCAAGTCTGCCTGTCTTTATTTTAGTAATGTATGTATAGGAGAAAGCGCAGCATATATAGGGTTTGGTGCTCTCTGTGGCTTCAGGCATCCCCTGGGGGTCTTGCAGTGCATCCCCTGTGGATGGGGGGGATTGCTGTATCCCTGTGCACACGTGTGATTGGGAAAACCTCAAGGATTGTAGCAAATAATAATATAAATTTAGTGAGGTCAACACGCACAAATCAGTCATAGGTCTGTATATTAGCAATGTGAAATTTAAAACTGAAATTAATATTTAACATGCCATTTATAATAGCTCCAAAAATAATGCGATCCTTAGTTATAAACTTAACAAGACATTCCCAGGATCTGCACCCTGGAAACTACGAAATGCTGTTACAGAAAATCGAAGGTCTACATAAATGGAGAGACGCACTGCGTTTATCACCTGGAAGATGACTCCAAACACAAATTCTCCCCCAAACTGATCTGTTGATTTAGTGCAGTCTCAATCCAAATCCCAGCAGAGTTCAAGTATAGACCAGTTAGTTCTAAAATTTATATGGAGGGACAAATTAACTGAAATAGCTACAATGATTTTGAAAAAATAAGAGGAATCTCACACTTTTGAGACTTACTGTGAAACTCTAGTAATTAAGACAGTGTGCAGTGTTGAAGGAATGGATACAGAGCTCCATGGAACACAGTAGAGTCCAGAGATAGCCCCACACAAACGTGTGGACGGAGAGTCCGGAGACAGCCCCACACAAACGTGTGGATGGAGAGTCCGGAGATAGACCCACACAAACGTGTGGATGGAGAGTCCGGAGACAGCCCCACACAAACGTGTGGATGGAGAGTCCGGAGATAGACCCACACAAACGGGGCCATCAGAGTTTTGACAAAGAGCAAAATAAATTCAAGGGAGAAAGGGTAGTCTGTTCAAAAATGCTGCTGGGAAAAGCAGTCATTTGTGTCAAAAACCAAACGCTGACCTATCCCTCATGCCTCGTGCAAACATCTAAAACTCCAAAGCTTTTGGAAGAAACCATAGGAAATCCTTATGACCTGACACTAGGCAGCAAAATTCAGAACTTTTGCTTCAAGACACTTTTAAGAGAAAGAAGACAAACTCCAGGCTGGGAGAGAAAACATTTGCAAATCACACATCCCACAAAGGACTGATATCCAGAATACATAAAGAACATACACAACTCAGCAGTAAGAAAACAAAACAGTCCAGTTAACTGTCAGCAAAAGAAATGAGCAGACAGTTTGCCAAAGAGGGTGTAAGGATGGCAGCTGGGGCTATCCTGTGTTGTTAGCAATTAGAGAAAGGCAAGCCGAAACCATGGGCAGACCCATGTCCACCTGCCCACATGCCGGTCGGGACACTGGTGCTGGCCAGGATGTGGCCACCTGGGACTCTGTTCTGCTGGCAGGGACACAGGTGAATAGATGAGCACGCCATGTCCATCTCTGCAGGGGCAGTGTCTGGGCAGTGAGGAGCCGTGGACTTCCGACACGTCTGCCACGTGACTGCATCCCAGGGGCCTCCGTGCAAGAGGGGCCCAGATCGGGAGGATCCGCGCGGTGCGATTCCTTCCCGCGGCCCATCCCTGAGGAGCCATCCCCGGGGTGCTGGGGGCACAGCAGCACGGGTGTGAGGGGCCACGTAAGCCGCCGCGTGTCCTGATTGTGGTTATGAATGCGTGAGTCCACATGTGGATAAAAATCTTAGAACTATATACCAGAAACGGTTTACTGATAATTGAAGAAGTACAGGAAACAGTGGTGTTCCATCTTTCAGAACAGATGGGACAATCCACAGTGTCCCTGAGTTACTGCTTTCTCTGGGTTTGCATTGTGGAAAAGGGTTTCCGTCTCTAACCTCCACTGTTTTGAGACCTGTCGCACACCTGTGGCCAGGTGCATCAGATGTCAGCTTGCAGTGTCAGGGTACCTGGAGCCAGTGTCTGACTCCTGCAGAGTGCTGAGCCATCCTGGCTGGGTCCTCGCCCTGGAAACATGGGCCTCAGCCTGGCCCTTAGGGGCTGGGCCTCCCCTACACCATCTGGGAACCCCAGGACAGTGGGGATACGTGCGTCCTCTACATCATTCTCGAGGAGCAGATGCTGAAAGGACTGTTGTCTCTGCATTCTCAGAGGGTCTGACAGCCTGGTGGCGATGCCCACGGTGAGGCCTGCAGCCTGGGAAGGTGGGCGTGAAGGTCATGCAGAGCTGTCCCAGGGGGAGGACAGCACCTGAGAGGCAGGTGTGGGCACTGCATCCCCGTCCTCATGGCCTGTCCATTTTGGGGCTGCACTTCCCCTTCGGGTGGGCTGAGTCAGCCCCGCACAGGGCACACATGAGAGCTCCTGGTTTGCATTCTGGAGGTGGGTGCTGGGAGGGGGTTGTCCTAGGGCCCTGGTGGTGCTGGGAGGTGGCCTGATGGCTGTTTCTGTTGCAGAGGGCAGGGTGCCAGCATGCAGGGCTTGCAGTGTCATCCTCTAGCTTCTTGGTAACTCTGGTGACTCCCCCCGGGATCTGCAGTGCACAGGCTGAGGGGCTTCTTGGACACAGCAGAGGGGTGCCCAGAGACGCTGGAGGCCCTGTGCCCAGAGATGCTGGAGGCCCTGTGCCCGGAGACGCTGGAGGCCCTGTGCCCGGAGACACTGGAGGCCCTGTGCCCAGCTGGGAGGATGGCTTCTCTGGCTGCGCAGGAAGTGGGCGAGCCCCCCGTGGCCCTGTCTCAGCCCTTGGGGCGTCTCCCCAGGTGCCTTGGTGGGCTCTGGAACCCAGGGCACGATGCTTGGAGCTGGCCAAGAGAAGAGTGGCCTCCAGAGTGGAGCCTGGGTCCATCCTTTTCAGCACTGCCCCACCCAGGGCCATTCCAAGAGGAACCGTGACTGGATGAGGAGGGTGGGAGCGGTTCATGTGGAGCCTGGTACTGGCAGACTGCCTGTTGGTCTAGCTGGGGCAGTGGAGGCGATGGTGGTTGTGGCCATGGTGTGGAGGGGGCGTTTGCTCAGTGGCCAGTACTGCTCTGTGCTGTGTGGCCCATTCCCACCTGTGGTGAGCTGGGAGCTGGCTCTCAGGGAGGAAATCCCGACCCATAGTGTTGGCTGTGTCTCAGGTGTGAGCACTCCCACCACAGCACTCTCCACTGCCTGTGGGTGGGGCTGCGGCATCGGCCCCAGCATGCCCTGGTTCAGGCCTGCGGGGGCGGCCGCTGTGGGCATGGCCTTGGAGGACTGAGACCCAGCACCGTGGCAGGGGGAGAGGGGTGGTGGCTGCCAGGTGGGTGCCCTGGGTTTTGGTGTTGTGCTGGGGGAGGAGGGGTGTTAGGGGCTGGGGGTCACCTTATATTAACATGAACTAGAGCACACCCTTGTCATGGCTGGACCCAACAGTAAGAGGCAAACCCAGGGTGTCCATGTCCCTAGGATGCTCCAGCCTGCTCTGGGGCCACGAGTCTCACATGAGGACTGGCCGCCCTTGTGTACAGGGGCAAGAGGGGGCCAGGTCCCTGTCCTGGCCAGGCTGTTAGCCGCAGGTACCCACAGAGACCACCGCCCTCCTCTGCTTTCCCCGGAGAGGGGCTTGGCTTCTAGCAGTCAGAGCAGGGCTCTCCCAAAGGGTGGGGCCTGGCCGGCGAGCCACAGCACAGCTTCCTGGGAAGAGAAGGAGCCTCTGTGTGCTTTCAAAATACAACAGAAAAACAGCAGCACGCACTTGTGTAAACGAATACAACTGAAGCCATGTAGAAGCGGAGAAAACGAAGATGACCCCTTCATTTAATCACACACCTGTACAGCCATGTGGCTGGCAGGCTCCCCAGCGTGATCCTGGCGTAGTTCTAAGTCAGCGCAGGCAGACCCCTCCATAGAGTGCAGTGTGGTCCCCGCAGACAGTGTGTGGGGACAGTGTGCATGTCCAGGGAGGGAGACACCTGGGTCTGCCACACCTCCGCTGCTGGCGCCACCTCTGCCCGCAGATGACCTGAGCGGGTGGGACCCAGTGGCTGGGTGGGTGTGCAGCGGGCGCATGCCCTGACCGTGTCTCTGTCTCCACAGACAGTACTACTGGTATGACGAGCGGGGGAAGAAGGTCAAGTGCACGGCCCCACAGTACGTTGACTTCGTCATGAGCTCCGTGCAGAAGCTGGTGACGGATGAGGACGTGTTCCCCACAAAATACGGTTCGTCTCCCCCAGCACTGGGCGGTCATCCTCACAGTGGGGCAGGGAGCATTCAGGACGTGTCTGCAAGTGACCAAGCTCCTGTGCCGGGAGGGGCAGAGGCACGGAGGGCGGCAGCTGCACCACCCCAGTCCCTGCTTAGCATGGAGCCACCTGGGCTGTGGGGTGAGGCCGGAGCCCTTGGGCAGGGGTCAGCCCAGCCAGGGCCAAGGGCCATCTCCCTGGCCCTCTGGGCCATGCGGCTGCACTGGGCCCCTCTTGGTTTCTGCCGCTCATGCTGCTCTCACCGTCCAGCTTGTGGGCACTTGGGCTGGGTATCAGCCGCCAAGCCTGTGTCCAGATTTTGGTGGGATGTGGTGGGGCTCCACGCCACTCCCGTGCTGCCAGAGGGACGGCAGGGGACAACAGGAGAGGCCTGTGCCACCATCGCCACCTCCGTCCTGGCCCGGGAGATGGCCCCAAGTGTCCATCAGGGAGACACCACGGGGGCCCGAGTGCCCGATCACAGGCCCCTTCCTGAGGAGGTGGCCAGGATGGCCCAACGAGCTCCCAGCCCTCAGGGCAGGTGCAGCCTCCGGAGCCTGAGCACGCAGGGAGGTCTCAGCAGCCCAGACCCGGGGTTGGCAAGTCCCTGTGGTGCCTGCTGATGGGCAGAAGCTGTTGCTGCTGGGGCTTTGTAGGCCCTGAGGGTGGCAGGGTCAAGGTGTGGGTGGCAGGTACCAGACCCACCAGGCTGGGTGCCAGGGGCCTGGCCTCTGTTGGGGCCAAGGGATGTCTGCAGCTTGTGACACGGTGGCCTTCCCCAGGCAGAGAATTCCCCAGCTCCTTTGAGTCCCTGGTGAGGAAGATCTGCAGACACCTGTTCCACGTGCTGGCACACATCTACTGGGCCCACTTCAAGGAGACGCTGGCCCTGGAGCTGCACGGACACTTGAACACGCTCTACGTCCACTTCATCCTCTTTGCTCGGGAGTTCAACCTGCTGGACCCCAAAGAGACCGCCATCATGGACGACCTCACCGAGGTGCTATGCAGCGGGGCCGGCGGGGTCCACAGTGGGGGCAGTGGGGATGGGGCCGGCAGCGGGGGCCCGGGAGCACAGAACCACGTGAAGGAGAGATGAGCCCCCCGGGCCGGACAGGGGCACACGTGTGCAAAGAGACGGTGGTGTGTGTTCTCTCCTGCATCTGCGTGTGCACACATGTGCTGGGCACGCGTGTGGTGAGGTCTGAGAGGGCCCCGGGCTGCACTGGTGTGGGCTGCACAGGCACAGACGCAGACGGCCCCGGCCGTGTCCTGTGGCCCCCTGTCGGATGGATGCGTGCCGTTTGTAGAGAAGAGCCTTTGGGCCCATTCACTCGTTCAGCAGACACGCATGGGACTGATGCTTTGAGTTTTCTTCTGTGGGGTTTTCCTTTCTCTGGTCTCCGTGCAGCCCCTGCCCTCCCTCGGGTGCTGCTGGCCTCAAAGGAGGAACTCGTGGGGGGAGGGTGTGATTTGCAGACCTGGGTCTCTGCTCTGCTCTGGGGGTGGGGCTTGCTTTCACAGAGACCCTCCTTCCCTCTCACCCCTCCTCTCCCGGCCTCGCCAGGAGTCTTGGCTGTTGGCAGCTCAGAGGTGGGGGAGGCCTGTGGTGTGAGGTGCCCTGCACCTGCTCCTGCTCCTGTCACCCCTTCCTGCTGCCTCCTCCATGCCCAAGGAACACCCATGGTGCAGTCCTCAGGCAAGGCCAGGACGGGGCTGA
Organism: Homo sapiens; assembly: GCF_000001405.40. Lineage (NCBI taxonomy): Eukaryota > Metazoa > Chordata > Mammalia > Primates > Hominidae > Homo > Homo sapiens. The sequence continues at coordinate 203,816 of NW_025791792.1, read as the reverse complement.
GGCCCTGCGTGGAGATGCTGCACCAGCGGAAGGCTGAGACCCGCTTACCTTAGTTCATCTGTTCACTCGTAATAAAAAGAATTCTCTCAGGTCAGAGCCTGTGTACGTCTCAGCGTCTCGGTGACCGCCCCCCCCCCACACTGTGGGCATCCCGGCCACTTGCTTGGTGGGCAGCCCCAGGAGCAGGCACCCCGGAGGCTGCCCCGAGAGTGGGGGTTGGAGCAGACTCGCCCCTCACTGCCTGCGAGGGTCCACAGCCAGCCTGCAGGTGCCGTGGGGGCAGCACATACCCTGTGTCACTCGCTCTTCCCAGCTGCCTCAGCCCCCTGCCTCTCCCCGTGCTGGTGGCGGGGACCCTCAAATGTGGCTGCAGTAAGCTGGAGACATCTTCTCCGAAGGGCTCTGGGCCAGCCTGAAACAGTGGCTCTGCCGCAGGGGCCATTCCTGGCCGGGACAGCGTGGCCCAGGGGCAAGCAGGTTTGTGTCCTCAGCCTGGGAGTGGGTGGGCACGTGCTGCAGGGAGAGGGGCCCTAAGCTGAAGCCTGGAGCTTATCAGGACCTGAGTGGGCTGAGAAGCGGGAAGAGAGGGCTTCCAGGGTCAGGGCCTAGTTGGTTCAGACTTCAGGACTGTGGGCTCCTGCCGATGGCGCCTGCTGCACAGTGACCTCGGGCAGTCCGCCCCCCCCCCATCCCCCTTAGCTAGGGGGGCCTGCCCAGGTCGTGGTGCTCCCCTGGCCTCGGGCTCAGCCTGCATGATGCACCTGTGGCCAACAGGCCCCTTCTTGGCTTTCCCAGGGATCGAGCTGCAGGTCAGAGGCCCTTCCCCTGCCCTGTCTCTGCCTCCCACCCCGAGAGCTGACAGCCTCTGGGCTTCTCAGAACATGTCTGGAGTCAGCTGGGGGCGTCTCCTCCGACATCCACGCGTACCCTAAGGCCTTCACCGCCTGGTCCGCCACCTCCCCACGAGGGCCCGCACTGACTCCGTGACCCTGGGCTGCATGGTGAGTCAGTGCCTGGAGCCAAACCCAGTTCCCAGAGAGAGGCCTGCTGGGTGCCACCCACCCTTGTCTTCTGATGCTCTGCGTGGACCCCCAGAGTGGAGGCCCCAGGACACCCACAGAACTTGACTGAAGGGGCTGAGCGTAGGAACCTGAGGCAGGGACCGGCGCTGGCCTAGGTAGCAAGGAGGTCCCCCGGCGAGGGAGGGCAAGAACAGGGGCGGGTGGCCTGGTGGGGCCACCCTCTGGCTGAGGCCCCGTCTAGGGTGTGCAGGGAGCTCCTGGCTGAGGCCACAGGGAGCCAGCCTGGCACACAGCCTGGGTCGCTGTGTGCTGGCGAACCTGGGGCCTGGCTGCCGAGCGGAGGCTGGGTGGAAGATTGGACTGAGAGTGCTGTAGGGCACAGGGGGCTGGGGGCCAGCTCCACTGGGGCTGAAGGGGCTAGGAGGACACCGGGATTCCAGCCAGAGCCTCCAAGGCAGCCTCAGATGGAGCGTGTGTGGAGCCCGTGGGACGGCCTTAGGAGGTGTCCAGGGCGCGCATTCGTGCCGGTCTCACACTCAGGATGCAGCTGCAGGGTCCCCAGGGCACGTGGGAGTCGCGGGCATGAGTTCCTTTGGGAAGGGTGCCTGGGATGAGGGCTGGCGCTGGGCGTTGGGGGCGCCTGCTGCTAGGCCATTGTCTGGTGGACCTGTCCCTCTCCTGGGCTGAGGGGACTGTGCTGTGCGCTGTCCTCCACTGGGATGGGTTCTTGCTGTAAGACCTGGAGTCCTGGTCAAGCCTTCCTGCCTCTGCCTCCGTTTCCCTCCGTGAACAGGAGGCCTGTACACTGAGGGGGGTCTCAGTGTTGAGGGCTCAGCCTCGCCCCCAGCTGCAGCCATGGCTCACTAAGTCTCTATCTATGGTCTGTGTTCTGAAAGGCAGAATGATGGTCTCCAAAAGAGATCCGTGTCCTAATCCTAAGAGACTGTCTCCTTAGATAGCACAGCAGGATGGAAGCTGCAGATGGAATCAGGTTCCCGGTCACTGACCTGAGGAAGGGGAGGTTATCTGGATGGGCCCAGTGTTGTCAGGAGAGCCAAGGGCACTGAGCAGGGAGGCAGCGGAGGAAGACAGCGCGGCGTGGGAAGGGCCTGAGTCAGCAGTGCAGGCAGCTCCTAGAAGCTGGGAAAGGAAGGCACCCAGAAAGAACTGGCCCTGCAGACTAGCCCGGTGAGGTCCGTTTGAGGTAAGTTCATTTTGCCTCCAGCCACGAAGTTCATGGCAACTGCAGCAACAGGAGATGAAGGCAGATTTTGGTTCTAGGCATGAGGCACTGCTGTAGCAAATACCTAGAAAGGTGGAAGTGGCTTTGGAATTGGGCTGAAAGAATTTTGAGGGTGATAGAAAAAGCCCGTGATGTTGTTAAACAGGTGGTAGAAGGATGGAGGCGAGCGGGGCTCGAGGGGCTCGGAGGAACCAGCCTGGGCTCTGAGAAGAGTCAGAGCCCCTCTGACCCGCCCGTCCTCGGACATGTGGGGTTAAAGGTGCAGGTGGGAGCTCAGAGGGAAAGGAAAGAACGGGAGCCAGGGAGAGCCCCGTCCATGGGGGCAGAGGTGCAGCTGCACTCTGTCCCGTTGCCACGTGCGGGCAGCACTCGAGGGTGGTCAGCCTGGGCCCCTTGCGCTGCTCAGGTTGGCCACTAAGTGAGAGAAGGACATTAGCAGAGGGGTGAGCACCCTGCCATCGGGAATTCTCAGCTGAAGATGCTGATGTCAGGAGATTCACTGTCAGGAATGTGTGCTCAGAGTAACGGCCACACCAAGAGCTCCTGGAGGAGGGCGAGCCTGTGGCTGGTGGATGCCCCGGGTCACCCAAGCAGATGCTCAAAGCAGGGACCGCTGTGGGAGGTCTGTGGACGAGCCTTGGGTCTGTGGACGAGCCTTGGGTCTTACGGATCCGGTGAAGCCCTGTGGGAACCACGAGAGGCTCTTAAACCATCAGAAACTCAGCTGGCTTGGACTGAGGCAGAGGGGATGTGATGAAAGGCTCTTGAGCCCCAAAAATCAGCAGGCAGGAAGCAGACTAAACTGTTCAGCTGCAAACACTTGCTACGTTTCATAAATAGAGAGCATGGCCCTGAGGGTGGAGGTGTCAGCACAGAGGCAGAGTTGGGACCCACAGAAGGAGTTCCCAGGCCTTGCTGGGACGGAGGAAGTGTACCCAGCTGGATTTTGGATTTCTTGGGAGCAGCGACACAAGCACCTTGCAGCTTTCTCTGTGTGTCACGTGTGTGTGTGTGTGTATGCACATATAAATGACTGGGTTTCACCGTCACCCAAACTGGAGTGCTGGGTAATCCTAGCTCACTGCAGCCTCAGACTTCCGGGCTCAAGGGGTCCTCCCCCTTCAGACTCCTGAGTAGCCAGCACCACAGGTGCGAGCCACCACGCCCGGCTGATTTTGAAATATTTTGTAGAGTTGAAGTTTCACTACCCAGGCTGGTCTTGAACCCCTGGACTCAGGTGATCCTTTCTGTCTCAGCCTCCCAAAGTGCTGGACCGTCACACCCAGCCAAACTTTCCTTGAAAACAGGAGTGTCTGTGACTGGCATTCCGCGTCTGTTCTCTGGTCGTATTTTGGGAGCAGGTAACTGGTTTTCTAGCTTTCGGGGTCCACAGATGGAGAGGAAACTGCCCCAGGGTGGAATGCCCAGAGTGTCACCCATACCTGATCGGGGTAGCTTAGAGGGTGCGACTTGCGACTTGTGAGCTGATGAGCTGTACGTGAGGTTTGGGACTGGACTGGGTGCTGTGTTTGGTGGAGACTGTTGGGGCCGTGAGGGGAGGGATGCATTTGCACGTGGGATGGGTGTGAAGCAGCGGGAGTGGGAGGGTACTGCGTTCGGCCTGAGACATCCCTTACCACTGGTGATGTCCACATCTAGTCCCATGGAAGTGAACGTGCCACCCAGCAGCAAAGGGGAATGAAAGCAGCGATGGGATTAAGGCAATCAGCTGACCTTGAGAGGCAGAGATGGTCTGGGCCCAGTGAGAGCACGAGGCCTTCATCGTGGAAGCTGGACGCAGGTTGGGATGCGCAGGACACAGCTGTGAGGAGGCTCCACCCACGCTCCTGGCTGCGAAGGTGGAGACCCCAGGCCACGGGATGCAGGCGGCCACAGGTCCTCCCCTGGAGCCTCCAGGAGGAGCACACCTTGATTCTAGACCAGGGCACCCCTTGAGTGAGACCTGCCCAGTCCTTGACTCTGGGACTGTGAGGTATTGGTGTTTTAAGCTTCTTACTTTGCGGTAACTATGGCGGTGATAGGAAACCACAGGAGACAATGCATCTACCAAGCAGGCCAAGGCGTTCTTACAGGGTCCTGGGGGCAGGTGCACAAGAGGGCCCAACTCCCCGGCATGAGACCCACAGTGTAGACTGTGCCAGTCTGGCTGGCACGAACGTGGCTCCCCGGGTAGTGTTCCCTGCACGTCTGTCAGCCCTGCCCGCTCTCCAGCAGGCCCCGCTGCCTGGAAAGTCGCCACTGGTTCTCCCTCCTGTTGCTGGCCTCCTCCTCTCTGGCTCTCTGCTGACCCCGACCCCTTGCCAGATCACACCAAGAGACTTGGGTTGGTGGTAGGGAGTTGGGGTGGGATGGGGAGAAGTCACTGGAGTGAGTGGGGAGGCACTGGACTTAGGGCAGAGGGCCTGGGCACCACACCACTGGAGGGCAGGAGGCAGGCAGGACGGGGAGGCAGGGCCAGTCCACCTGTGGTGAGCTCCCTGGCGGGATGGGAGCAGGGCAGCTGGAACGCCCCACCTTGAAGCTGGCATGCGGGCATCAGCCTCCTGCAAGCTCTGAGGCTTTGTGACACCAGGAATTGTTCCATCTTATAGCTTAGGAGGCTGGGGCTCTGTGCCTCTGCCTTCAGCTGACGGAAAAGCCCAGGGCAGGCTCCCCATGGAGCAGACCTAGGCCTGGACTGCTGTGTGCAGGGCCCCTCCCTGGAGCACCCACCTCCCACCTGCATCCTGTACAGGAGGTGGGTCAGACTGTCGTCCCCCGCCACCCACCTGCCATCCCATGGGTGGGCTCACCAGTCGGCTCGTTCACCAGGGCCCTAGCTCTCAGGCCAGGCCGTGGCAGGCTCTGAGCCCAGATGTGTCCGTCGGATTAGCCACCTGGGAACTGAGGACCAGGACTGTGAAGCCATCCTCTAGGTGGGCAGACCGGCCACCACATCCTTTTTCAATCTCCATTTTAATTTCTTCATAGAAATGATGTGAGGACCGACTGGTGTAAAGTGAGACTAGTGTCTGCCACATCAGAAGTCCTGCCATATTTGTTTTCATTTTTTATATAAACCAGCAGATTCTGGCTTAGCTCGCTTTGGGTTCTGTTACTTACAACCAAGAGAGCTTGGTGTCAGAAGTGGGACTGCAGGACACAGCCCCTTCCTGAGCAGTGGGGAGCTGGCAGGACTCTTGACACACTGTTTCCTTTTGGGCCTCCAGTCATGGGCCTGAGAAGGCTGACTTCTCACCGTGAATGTTTAGAGGAGGGCCAGGAGTGCGTGTGTCAGCCGCTCTCAGAGAAGCAGGTGCAGGACCACAGGTCAGGAAGGCTTCCGGTCCAGGGCCAGTAGCCTGCGACCCCACAGACTGTCCTGTGCCTCACTGAACCGTAGCAGCCAAATTCCTTTCCTCAGCCTGTTTCTTAAGGTAAAATGAACTGGGAAACTGTAATCCAGGGATTGGAATGGATCCTGATTCCCTGGGCCCCTCCCAAGTGCCTTCTCTTCAGGGTACCAACCTCCTGTGAGCTCAGCCACTTGGCAGTCCAGGGTCAAACAGAGGACGGCTCAGCTTCCCTCTGTGTCCTGGGCTCTGAGCGGAGCCCTGAGCTAACTAAGCCTGACTAACATGGTGACCCCCTGGCTCCCTCCAGAGAGATGGGTACAGGCACAGCTTGAAGTTCAGGGCAGTGGCTCTCACCTGGGGGTGATTCTGTCCCCTACCAGGAGACTCATGGCAATGTCTGGGGACGTTTTGTCACAATGGAGGTGGGACAGCTACTAGCTTCTGTTGGGCTGAGACCAGGGATGTGGCCCCCACCCCATCATCATCTCCCCCCTCAGCCATGTGCTTAGCACCTGCTCCAATGATAGACAGCTGGGTGCAGTCCGGCGCATCTGAGTCCTTCACGTGGGAGGGAAGTGTGCGTGGGCCTCCCAGGGCAGCTCTGTGGACGCCGCAGTCTCTGCGTGGACCCTGCTGAGGCCTGCTGCTGGCCTCCTCCAGGCCGCGGTGGACTCCCGGCCACTGGCCTCACACAGCATGGGCCTGGACTTGCCCTTCTGCTGCGGCGGCAGAGGGGCAGCTGGGCCAGGGCGTCGTGCCAGTGGAGCCCACGGCCCTGGCTGCCCTCTGTGGCAGGTATGGCTGGGACCATCCCCGCTCTAGCTCCAGGGGCTGTGCTCAGCCTGGGCCCCTCACTCCCAAGGCTGGGTCATGGCACCCTATCCGGACCCTTCCCAAGTAAGGAGTGGGAAGAAGGCTCATTCTCCAGGAAAAGGCCCAGGCCCTGGGTGGCCGTGCAGGCCTTGTGGGGTGGCAGAGGTGCCGTGCAAAGAGAGCTCCGCCCAGGCCCTGGCCCTCAACGGGAGCCCGCCTCAGGCTGGGGCAGCCTCGGGGGATGGCCCCACACATCGGAAGTGACCTCTGACCTTGGCCGCCCGGAATCTCACCCTCTTCAGCTGGGCAGAGGGTAGCTGCATTCACACTGGCGCAGCCCAGGGGCTGCAAGTGGGGAACAAGAAGCTGTCCCGGGCTGTCACAGAGCCCTGCGCGCCCGCCCTGCCCAGATGAAGACCTGCGTCGCTGTCTTTGCGGAAGGGATTTATTGTTCCGGAGCTGCAGCTGCTCACAGTTATGACAGGGGTACACTGCAGGGGCTTGCCCATTTCCGTGGCGCCTGCTGGAGTCCGCGTGTGTCCGAAGCACAAAAGGGGAAGGCAAGCAAGAGGCAGTTTGCTTCGTGTCCTCGATCTCCGTGGAGAGCCCCTTCCCGCCTGTACCGCCTGGCGTTTGCTGTCCTAGGTGTTTGCTTTTGTTCTTATGTATAGAAATCCCAGCCTGTGGCAGAGGTCTAATGTTAACAGAAGCGTTAAAATCTATACACGAGGTGGGTGGGAGGCAGGGGCAGGCACCGAAGCAGACAGACGACTCCATGGCAGAGGCATGCATCAGACCCGCCGTCCCCCACGGCCGCCGCACCCGGGCTGTGCCCGCCTGGGAGGGCTGGGCACATGGGCGGAAGGGAACACAGAAGCTGGAGCTGGGGTGAAGCACGGCGGCGGGCACTGGGCAGGGTGGGCCTGCAGCCCTCTGAGGGCTGCGCCCTGGGCCTCGCTCTGCACAGAACGCCCTGCAGAGGAGCGCCACCGACTCTTTGTCCTTTTTTTTCAATTTTTTCATTTTAATAAGAAAAGCCTCACAGTGCCCCTGCCGTCCTGTGTGTGGGGAGGGCCAGCTGAGGGCCCTCCTCCTACCCCTTCACCTTTGGACACAAAACCAAGATTGCCCCAGCCTGACAGAGGGGCGCTGGCGCTGCCGCCCGCTACAAGACACCGCCCCTCTGCCCCGAGCCCCCCCAGAGGTGGAGCTGCTTCTCCACAGAGAGACGGAACCCATGACAGAGCGAGCCGCACCGTCTTTAGATGTGTGTGTAGAAAGAAGCAGGAGCAAGGGACTAAAACACAAAACCTGGCCCTGCCCCAGCGGCGCCCCCACCCCCACACCCTTTTCCAAAAACCACCAAGAAAAAAAAGTTTATAAAAATATCTTGCAGGAATTCTTTAAAGTTTACAGTAGCTCGCCAGCCCCCCCGCGCCCCACCAGCTCTGTCCTCAGAGGGCGCCCTGGCCCCAGCCCCCCCACTGCCTGAGACACGCAGACGGCAGGGGATGTGGCCGCCGCCCTTCCCTGAACAGAGGTGCGGAGAATCCATAAATTAAAACGGCAAATAAATAACACTGATCCCAGCCCAGCGGCCTGGCCTGCTGGGAAGGCTCTGGTGCCGCAGGGTGTCTCTGTTTCCACCTCAGCCAGAGAGGAGCGCCAGAGCCCACAGCCGCCCCAGATGAGGCAAGGGAGGCGCGGGTGAGACGAGAGGACGGGAGGCAGCCTGAGGAGGCCAAGACTACACGGAGGCGGCGCAGCCAGGGAGGCGGGGCACGGGCCTGCGAGGAGGCCTCCAGGTGCGGCGTGGAGGCGGTGGACGGGGCCTGTTCCTGTGGCTACGTTGCCCACCAGGGGTCCTGGCCCCAGAAGGCCACCAGGCAGGCTGTTCTTGCTGAGGGGTCAGGTGACCGGGAGTCCGGGTCGGCCGGGCTGGAGGAGGCTCCCCCGAGCCTGGCCTTCCTCCCACGGGCCGTGCGGAGCTGAGGCGAGGAGCTGCCGCGGGGTGGACGGGGCGCTGGGCTGGGCCTCACTGCCCGGCAGCAACAGCAGGAGCGGAGGGAGGGCGGGTCCGCAGCAGCTGCCTTCGGTCACAGAGGATGGCCTCGTGGAGGTGACATGTTAACTTTTCGGGATAATTCCTGGTATCAGAGTGGAAACAAGCGATGCTGTCAGAGACAGGCAGAGGCAGAGACAGAGAGAAAAGAGAGCGGGCGCGGGTGGCGCAGCCCACAGGCCGGCCCCAACGCCCCTTTCCTTTCCTCCCAGGCTCTGAGAACAGTCTGGACGGACGGGCGGCGCGGCCGCGGGTCCACTCGGGGCAGGGCGGGCGGCGGGCGGCGAGGCAGCCGCTGTCAGTGCTGTGCTGGGGGGGGGGGCTAGTGTGTCTAAGGCTGCTCGCGGCGGGCGGTGGGCGGGCCCATCTTGGCCGTGTCCTTGCCCGTTGGGTACTCGGCGTCCCCTCCGGGGCCAGGGCCAGCGGCCGCGGAGTCACCGAGTGGGCCGTGGGCACTCCGCTTGGCGGGCGTGCTGGGGGCCTGGGCCGCCTGCCCGTTCTTCTCGTCTGAAAAAAGTTGTTTAATTACGTCAAAGAAGTTACTCAATGGGCTGCCTGGGTACACAGAACAGAGACAAAAAAAAAAAAAAAAAGGAAAAAAGAAAAAAAAGGGGGAGAGAAAGAGGAGGGGAGGGAAGGAGAGAGAAAGAGAACAAACAAACAAATGAACGAAGAGGCCTCGACGAGGGAAAGAACCCAGAGATGAGGCTGAGATGGGGCCGAGCGGGGACCGGTGGGCGGCAAGCAGGGTGGGCAGGCGGCGGCCGGCAGGGGCCCTGTACGCTGGGGGCTGTGCGGTGGGGAAGCTGTGCGCCGTGGGGCCAGGAACTTAGGACCCCAGCGCCTCCGAGCTGTTGCGCAGGACCCAGTGCTCCTTTGGCGAAGCGAGGCTCGGGGCAGGTGGTGAGACCCCTCCCTCCCCACCAAGGCCTGGCCCGGAAGGCCCTGCCCCACCCCCCTTCCCTCCCCACCTTGCAGCCGTGAGGGCCGACCCACCCCAACGCCGGAGATGACAGCGTAAAGACAAGGGCCTGCTGGGAGCTCTGAAGCCTCGCAGGACCCTGGGGGCAGCTGCTGGCCCCACTGCATGAGGCCCAGTGGATGACAGGGAGAGGGTGTGCCCACCACACCTCCCCAGAGAGGCCTGAAGCCCGACCCCTGGCCAGCTTGGACACAGTTTAGCAGCAGACAGACAGATGAACAGATGGGTGGACAAGCATGGAGGGGTGGATGTGGGAGGCAGGCTGGGGGGCTGGGGGCAAGCAGCTAGAGTCATGTCCCGGGTCCCTGGGATGGGGGCAGTCCTGAGAAGAGGGGCGGAAATGGGGAGCCCACCCTTCTTGGGGCCCTGTGCTCACTGCCCAGGTGTGTCGATGGAGGCCCCTCAATCCCACTTCCTAAGCCTAACCCCCACCTGAGCCCTGAGCTGTGGGCCCCTCCGCTCCCTGCCAGGCACAGCCTCCAGTGGACAGAGGGATGGGCACCGGCCCCTCCCCTAGGCCACAGCCTGCACCAGTGGGACCAGCGGGACCCTCACTGGCTTCAGGCCTTGGGAGCCCCTTCTTGGGCCTGCCCTGATCCTAGGGCCTGGCAGAGGTGAGTCTGGCCAGGAACCCCGCCTGGGCTTGCTGTGGTAGGGGAGCGACCTGGGCTGCTCCTGGTAGAGGATGGGGCCGGGGACATCTGGGCTGCTGGGTGCCTACATCTACACAGGGAGGCCGGGACAACCCGGGCGGCAGGTGGCGGCCACAGCGGGCTGAGGGTGAGCGGTGAAGTGGCAGGTGGAGGTGCCAGGTGAGCGTGGGGGATTCTTACCACATTTGGAAAGCCGCCCCGTCATCATTTCCATACAGTTAGTGGTGTCTGGAGTACAGAATGGAGAGAGGAGGGAGGGAGTGAGTGAAAGGCTGTCCTGGGCCTTCTGGCTGGACGCCCACAGCCTCGATGGGGAGGGGGTGGAGCCAGGAGTGGGTAGGGCCCCAGAGGCATGGGTGGGGAATACTGGGGGGGCCAGAGCCAGAGGGGGCGGGGCTTATAAGGGGCAGTGCAGGGGCAGGGCCTGGAGTGAGGCGGGGCTGCGGAGGCAGGGAACAAGGCGGAGCCACCTGGGCAGCAGCCGGACCTCCAGCAGCCTGAGCCTGAGCCTGGATATGGCCGGTGCCCTGGGTGGGCCTAGCCCCTCCCCTGGGCTGACAACTCTGCCCTGGCCGTGGCCTGCATCCTCACTGTGCCACTCAGCAGCTCCAGGGCCCTGTGGCTTCCGGCTGCCCTTCAACTCAAGGCAGGCACCCTCTTCCTCGGCCCTCTTCCCTACTGCTGGGCCTGGGGATGTTGGTGCTGCCAGTCCAGGACTGGGGTGGGAGCAAGGCCCTGGGAGGGGCTACTCCCTCAAGGCCCTCACTGGCGCCTGCACAGGGTGGACACACGCCCTGGTCTGCCTGTGCCTGCTCACTGGGGGCTCTCAGCCTCCCCTCCCTCGGCCGCAGTCTCTGGGGGGGTGGGCAGTGTCTGAGGAGGCCCCCTGCTGGCTAGCCACCTTCCACACATCCTTGGAGCTGGGCTCACTGGACAAAAGCATCCAGTGTGGGAGGGGGGCAGGGCTGGGAAGGGCTGGGCGTAGCGAGATCACGGGGATAGGCTGGGCTCCCCAAGTCCACAGGGAGATAGATGGGGCCCAGAATAGACCCCCAAGAGCCTCTGCAGTGGGCTCCACTGAGGTCAGGGTCCGGGGCAGGAATGGAGAGGGGCTTGGAGTTGGCTCCAGGGGAGTGCTGCGTGCTGACAGGCGGTACCACACTTTAAGGGGCCAGGCTGGGGGAGCTTTGCCTACAGCCCACGCAGGAGCGCTCGACTGAGGCACCCAGATGGCTGCTCAGGTGCGGGGACACCCTGGGCAGTACCCCGGGGCCCGTTTCTGCTTGCCCTACCAGACAAGCCCTGTCCATCCCTGGCCTAGGTGGCTGCCCTGTCGTTCCCTGGCCTCGGTTTCCCTTCCTAAGATGAAGGCTTTCAAGGCTCAGAGAGCCAGAGGCTGCTGCCGGCCGACGGCATGGCCTCCGCTGTAGGGAAGCGCCACGTGTACCTGCGGGGCCGAGCACCTGGAACCCTGCTCCTCCTTACCCGCTGTGCCAGCCTGGCTCCCAAAATCAGGAGAAGGGGGCTACTCCTCCACCCACTGGGGCTTCGGTTAGGGCCAGGGCTGTTGGGGACCTCAGCCCCCAGCCCGCAGCAAGGTGAAGCACACTCTGGGGGGGCTCCCACAGGTGATGGCATGATGATGGAATGAGGATGTCATGGGGAGGGGCAGTGGGGCCCTCTTTGGCTTCCAGGACCCCACATGGAAACACAGGAGGTGACCCTAGCATGCCACGGAGCTGCTGAGATGCAGGCTGGGAGAGGGGACCCCCAGGGTCCAGCCGGGTGCTCCCCCACGACGCCCAGCGCCCCCACGCCGTACCAGCGTTCAGAGGCACACCCACACCCCCTTGCTGACAGACCAGGCCCATGCATGTGCCCAGTGCTCCGCCCTGCCCCCACCACACATGGGCCCAGGGGAGTGGGGGGAGCCCTCCCTGCCGTATGCCGAGTGGCACGGACCCTCGGGTCCTAGACCCTGGTGGTTCCAGGCTGGGGCAACCCTCCCCTGTGTGAGCCCATCAGGCTGTGGTGAAGCCCCCGCTCTGGCTGGGCTCAAGCCCCTCTGCCCTGCTGGAGGCATGACCCTGGGCTGTCAGGAAGTATGGAGAGATGAGAAGTCACAGCCCGTCAGGCAGCCCGCGGCCCTCCTAGGGTGCCATGGCGGGGAGTCCCGAGGGCAGGGCCTTGTCACTGCTCTCCCAGGTCCTGTGCAGGCTGCCCTAGCAGATGGGCCGCCCGGGGCATGCTTGGCCTGTCCAGGGCCGAGACCTGTGGGTGGGCATGGAGGGCCCTGCTCAGGGCCAGCCTGGCTCCGCCGAGGACCTGCCCGCAGCCCCTCCCCGCCCCAGCACAGGCCGGGCGCCTTACCTGCCAGCGTCAGAGGCTACTCTCGTAGCTGGTGGCCACCTTCTGGCCCTTAAGCCCAGCACCCCAGCTTAGTCCTGGCGCTGGTGGGGGGGGTTCTACGGTGGACAAGAGGCGCCTTTCAGTGTGGTGCGGCTGCGCCCTATGTCCCTGGCGTGCAGAGGCGAGGCGGGTGGTCCCGCCAGGCCAGGGAGGGGCTCTGCTCCCTGAGGGGTGCAGCCACAGCTCGGGGCAGGGAGGTGGGGGCGTCCGTCAAGAGGGGCCAGGAGGCTGCGCCCGGGTCCTCACGCCTCCCGTCCGCGCAGCACCAGCTGGCCACGCCCCACTCGCAGGCCGCAGGTTGGCCGGAGCTGAGCCCGCCTCACCTGACAAGTGCTGGGCCGCAGGCGGGTCGTGTGTGCTCAGCAGCTGGGCCTGGATGGTCTCCACCACCCTCTTGAAGCGACGGCTGGGGCCTAGGGGAGACAGGGGGTTATGCCCTGGACGGGCCTGGGCCCGGAGCCGCCCTGGGGGCGCCAGCTCACCTGAGAGCAGGGTGAAGGTGACGGAGTAGATGCCGTTCTCCTTCTGCGCCTCCCCACCCTCCGTGTAGGTGATATCAACCTGGAACTTGACCGGCTTCTGGAACACGGCTGGCCCCCCCGTGGCCTTGTACTCGGCCCGGAAGCTCGTTTGGGAGATGACGCTGTGGCTGAGACTGGGAATCTGTGGAGAGAGAGCAGCGTGAGCGTGGCTGGCCTGGCAGGTCCCACCCTGGCCCTCTGGGGAGGCAGCCCTGGGGCGAGCCAGCCCCACCGTGCACACATTGTGAGCACCCAGGCACCTCTGCTTCCGTGAGGGGCACAGTGCGGTTGGAGACGGCTGGAGCAGGGGGAGGGGCGTTTCCAGCCCCCACCCTCCAAAGCTTTGGTCCACTTAGCGGGCACAGCTAAGCCCCTGCCGGGCTTTTCTCAGGCAGCCACAGCACAGGATGACCAGGACCTTACAGAGGAGCCTTAAGGGCAAAGATGGAGGTGGAAGGTGACCCCTGCAGCCTGAGGTGGGGGTCCAGGGTGGAGCTGAGTGGGAGGTGGGGGGTCTGGGAGCTGCCACTGAGAGGGAGGTGCAAGGGCGGGGCTGGGGCTGTGCCCTCCTGCTGGGGCTTCCTGGGACTCCCACTGGTTGCGGGACCTATGGTGCTGGGCACTGGCTGGGTGGGCTTCACAGTACCGAGGGGGCAGCTGCAGGAAGCAGAACTCAGGGCCACCCAGCGCACAGGGCCCAGGCTGGCACACAGCCGCCTCACTGGGGCCGGCATGGGGAGGGGCTGAGTCTGAGGTTAGCCGTGGCAACCAGGGGCAGCATGAAGGGATGTGGTGAGGGAGGAGGCCGAGGAAGTGAGCAGCCTGTGGGGACGGGGACGGGGACGCTGAGGACCCCTGAGGCCAGGGTCCAAGTGCAGTCTGAGGCCTGCCCTGCCCAGCGCTGGGCTCTCCTGGCCCTGGAGCCTTCTGCAGGGGCTCCAAGCTGTCCCCACAGCGTAAGGGAAGCTCAGCTGCAGCCAGGGCAGCAGTGGCCTGAGTGCCCGGGGGCAGAGCATATGGTGGGGTGGGGGCCAGTCCCTAGCTAGAGAGGCTGCCGAAGCGAACCACGGCCTGATCTTGCCAAGACCCTGGGGCCAGGGAGGGCGCCCGGGCAGTGGTGAGCACAGGGCAGGACAGCAGCCCTGGGGAGGCAGGCTGGGGGCGGTGGGGGAGGCGGGTGGGGGGCAGCCCCTGTGATGCCTGGGCGCTGGGTGCAGCACAGGGTGGGGCAGGGCCGGCAAGGAAGGGGCGTCCTGATGGGACTGGGTGCTGGAGTCCTGGCAATAAACTTTCTCCATTTGAGGCTTTTAGGGCCTTTCTGCTCCTCCTAACCCAAAGATGCCCAGCAAAGACAAATGAAGCCCACCCAAGACCCCGAGCGCGACCACTCTGTGGAGAGCCACCCGGCCTCCGAGGGCAGGGTGAGACCAGGGAAACTGAGACACCTGAGGGCTGGGGCTGTCCACTGAGGGCCAGCAGAGCCCCACCGGTCCCTAGGGCCATGGCCTCACAAGGGCTTCTCCCCGAGTCTGATGGAAATGTCCCCCTCTGAGACCCACCCAGCTGGAGCCTTCCTTCTGCCCCACGTGCCAGCTGCCCAGGCCTGTCCGGCACACACCTAGGGCTGCTGGGGACCAGTGAGCAAAGCCCTGACTCCCTCCGCAGGCCAAGCACCCCAGATGGGCAGTGACCCCTCCCTCACGAGGGTGGGCAGGAGAGAGCGCCTGTCCAGTGAAGGCGGCCAGGCAGGCCCACGGGTGAGCGGACGTCCGTGCTGTGCGCGTGGACATGTCCTGTCTACGTGAGGAGGCTGGATTCTCGGGGCTGGGCCGTGTGGGGTTGGGAGGGCTGCCCGCCTCCCCCAGCGCCCTGTGGCCTCACCGACAGGAAGGCGTGCACGATGTCAGCCTTGATGGAGCTCAGAGGTTTGTCTTTGATGACCACGAAGATCTGCTCCTCCTTCTCCAGGCTGATGAAGTTCCCAAACCAGGACTTCTTCGCCAGCCTGGGCAGTGGGAGACAGAGGCTGTGAGGATTGAGGTGTGGCACCGTCCACACCCCTGCCTCCCTCGAATCTGGGGTTGGAACGGCGGAATCTTCCATCGCTTCGTGATAGAAACGGCTGTCTCCACAGTGCTAGCCAGAACCCATGGCCCTGACCCCAACGCCCTAACCCTAGCCCATATGCCCTGACCATCACCGTGGCTCTAACCCCAACCCCAACCCTAACCTTTCTCCAAGCCCTAACGCCCTGACCCTGGCCCATATGCCACCCACTCCCAAGTCTGGGGATGCCCCTCCACAGGTGAGCCCCCCACAGGTGAGCCCCCCCTCACCAAGGCCGCTGTGAGAGGTGGCTCAAGCTGGGCTCCTGAAGTCAGCTGTGCCCCCCACCCCCAGGAGCAGGCGGGGCCTGCAACTCGCTTCCAACAGGAGAGTGGGGAGGCGCTTCTGAGGCCACAGAAGGCTACTCCTGTCTTGCTGGCAGGCTCACCCCAACATGCAGAGGCCCTCTGCTCTCCAGCTCAAGAGCACCCGAACCCCACCCACCAGCGCGGGGGCCAGGAAGCCCAGCCGTGAGAGGACCATGGCCAGAGGCGCCTCTAGCACAGCCCGAGACTCAGGCAGAGCGCGCCTGGGTGGCTGTTCAGAGGTGGCACGCTCTGCTGGCGTCCCCTGCCGTTGCTGCCTGGAGGTGGAACCAGGTGTGCTGAGAGGCAGAGGCAGGGACCGGGAGGAGGGGCCAGCAGGGCTGGGGCTCAGTGGTGCCCTCTCCCGACTGATTCTGAGGCCCCTCCCAGCGGCCTCACAACTCCCCTTTCCCTTGCCCATTCCTGGAGCTGCCTCCTCGGCCACTGTGCGGCCTGGGAGTCCTGCCGGACAAGCACGGGGACCAGGTCCAACCCTCACTCAGCCCCTCGACGCCTCCTCAGTGTCCTGCCGGTCTCGGCGGCTGTCTGTTCTGGGTTCAAAACTCCGAGGGCCACCACTGGCCCTGACCTTACCCCAGCCCCATGCCAGGGCCTGGAGCCAGGAAGTGCACAAAGCAGCCTGGCAGTTCTGGAAGCACAGGTGAGTTTCTACATGGTCGATGTTCTGCCCGATGAAGAGACAGGACAGATGGTACAAACGTGACTCTCTGCTTTGCGGCCCAGGGGTGCAGCATTTGGCAAAAATAGTCCCATGTGTGAAAGATGCCTGACGGCCCAGGGAGGCCAGGCCGACGAGGGGTGAGGGGCCTGCACTGTGACTCCAGCACCCACGTGGTGGGCAGTGCACAGCCTGGCCGGACACTAGTCTGGGTGTTGCTATGAAGCTATTTTTAGATGAGACGAACTTAAATCAGTCGCCTGTTGAGTCTGGCGGGGGACCCTTCCTCACAGGGTGGGTGCATCCGCCAGGTTCGGTCTTCCTGGGGAAAGAACGCCCCTCGAGGCTGCAACCTGGAAACTGCCTGGGCTTCCAGCTAGCACTTCAGACTCAAGGACATCAGCCCTGAGTGTCCCAGACAACCGCATGCATCCCTTCCTGAAGCCAGCTGCCTCCCTTGGTGCTGTTCCTCTGGGGTGCCTGGTTGACATGGGGCTGGCAGCAGCTGGGGCTGGGGGTTATCTCAGGTCCCCAGCAAGCGAGTTGTCGCCAAAGAGGGACTGTGGGAGGCATCCGTGCTGGACCCTCGTCCAAGGCGTCTGTGCAGGACCCTCAATAAGGGCTGTCACAGGCATCTGTGCCGGGCCCTTGGGTGGGGCTGTGGGAGGTGTCTGTGCTGGACCCTCGGGAACGGCTGTCGCAGGCATCTGTGCCGGGCCCTTGGGTGGAGCTGTAGGAGGCATCTGTGCTGGACCCTTGGGAAGGGGTGTCTGTGCCGGGCCCTTGGGTGGGGCTGTGGGAGGCATCCGTGCCGGACCCTTGAGAGGGGTCAGGGCCTCCAGGCCATCTCAAGATGGGGGAGGGGAGAAGCGCAGGCAGCCACAGTGGCATCAAAGCCACCTTCTCGGCTTTGATGTTTTCCACCTTCTCTGAGGAAGATAATTATGAGTCTGTTCATGAAAGCTTTTGGTAGCAGCAGAAACGGCAATGTCAGGGCCTAGGCGGAAGGTTCCCAAGTCTGCTGAGCCCTGTGCATCTGGGCTTGCGACAATACCTACACACCTCCGACCTGGGCACCCAGCTGGAAGGGCCACCTGATCGGCGCAGAAAGGCCACTGGGTGGAATCCTGGCACAGGCTGCAGATGCTGCTCCTGGGGCTTAGCACTGAGCAGTTTCCACAGGGGCCCCTGGTTTAAAGCCAGCAGCAGGACGAAGGTTCTCGTCTTACTCAGTCCACAGCTGGCCACATCTTCATTTCCCGGGGTCTCCTGTGAAGTGACTCCAGCCTGACCGCCGCTCTCTGCCGCTGCCTGGCCTGGGGTCACGCTGCAGGCTCATATGTGTACACCGCCAGTCGCCTGGTCTCCGAGACACTGCCCAGTGACTGAGGCCATCGTGGAGAGGAGGGAGAGGGCCTGGGCGCTGGGAAGGGGTCTCTCTGGGGACATCTTTGTCCAGACACCAGTCACAGCGGCCCCCAGGGCATCTCAGCACCTGGGCGCTGTAGAGTCTCTGCAGTGGCACCTCTCACGGCTCAGAAAGGCGGCGGGGCCAGACCTCGGCTTGGCTGCTCCGCTCCGCCCCTGCACACGTGTTCCCACCAGGCCTGCTGCCCCTTTGTTCTTAACACGGGCTGCTTTCTCCTTGAGACCTGAGCGACCCGGTCTCTGCCCTTGGCGAGCTCAGGCCCTGGGGAGACTCTGCCCAGTGTACCCCCTGCTCGCCTCCAGCCAACCCTAGGCTCTCCCAAGGCCTGAAGCTTCTCAACAGGGCTGGGGGCTCCTCCCCTGGCTGGCCTTCCCCTCACAGCCGGGAATTCGAACTTCAGAGACTCAGTGGCCGAGACGGGCCTGCCTGCAGTGGGAGGTGGGGCCACGTGGAGAAGGAGCACCCCGTTGGCCATAGGGGAAGGGTTCCATGCCCCTCTCCCGGCCAGCCTGGTGTCAGGTACCAGGAGGCCTCCAGCAGGGGCCACTTACTCTGGGGACGACTCTGGTGTCAGGTTGGACATCTCCTCCGGCGTCGGAACTGTGCACACAGGATGAACAGGAGGAAAGGCGTGGTGACCGCTCCATCCTTCCCCTGCCCTGGCCACCTTGCGCCGAGGTCAGGGTCATCAGGAGTCCACCCACACACACTGGGACAGCCCCCCCAGGGGCACTGGTCCACCCCAGCTCCCGGCCACCTTAGAGGCCCACTGGCAGTGGCGCCCCCCAGGCTAAGGGGAGCTGTCCCCGCCTCTGGTGCTGAAGTCGGCTGTGCCTTCTCCAGCAGCACTGGCTGGCCCTTGGTGCCCCACACATGGGGCCTCCTGACTGGCAGTGCCCCCTCGGTGGCCAGCTCTCCTTGCTGTGTGCCTGGCCCCAGGACACAGAGTGGGTAGACTCAGGAACACAGAATGTCTGGAGGGGATACCAGCCTGTGCGACAGGTAGGACACAGGCTGCTGCTGGGCGCTTTCGGGACAGTGAGACGTGGGCAGGCCCAGGCCACCCCTGCAGCTACAGGCCCCTCGGACTGGTCTGGCACTGCCGGGCGGGGCCCTCCCCAAGGCAGCCTCTGCTCTCTCCCAGCCCCACTCTGGCGCCTCCGGGCAGACACTCACCTTGCAGTTTCCGGCGGTGGAAGCGGGGTGAGCCCAGAAAGCTGTTCTTGATGGAGTTGAGCCGCGCCCTCCAGGGCACCCCTCCGACGCTGGGGCTGGACGGGGGCGTGGGGTTGGGCGTGCCAGCCGGGCTCTCCTTTGGCGTGTGGACAGGTGTCCCCTTGGGGGTGGGGAGGGGACTGCCCCTTGGTGAGGGGTGAGGGGTCACCTGTATGGTGGGGACAGATTTGGTGTTTGGTTCAATCCCGGCGGGTGGGGGCCGGGGGGGCACCCGCAGGGCAGGCGGGCCCAGGGGTGGTGCCAGCTGGGGACAAAGGCCAGTGGCGGGAGGCCGGGCTGGGGTGCTGGCCGGGAAGGGGTTGGACTTGGTGCCCTGCAGAGGCTTGTCGGTCAGCTTGGCCTTGCACGGCAAGGTCTGGGTCTTGGGGTCGGGCCGCAGGGCGGCCTGCAGAGGGAGGACGTGTCCAGGCCTCGAGGCGCTCCCACAAGCTTCGGGCTCCGTGGAGGTGGCCAGGGGGCGGGCCACGAAGGGCGGCTCGGGGGGCGGTGGGGGCAGGACAAGCTTCCTAATAGGCTACGGGGAGGCGCAGGGAGCGAGCGGGGTGGGGGCAGCCGCGCGGCACATGCACCCCAGTCCCCCGCATGCACACGGCACAGGAGGACCAGAAAGAAACAGGCGGGAGCGGGAGGGTGGGGAGGCAGGCAGGCATGGGCAGGAGGATTAGCCACAAAAGAAAAGAAGTGACACACAAGAAAACAAACAAAACAAAACAAAAGAGCGTGCAGTTAGCAGAGCAGCCTGCGCCACAGAGCAGCAGCCGCCACAGGAGCGTGGGCATGGGGGGCGCCTGGGGCTGCTTCCCAGGGTCCGCGAGGCTGCCCCCACCCTGGCACACGCTGACTGGGAGGGTTGGGGCCTCTGTGCATCCGAGCTGGGTGGGGGCGGGGGGTCACTCACCCGGGGGCTGCTGAGTGGGCTGGTGGAAAGGCCTGAGGAGGCACCGCTGATGGACCGAGACCTGGAGGTCACAAGGTACAGGGCCACTGCTCAGCCAGGGGGCAGTGGAGCAGCAGGTGCTGGGCTCTGCTCCCCCCAGGTAAACCCTCCAGGAGGCCTGGAGCCCGGGCCAAGAGCCTCGAGGCCCTGGGTCCTGCTGCACACCCTGTCAATTCAGGAGGGCCCAGGGCGCCTGGCTGTGCCCAGCCCCACTGGGGCCCCCATCAGAGCCCACGTGTGGGGGCCACCCCATGCCAGCAGCCCAGGCACAGCACAGGATACGGCATCAGACAGCCGCGGCAAAGGACCATCCAGCGTGGGGGTGGACGGAAGGACGAGGGGACAGACGGGAGCTTCCTGTATGCAGCCCCTTCTGCTCCAGGCCTCGTGCTGGCTCCAGCCTCCCACCTGCCAAGCCCCCCCTGGCTGAGCTCTCACAGGGCCTGCAGCCTGGTCCTCCATGTCCCTAGATGCCCGTGAGGGATGCCTGGGTCAGCGGCCGGCCCTTCCCTTGTCCACAACCAGGAGGGCCTGGGCAGGGCCAGGCTGGGGCAGCTGCTGGCAGGGACGGTGGGGCCTTGTCCCACCACTGCCCTACTCAGCCTGAGACCTGCACACAGCAGGAGGGAGGCCCTGGCCCGGCGTGCCCGGCTGAGACTCCGGTGTGTGGCCGCCACCCCCGTGCAGGGACCAGGACGGCTGTGCGTCGTTCCACCACACTGCACGGACGAGCCGGCGCCCACGTGCCCAGACAGTGGCAGCTGCCATCCTTGGAGGAAGGAAATGCAGGGAGGGGCCGAGGCAGCCGCCGAAGAGAAGAGGACAGAGAAGAGTAAAAGCCCGGCCTGCACTACCCACCAGGCCTGCCCACCGCCAGCCGGCCACGAGGGGCCTCGCTAGTCCACACCACGGCCCAGGCCCCGGACCGTGGAGAGTGCCACGCTGGCCACACACCTGGCTCCCGGACACCCGGGGGCTGGTCCCCACGGTGACGACCCTCCAACTCCCTCACCAGACACAGCCAAGGGGCAGGGAGGCGACGGGGACCCCATGCACAACCCAGCCTGTCTGGGCCAGGATGACACCCAGGGCTGGAACTGGACCCAGAGCTTTCAGGGCTGAGCTGGGAGCGCGGACAGCCCTCATGGGGGCAGCAGCCACCAGTGAGGCCCTGGACCTGTGGTTCCTGTCGAGCCCGCCCAGAGCTCGTGACTGGGCACGAGGAAGACAGAAGAGGCGCTGGAAACCCCGGGGTGGAGGGGCCGAGCCCTGGTCCTATCCGGCCAGGCAGCTGCTGGGAACACTGAGCTACAGTTGCTGGGGCAGGGGCAGGAGAGACGGCGCCAGCCCTGAGGGCAGCCAGGGCAGGCAGAGTGAGGGCACACAGGTGAGGGTCCCAGGTAGGCACGGGGCCAGGGCTCAAAGAGAAGGACCCCGACCGGCAGCCAGCACACTGCAGCCTTGGGGGCGGCGCCACCCGCCCAGGCTCGCAAAACTGGCCCCAGGTAGAGGCCCCTCTTGACGGCGGCGCCTCCTGCCCTCCTCAGCTCCTGCAGGTGGGCACAGGACGGCTGCTCGGCTTCAACTCTGGCCGGCCCCAGGGGCAGCAGGGCCACCGAGGCCCACCGGACACAGCACAGGGGCTGGCAGGAGGAGCGGCTCGGCCTGCAGCCACGCCGGGCTCTAGCCCCAGGCCCTGTAAGCCATGGTGCGTGGTCCCTCACAGGCAGGCGTGGGCCACGCCTCAGCAGCCCCACCCCTCCTCGGCCTCTGCCTGGCCCGCGGGCCCTTGCCTGGCTTGCTGGCTGGCTTCACCGCAGCAGGAGCCCTGCAGCCCAGCCCGCCACCAGACCCGCCCATGTGCCTGCCCGGCCTGAGGCAGGACAGCGTGTCTGGGGCTGGGAGGTGCGGGGACGGGTGGTCGGGGTGTATACCTGTCTTCTTTGCTGAATTGGGGATGGGCCTCAGCGATATCCAGGCTTTTACTGAACATTGCTTTACTACAGCAGAACAGAGCGAGAAAACACAGTTACTGACGGCCACACGCGGGCACAGGTCGGCCCCCAGGGCCCGGGCCACACCGGGTAAGAACTCCACGTGGCTCTGAGGCCGCTGCACAAAGATGGCGAGAGAGGAGGCTGGGCCAGACAGCACACCCCGCACCGTGTGACTGCTGGGCAGGGTGGCCTGGTAGCCCCCACCCCAGCCCCCAGGACCCCTGCGTCCCCAGTCAGCAGCCCTGTGTGGCCCAACACCAAGCAGCTGGGTCTCTGCTGGCTGCACAGGTGGCCCCACCAGGAGTGGAATCTGGCTGGGACATGCCAGGACTAGTGGCCTTCCAGAGGCCCCGGAATGGTCCATGGCCTGGCCCATCCCACACCTGCCCCAGGCAGCCAGGCCTGGGAGTTGCAGCAGAGGCCAAGAGGGCGGCCTCCCACGCCGCTGACCGGAGGGGCCAGGCAGTGGGGTGGTGGGGCCTGCCCTGCAGGGTCGGGGAGTCCGGGGAGGTGGCCACGCAGGCAGGAGGCAGGCACCTGGGCTACAGGTTGTGGTGCCCCCATGACATGCAGGCCACTGAAGGTCAGGACAGTAGAATGTAGATAGGAGGGCCCCTTGCTACCCCCTAGTACTGGCGTCAGGGCTGCGCTGACTGGGCCCTGGGAAGGAGGTTCTGGGGGCTGGGACCCCACGTTGGAAGCTGGGCCAGCCTGAAACCCTGGGGAGGGCCTAGGACTCCCAGGGGGCCATGGCCTGGGAGCTGCCAGAACTGGGACCACCAGTACTCTGGCCAGGGCTGGGGCTGGAACAGGTTTAGCCTGATGGCTGCCAAGCTACCTTGCAGTTCCCCACAGCTTCCCCCAAGTTCCCGAGGAACAGGCCACGCCTGTCCCACCCCCCACATCTCCAGTACAAGGAGGGGGCCCTGGGGTGCTGAGGCCCAGATCACAGGGCAGACCAGAGACTGCTGCCCGGGCTCCTGGACCTCCTGGTGTGCTCCTGGGCCCAAGGGCTGTCCCCAAGTGTTGGAAGCTGCCACCTGGTGAGGGACGTTTGAGCTCATCCCCAAGAGGCCGCACCGGCTCCAAGGATTTGCTGAGGGCCTCGTGCGGGCAGCCCAGCCCTGCCCCCACCCAGCAGAGGCTCCAGAGGGGCTGGGTGCCCTTCCTCCGGCCACGGGTCTGCTCATCACTGCTGAGTTCTGTGATGTCCCTGGCCACACACACCACACTTGCCACCCAGAGACGGGCCCAGCATTGCTGGGACCAGGGGGACAGGCTTGCTGGGCTGATGGCTCTGAGCATGGTGTGACCATATCACAGCTCAGCCCAGCCAAGCTTGGGTCAAGCCAGCCCAGCCCAGCTCAGCCCTGCCCAGCCTGGCTCGGCTCAGCCAAATCCAGTTTAGCCCAGCCCAGCCCTGCCCAGCTCAGCCCAGCCCTGCCCAGCTCAGCCCAGTCAAATCCGTCTCAGCCCATTCTAGTGCAGCCTAGCCCAGCTCAGCCCAGCTCAGCCCAGCCCCGCCCACCCTAATTCAACTCAACCCTGCTCAGCCGCGCAGTCCAGTACAGCCCAGCTCGGCTCAACCAAGTGCAGTCTAGCCCAGCCCAAACTAGCCCAGCCCAGCCCAGGCCAGCCCAGCTCAGCCTAGCCCAGTCCAGTCCAGCACAGCCCAGCCCAGCTCAGCTCCCAGCCCAGCCCAGCCCAGCTAAGCCCAGCCCAGCCCAGCCAAGCCCAGCCCAGCCCAGCCCAGCTAAGCCCAGTTTAGCCCATACAGCCCCACCCAATGGCCTCAGCCGAGACCCCAGGCCAATGGGTAGCGATGAGCCAGGCGGCAGTGCCGCGCAGCCAGGGCCCAGGGAGGGAGGCCCAGCAGCCTCGGGGCACACACACCTCTGGCCGTGCTGGGCCATCTCAATGGCCCGCCGCGCAGGCACCGGGGAGCCGCCGTCCGTCACGCTGAGCACCTCCATGGATTTGCGTTCTGGCCGCCGCTTGCCGTGCCGGTTCAGCATCGGGGAGTCCACACGCTTCCGGGGAGGGTCTGAGTACAGACGAAGGTCAGGCCAGACAGCCCCCGGACCCCGGTGGGGCAGTGCAGGCCGGGCTGGAGGCCACCCCTGGACCCATACCTATCTCGTTCCGGGGGGGCAGGTCCTCATCCTCCTGGCTCGGGTACCTTTCTTTCCGGTCCAGGAGGAGGAAGTAAATCATCTTCTCCTGGTTCTCCCTACAGCGGGCGAGAGGCGCGAGACGCGCTGGCACACGGGGCCGCCGGCTCCTCCGGGGCAGCGCTCCCACCTCAGGCCCCGTGCCCCACCCGGGAGCAGCCCCAGACGCACTCCTCGGACAGCAGGTCCTGCAGCAGCTTGTTGCGGTCTCGGAAGCAGCCCAGTGAGTGCATGCTGTCCAGCACGTCGGGGTCGATGTCCTCCAGGCTGGGCAGCGAGCGGATCTGCACCTTGCGAGGAATGGGCTGCTCTGGTTCGGGCTCATTCTTGCCCCCTCTGTGGACACAGGACGGGCCACCCGCTCATCAGCTCCGGCCGGGCCTGGGCGGCTGCGAGGGTGGGACGCCCGCCCTCACCTGGGGCCCTTCATCCTGCCACTCTCCCTGTGCCCAGCCCGGGGAGGCCTCCTGCGTCCTGCCCGCACCCCGCACCCAGCGCAGGCCACGGAGGGCCAAGGCAGGGCAGGACCTGCGCTGGGCCGGCGCCCTCCCCCCGCCTTTCCTAGCAGGGCCTCCAGGCCACAGCAACAGGCAAAGCAGGCGATTAGTGGGTGGAAAAGCTACTTACATATACCATATGTGTTTCTGAATGTGCTCTAGCTACAAGGAAAGAGAAACAGGGAGTTAGTACGGACGAGGGACGGAAAGAGCCCACATTAGGAGGTGAGGGGGAAGGCAGGGGCGCTGGGAGCACGGAGAGAGCAGGAGAGGGTGAGGGCAAGTGAGTGGGGGGAAGGTGGGGAGGAAGATAGGGAGGGGGCTGCGTTCCCAGAGGCTCAAGGCCAGCACCCCTGCTCCTGCCTCTCCCAAGTGGAGAAGAAAACACACACCTCAAGGAGGAGAGAAGTCGGGGGAGCTGGAGTCGGAGGGGGTGCTCCAGGTAGGGGCAGGGGCCTGGGGAGCGGAGGGAGAGGGGGAGGGAGGGAAGCTGGAGCCAGGGCAGCCCCAGGTGCCTGTGCTGCCTGGGCTGGGCCCCTCCGTGGCTCTAGGAAGGAACCAAGGCAGGAGAGCAGGGAGCAGCCAGGAGGGAGCTGAAGCCAGAAGAACCCGGCCCACCTGTGCGGCGGGGCAGGGCTGGGTGCAGGTGCAGGCAGGAGGCTGGGAGGGCCGGCCAGCCACACGGCCCCTTCTCTCCACCCTGACTCAGGGACAGCTCGTGGGGTGTGAGGCAGTGGCCACTTGGGAACAGGTCAACGCTACCCTGGAAGGGTCAGCCCAGAGTGTGACCTGCTTCTGTCAAGTGGACACGTGCGGTCCCCACACCAGGCAGCCCTGGAGGAGGTCAGGACCAGCAGCTGGGGGCTACCTTTGGCTCTTGCTAGCCCCCACAGCTGCTGGGGGCACTCAGCAGAACTATTCACGCTGCCTGGAGCTTGCCCCAGCAGCGTCTGGAGGCAGGATGGCCGTGATGGGGAAGCACCAGTGCTTTTGTGTAACTTATAGCCAGGTCTCACCTACATGTGCACACAGCCCCCCACACCTGTGCACACCCCACACTGGTACAAGTGCTCATAAGCACCTGGACACACCTCCCCACACGTGCACATGCCCACACCTACGCCCTCACCCAATCACATGAACCTGGGCATGTGCCTGGGTACCCCCACACCCTTGAACACACACCTGGGCATGTGCCTACATTTGTGCACCCACACACCTGAACACGAGCCCACACACGCCTGGGCACTCCCACACCTGGGTGCGCACACACACTTGAACACTCACCTGGGCACCCACACACGGCCATGGGCCCACATTTGGTCACCCACACCTGAACACAAGCCGACACCTGTGCACACGTCCACACACCTGGGCACCGACCCACACACCTGGGTGCCCACACGTCTGGGCACACACCTGTGCACACACAGGCACACGCCCGCCCCCGCGCCCCCCCGCCACGCTCTG
The DNA here is from genome assembly GCF_000001405.40 of Homo sapiens. NCBI lineage: Eukaryota > Metazoa > Chordata > Mammalia > Primates > Hominidae > Homo > Homo sapiens. The sequence goes on along the minus strand of NW_025791792.1, from coordinate 177,928 downwards.
GGGCCGCCCCGCTCCGAGGGCACGCACCGTGAGGCGGCGTGCGGCGTCCACCTCGATCATGCCCCGTAGCAGACTCTGGCAGTCGGGCGGGATAAAGTGCGGCATGTGGAACACGCCCCGCTTCACCTTCTCCAGCAGCTGTCGCAAGTTGTCATCGTCGAAGGGCAGAGCCCCCTGCGGGCGGCCGGGTGTGGGGGTCAGCGTGGGGGGGCAGGTTTGGGGAGAGGCCAGGGCAGGGTTGAGGGGGCCAGGGTCTCACCACCAGCAAGGCGAACAGGATGACGCCGCAGCTCCACACGTCCGCCTTCCGGCCGTCATACTTCTCCCCCTGTGGACAGCAGTGCCCGGGCTGTTGGGGGGCGCAGGGCAGGGCGGGGGCCTTGGAGGGCCTGGGCTCAGAGGGAGTCGGCCCGGGGACAGGCAGCCTAGCAGCACCTGGGGGTGCGGCAGGCTGGGGTCCCACCAGGGTCAGGTCCCCGCCACCCTGGGCCCCACAGAGCTGCACGCGGCGGCGCTGACTCACCCGGATCACCTCGGGGCAGGCGTAGTGGGGGGACCTGCGGGCAAGGGCAGAGGTCAGCGGCGGGGCTCCGGGCGCTGCCAGGCCCTCCCCCCAGGGTGATGGTGCACCGCAGGGCCCTCAAGGAGGCCTCCAGGGCTGTGGTGCCAGACGCCCCCACATTCCCTGCATCCCCAGGCGGGCTTTTGGGAGGAGATCAAGGTGGGGCACTGGGTCTCTGCTGCGCCCAAAGCTGTCTGCCCACTCGGCTGGGCAGGGGCCAGGGGGTCCCCAGGAGAGGGGCATGTAAGTGGGTCCCAGCCTCTCTCCCAGGCAGGCCAGGGCCAGGGCTGTACCCCTACCCTTACTGTGCCGGGAGGCCTGTCTCCCCACCACCACCAGGCTGTGGGGTACTGGGAGGCTCAGGCACATTGTGGGGGGCCTGCCTGTGGGGTGCCGGGAGGCTCAGGCAGGCTGGGGGCCTCTCAGTCCACTGGCTCCTCTTCCCCCAGCCCAGCCTGTCCCCCAGCCTCTCTCCAGGGCAGAGGGCCACGTACCCACAGCTGGTCTCCAACAGGCTGTCGCCAACCTGCAGGGACGCCATGCCAAAGTCTGCGATGCGGATGTTGTTCTTCTCGTCCAGCAGGAGGTTTTCAGGTTTCAGATCCCTGTGGCTGGGGAGGAGGGTGGTGAGGCTGAACAGGGCCAGTCTCTGCCTTGAGCGCCTCCCCGCCCTGGAGACCCCCTGCCCAGAGCCCACTGCCTCTCCAAACGCCAATCACACATAAGGGCCAATAGCAGCCCAGCCTGGTGATGTCATAGGCAGCCAATCAGAAGTCGCCTGCCTGGTCCGTTTGGCTCTGGCCTTTGGTCAGGCATCCCTGTTTCTCCTGCCATGCCCTCCTGCACCCTGGCAGGCTCCTTCCTGCCCCCTCCTGCTCCCTAGCACACCTGCTCTGGCCTAGACCAACCTAGGGCCCCCAGGCACGTAGGGATGCAAGCAATGGCCCCTGGAAAGGCCGAGGGGCTCCCAGAGTGCTTGGGTGGGTGCCAGGCAGAAAACTTCCCGACACACTGCCCACTCGGGAAAGGGGAGGTGCAGGGGGTCCTCAGGGGGAAAAGGGAAGCACCTGGTGCACATGGTGCACTTGAGAGGTAGCTAATGGGGTGGGGGGGACAGTGCACTTGAGGGGTAGCTAATGGGGGGGACGGTGCACTTGAGGGGCAGCTAATGAGGAGGGGATGATGCACCTGAGGGGTAGCTAATGAGGGGGATGGTGCACTTGAGGGGTAGCTAATGGGGGGACGGTGCACTTGAGGGGTAGCTAATGGGGTGGACGGTGCACTTGAGGGGTAGCTAATGGGGTGGACGGTGCACTTGAGGGGTAGCTAATGGGGGGGAGGGGATGGTGCACTTGAGGAGTAGCTAATGGGGGGGACGGTGCACCTGAGGGGCCACTATGGGGGGACAGTGCACTTGAGGGGCAGCTAATGGGGGGGATGGTGCACTTGAGGGGCAGCTAATGAGGAGGGGATGATGCACCTGAGGGGTAGCTAATGAGGGGGATGGTGCACTTGAGGGGTAGCTAATGGGGGGACGGTGCACTTGAGGGGTAGCTAATGGGGTGGACGGTGCACTTGAGGGGTAGCTAATGGGGTGGACGGTGCACTTGAGGGGTAGCTAATGGGGGGGAGGGGATGGTGCACTTGAGGAGTAGCTAATGGGGGGGACGGTGCACCTGAGGGGCCACTATGGGGGGACAGTGCACTTGAGGGGCAGCTAATGGGGGGCACGGTGCACTTGAGGGGCCGCTAATGGGGGGGATGGTGCACTTGAGGGGTAGTTAATGGGGGGGATGGTGCACTTGAGGGGCAGCTAATGGGGGGGAGGGTGCACTTGAGGGGCCGCTAATGGGGGGGACGGTGCACTTGAGGGGTAGTTAATGGGGGGGATGGTGCACTTGAGGGGCCGCTATGGGGGGACGGTGCACTTGAGGGGCAGCTAATGGGGGGACGGTGCACTTGAGGGGTAGCTAATGGAGGGGACAGTGCACTTGAGGGGCAGCTAATGGGGAGGAGGAGATGGTGCACTTGAGGGGCAGCTAATGGGGGGCATGGTGTACCTCGGAATAGCACCATAGGGGGTGTAGTCCTTGGGGCACAGGGGGCATCTGTGGTAGCGCACTGGGTGTGGGGGTCCCTGGGGAGTGGGGGGCACCAGGGGTGGGGCCTCACCATATGGAGTGGCTGTGGCAGAAGTCCAGCGCAGAGATGATCTGCCGGAAGAACTTCCGAGCCTCCTTAGGCGTCAGCCTCCCCTTCTTCACCAGGTAGTCGAAGAGCTCACCACCTGACACGTGTTCTAGCACCAGGTACCTGCAGGAGACGGGGCCACCAGTGCGCCCAGCTGTGGCTGCCCGCCGCCCCTCCTCATCCCAGGGCCTCCCACAGCCGCCTCCTGGCCCAGCCTCTCTGCAGGCCGCCCCCATCCTCTTGCTGGCTGGGGGGGCAGCTGAGAGGAGCCCTGACTATGGTGGATCTCAAACCATCTGGGCTCCTGGGGGTGGACCTCAAATGAGTCTTCAAGGAGCCTGGGTTGGGGTGGGGTGGGGTGAGGGTGGAGGGACAGGTGAAGGGATGGTTCTGGGGGCACAGCCGCCAGGGAGGGTTTGGAACCCACAGGCTGAGTGTGGCGGGTGCTGGGGCCAAGGCTCGGTGCATGGGGTAGCCTCGGGACTCTGCCCTGCCTGCTCTGGCCCTCACACCCTGTGGTCCTCAGTGGCACAGGCACCGAGCAGGGAGACCACGCAGCCGCATCCAGGGGCCCAGGGACTGTCTGGGCCTCTGTGGGGGGAACAGGAGGTGTGAGGGCCAGGGGAAGGGGGTGAGGAAAAGGTTGGCCTGGCCCTCCCCTTCCTGCCCTGGTGGGCTCCCAGCACCGCCCCCGTGGGGTCTCAGCCACATGGAGGGTCCTGAGGGGCTGGTTCCTGGTGAGAGGCCCGTGGGACGCTGCATGCAGCTGCTTGGGGGCCGCTCCACCCAGGCTGAACCAGCTCGGGGGGGAGGCCTGTGAGGGTGGTGGCCCCTGGTGTGGCTGTGGTGATGTAGGGGGGCTGTACAGCCAAGGGGGTGGCACCTTGGTGCATGCTCAGAGCTGCCGTGCGGACTGGGATGACTGGCTGTCCCAGGAGCTGGTTTTGGCAGGAGTCAAGGGCCCAGTGTGGGGATGGGAGCAGAGGTTGTGGTGAAGCCCCCAGGGCAGGGGAAGGTGTGAAGCCCCCAGGGCAGGGGAAGATATGAAGCCCCCAGGGCAGGGGAAGGTGTGAAGCCCTCAGGGCAGGGGAGGGTGTGAAGCCCCCAGGGCAGGGGAAGGTGTGAAGCCCTCAGGGCAGAGGAAGGTGTGAAGCCCTCAGGGCAGGGGAAGGTGGTGGGGGCCAGGGTGGGATTCTGGGCAGGGGGGCGGCCAGGCCCAAGGCTCAGCATAGGCCACATGGTGTCCAGAGGGGGTGGGACAACACCCAGGGCCAGACCTCGGGAGAAGCCGCGAGCCCGGCCATGCCCACCTCCTGGGCTCTTTCCTGTTCTTGGGCCTTGGCCTGCTGTGCCCATCCCCCCCGCACTCCCCTGCCCTCCCCTCCGAGAAGGCCTCCCCAGGACCCCACTGCACCGGCACCGTGTCACCATGAGGAAGCCATGCCCCTTGTCACAGTCCACCTTGCCAGCATCAGGGCCAGGACCACCCCCGCCCCCCCAGTCCTCTGGTGACAGTTTCTGAGCCCCTGCTCATGGTGGGGCAGGCGGGCTCCCCACACCCCAACCCTGGGTTTCCTCTCCCCAGCTACACACGAGCTGGCCACCTGCACATGCTCCCCACGAGAATGCAGAAACCCAGGCCAGAGCAAGCGTGGACGTTGCTGCTGGGGGAAGGGGAGCTGCTGGGTTCAGCCAGGCCCTCAGCCAGCTCACCCTGAGGGCAGCCCCCAGCCCAGCCCTGTATGTTCCCTGCTCCCTCAGAGCCTGATGCCTCAGAGATGCCCGGCTAGGATCACCTGGCAGGTCACGCCGCCGCCCTGGGACCAGCGAGGGTCAGATGAGGCTCAAGGCCAGACAGCCCTTGGGCAGCAGCGCCTCATCTGTCAGAAAGCCCCATCAGAGCACACAGAGGAGACTGCCGTGAGTGACCACTGTGCCCATTCCCAGGAGCTCCCTGAGGCTGGGTCTGGGGGGATGGGGTTCACAGCCAGGCATGCCTGGGACAGGGTAGGGATTTCTGCTGGCCTCAGCGGCTGCGGAGGTGACACTTTCAGCCACACTCAGCCACGGTCCAGCCAGGGCGGGATCCTGGTGGCTGTGCCTCGTGTGAGGGAGCCTCAGGGATAGAGACATGGCTCACTGCCCAGGGCTGGGGACGTCCTGGGCAGAGGCCAGGAGGCTCAGCGTGGCCATGTGGGGAGGGCCAGGTGCTCCTGCCCCTTGCCCTGAAACTCCTATCTCCCCTCCAGAAGGTCCTGTTCCCCCTTGCCAGCCTCAGGCTGGTGGCTCTGCGAGCCTCCACAGACCAGGTCTCCGGTTTGGTCCAGAAGCAGAGACCACAGCAGCCTGGGCTGAGACCCTACCCAGGCAGGTGTTCATGCTAGCAGGGCCAGGGCTGCTGGGATGCAGCAGGCGCCCCTGGCCTCCAGCCCCTGTGCTCCCCAAGCCCCAGACACCCACCCCTGCAGCGACAGCTGCCACCTCCGCCACCCCAGCTCTTCAGACCCAGCAATACCTACAAATATTTTTTGTTTTCATAAACGTCGTGCAGCTTTAGGACGTGGGGGTGCTCAATGAGCTTCAGGATCGCGATCTCCCGCTCCACCTGCATGGGAGAGGCCAGAGAACATCACGCTCACAGGGCTGGGGCACGCATCGCTCCCCACAGACACTGCCTTTGGTGCCAGCTGTGGGGGTCGCAGGGGCCTTTGGTGCCAGCTGTGGGGGTCGCAGGGGCCTTTGGTGCCAGCTGTGGGGGACGCAGGGGCCTTTGGTGCCAGCTGTGGGGGACGCAGGGGCCTTTGGTGCCAGCTGTGGGGGACGCAGGGGCCTTTGGTGCCAGCTGTGGGGGACGCAGGGGCCTTTGGTGCCAGCTGTGGGGGATGCAGGGACGTGGGCTGCTCAGCTGGGGCCCTGGCTGGTGGAGAGGGCAGAGGGCAGGGGCCTCAGTGGAGGGAGCCCAGGCCGCCGGGCTGACACCAGCCTGTAGGGCTGAGGACTGGGGGCCCCTGGAGCAGGAGGGCCCCTCCCCACACTGCCCAGGAAGGCAGGCAGCCTGGGCCTCTCTGTGAGCCCAGCCTCAGGAATGGGGCCTGGAGCTGTTGGAGATAAGGCCTCCCAGGCTCCCAGCCAGTCGGATGCAGGGCCCTTCCAGGCAGGCTGTGCCTGGGCTCCGCCCTTCCTTACGGTGGAGGCCTCACAGGAGGAGGGGCCGGGACAGGCCTCTGTGGGCCCCATGAGGTGGGGGCAGGCATCCTGTTGTGTGTGGGACATACAGTAGGTGTGCAGGCCGTGGGCAGGGCACGTGCCCCCCATCCACAGGCTCCCAGCTGGTACTGTCCCCCAAGTGGGGAGGGCCCCAGGGAGGGGCAGAAGTGACCCCAGAGGGCACCTGACTCAGGACACCCAGTCCTGCTCCGAGGTAAGGGCAGGGCCCCCTCCCTCAGACATGCAAGCCTGGCCACGGGCAGCTGGTGCTCCGCCCAGCACAAAGAAGTGGCCGTGTCAGTGGTGGGGCCAGTGAGGCCACGGCCTGGGGTCCCAGCCCTCAGGAGCCAGCGTGGACCAGGCTTTGGAGCTAGGGCCAGTCTTGTGATGGGGTCCCAGCCCTGGCGAGTTGGCCAGCCTGTCCCCAAGTCCTTCCCTCCCAGGCGGACATCTGTGCACAGCGCCTGCAGGTGACAGGGACACCTCCCCTTTCCCGCATCCCCAGGCCCTCCTTTAGTCGGGGCTCACAGGCACCTCCCAAATTCAGCATGGGACTCTCCCCAGCTACGCCCCGCACTGGATCTCTCTGCCAGGCGCTGTCCTGGCCCCATCACTCCCAGGGCCTCTGTTTCTCCTCCAAGGCAGGGTGGGACCCTGCCAGCCCCATCCAGGCAGCCCTCAGCAGCCCTTAACCCCACCCCCACCTCCCCATAGGGTCCCCAGGCCTCCCCAGTTTAGTCTGGTTAATTCCTCCACACCCCAGCAGCTGGGGGGTGCCCAACATGTCACAGTCCCCAACCCTTAGCACCTTCCACAAGCCTCCCCTCTCTTGGCCACTCCCACTGGCCTCGTCCCCGGGTCCTGCCCCACCCGCAGCCCTGCATGCCAAGGAGCGAATGGAGAGGAAGGGAGAGGAGGGGGCTCGACTGGCCCCAGTGCTGGGAGGGTCGCACGCTGCCAGCCCAGGTCCCACTGTGGGTGGGACCCGGAGCAGCTGGGAGCCCCAGCCTCTTCCTCTACACCCAGGGTCAGGCTTCCCAGCAGCCGGGGCCGCCCCCTCCCCACTGAGAGGTGGGTCACAGCCCAGAAACCCTCCACCCAGGGGGCCTGCCTGGTCTCCATGGTGACCAGACACCACCGGATGGAGCCGACGGAGGCCAGGCCCCAGTGGAAGAGGAAGGTGCAGCTCCCCTCTGCCAAGCTGTGCCCTGGTAGGAGAGGGGTGCTCTGAGGCAGGGAACTCCTCTCCATTCTAGCTGGGAACACTGAAGCCCCGCCTGCTAGCACAGCAGGTCCTGCAGCAACTGAACTGCCCAGCTGCAGCCTGTCCCCTCAGGGGTGCCCACTCTGCTTGGAGGCAGGAGAAAGGTGGGCAGGGCTGGAGGGAGGAGCAAGAGCAAAGGCACCCTACCAGGGGACCAGCAGGGGTGTGGCGGCCCAGGAGCCTGCAGGGCCCGCCCCCCCACCCGCATCCAGCACCGCAGGTCCCCACAACCTTGGCTCCCACCCCTGTGCTATTCCCCGCCCCACCCCACCGCCGGCCCCGCCTCCCTCCCCGGCCCCACCCACCTTCATCAGCACCGACTCGCTGAGCTTCTCACGGTTGACGATCTTGATGGCCACCTTCTGGCAGGTGACGCAGTGAACCCCCAGCTTCACCAGACCTGCGGGAGAGAAGCAGCCGCGCTCAGACCCACCCAGGGTGCCTGCAGCGAGCACCCAGCCGGACAGTGCAGGTTGGGGGCCTCCTCCCACGTCCTGGACAGCAGGGGTCCCACCCGCTCCAGGGCCGGAGGCCCCTGCCCGCCTGGGTCGCTGTCCAGAACAGCTCAGTGCTGGCGTCACGCTGCCCCTGCAAAGCTGTGTCTTCCCTCCACGCCGGCCCTTTGGGCTTCTCAGGTCTCTGTGGCCCCCCTCGCCCTCTCCCCATCCCAAGGCACCCAAATCCCCTCCCTTCAGCCTTCAGCCACCCTCAGCTGGGAGCCAGGGTGCCCTCGAGGTGCCTGCCTGGCCCAAGAAGGCTGTCCCCCGCACACCCTGCCGAGACCCCCACCTGCAGCCTTCTGCAGAGATACCTCAGCCGCAGCCCTCCGCCGAGACCCCCACCGACACCCCTCCTCCGCCGAGACCCCCACCGGCACCCCTCCTCCGCCGAGACCCCCACCGGCACCCCTCCTCCGCCGAGACCCCCACCGGCACCCCTCCTCCGCCGAGACCCCCACCGGCACCCCTCCTCCGCCGAGACCCCCACCGGCACCCCTCCTCCGCCGAGACCCCCACCGGCACCCCTCCTCCGCCGAGACCCCCACCGGCACCCCTCCTCCGCCGAGACCCCCACCGGCACCCCTCCTCCGCCGAGACCCCCACCGGCACCCCTCCTCCGCCGAGACCCCCACCGGCACCCCTCCTCCGCCGAGACCCCCACCGGCACCCCTCCTCCGCCGAGACCCCCACCGGCACCCCTCCTCCGCTGAGACCCCCACCGGCACCCCTCCTCTGCTGAGATGCTCTGCACCTGAGCCCCGGCCCTGTGTTCACCCCAGGACACCAGGACGGGCCCCAGGTAGCTCCCCAGGCAGCACTGCCCTAGACCTCCACGGCCCGGCAGCCCCTTCCTTCCCAGACCCACCTAAAAGGCAGGCAGGGTGCTCTGGGAATGTGCCTTGGCTGGGCACACGGTCCCGGTCCCCCTCCGCGCCTCGGCCCACCCTCCCTTTCTCCTCTCCCCACTCTTTTCACAGCCAGATACTTGCCCCTGCCCAGGACAGCCCGGCCACACCCCTGAGCCCCACCTGGCCTGAGCTGTGGCCTTGACACTGGAGATGCCCCCAGGAGCCCACAACCCAGGCCCTTTCCTACCATCAAAGGTCCTCAGGCGCACTCATGTGCCATTCCATGTTGGGGCATGTTGGAACCATGGGGGGATCAGGTTATCACAGGGGACCCCAATCCTAGGTGCGCCCAGACACCCAGAGCCGGCCCAGGTTATCACGGGGACCCCACTCCTAGGTGCCCCCAGACACCCAGAGCCGGCCCAGGTTATCACAGAGGACCCCACTCCTGGGTGCCCCCAGACACCCAGAGCCGGCCCAGGTTATCACAGGGGACCCCACTCCTGGGTGCCCCCAGACACCCAGAGCCGGCCCAGGTTATCACAGGGGACCCCACTCCTGGGTGCGCCGACACCCAGAGCCGGCCCAGGTTATCACAGGGGACCCCACTCCTAGGTGCCCCCAGACACGCAGATCCTGGCCCATATTATCACAGGGGACCCCACTCCTAGGTGCCCCCAGACACGCAGAGCCGGCCCATATTATCACAGGGGACCCCACTCCTAGGTGCCCCCAGACACGCAGAGCCGGCCCAGGTTATCACAGGGGACCCCACTCCTAGGTGCGCCCAGACACCCAGATCCTGGCTGGCATTCCCACTGGGCTTTAGTGGCCGCCATCCTTCCGTGCACGCGCTGTGCTCAAATTTCACCCAGACTCGGCCTCGCCCTGTTGACCCGCGGGACGTCACCGGTGTTTACTGACCGTGTGGGTGTGCTCTGGGCTCCTTTCCTGTTCTCGTTTTTATCCTGGTGCACGCACATGTGTGCATTTTCTTACCAATTTGCAAGAGCCCTTTGATTTTTTTGGGAAATTAATCCTTTGTCTCACGCGTCAAACCTCCATTCCCCCGGCCCCATCGGCTTTTAGCTTTATTTTGCCCTTTCCGTCAGTTTCATCTGTGTGGCGTCACGCCTGGATCTGGGTGAGCCCAGGCCGGGTGGGGGACCCAGGACCTTGCCGAAGAAGCGGGCTTCCCCAGAGGCAGGGGGAGCTGCAGGCCGGGCAGTGACACAGGCTGGGCACAGAGGGGAGCCCAGTGCCAGGGGTGGGGGGTGGCCTCGGCAGGGTGTGCTCATGGAGGAAGAGCTGCTTCTCCCTGAAGGCCTTTGATCCAGCACAAGGCTTGTGATTCGCTCAGCCGGAGGAGCACTCAGGAGGGCCTAGAGCCCTTCATCCATAATCCAGGGCGGCTGGAGGCGCCCACAGCGCATCCCTCCCCAGGCACGAGGCTGGCCTGCATCCCGGGGCAGGGGTCCCTGCAGGAAGGACTCAGCCCCACACACGGAAAGGAGCAAGAGCTCAATGTCCCCCAAACCTGGCTGCAAGGCTAAGGCGTGGTCCGTGACAAAAGCCTCTGGTCCGAAGGGCATGGAGCCCCTAAAAACCCTCAGGACAAACTCCTGGGAGGATGCAGCCGGAGGCCAAGACAGAGGCTCTCAAAGGAGGGAGGAAATGACCCAGAAATGCCCAGCATGAGGCACCCTCAGGAGACCCCAAAGGATGAAGGGCCCACACCCTGCCCCAGGGCATCATGAGGGTGCAGGGGTGAAGCAGGAGGGAGGCTGTGGTCAAAGCCCCCAAGGGCACCGGGACAGCATTCCCAGGGTAGGTGGCGAAGCCCTGGTGGCTCTGCATTTTCACAAAAGATGGCCCCAAACAGGAGGGGAGTCATTAGGGCACAGCCACCAAGGGCACAGGGCAGCTGTTAGACAGTGGCAAAACCTGACCAGACCGCAGAAGACGCTCACTGCTGAGCACAGTGGCAAAACCTGACCAGACCGCAGAAGAGGCTCACTGCTGAGCACAGTGGCAAAACCTGACCAGACCGCAGAAGACGCTCACTGCTGAGCACAGTGGCAAAACCTGACCAGACCGCAGAAGACGCTCACTGCTGAGCACAGTGGCAAAACCTGACCAGACCGCAGAAGACGCTCACTGCTGAGCACAGTGGCAAAACCTGACCAGACCGCAGAAGACGCTCACTGCTGAGCACAGTGGCAAAACCTGACCAGACCGCAGAAGACGCTCACTGCTGGGCACAGTGGCAAAACCTGACCAGACCGCAGAAGACGCTCACTGCTGGGCACAGTGGCAAAACCTGACCAGACCGCAGAAGACGCTCACTGCTGGGCACAGTGGCAAAACCTGACCAGACCGCAGAAGACGCTCACTGCTGGGCACAGTGGCAAAACCTGACCAGACCGCAGAAGACGCTCACTGCTGGGCACAGTGGCAAAACCTGACCAGACCGCAGAAGACGCTCACTGCTGGGCACAGTGGCAAAACCTGACCAGACCGCAGAAGACGCTCACTGCTGGGCACAGTGGCAAAACCTGACCAGACCGCAGAAGACGCTCACTGCTGAGCACAGTGGCAAAACCTGACCAGACCGCAGAAGACGCTCACTGCTGAGCACAGTGGCAAAACCTGACCAGACCGCAGAAGACGCTCACTGCTGAGCACAGTGGCAAAACCTGACCAGACCGCAGAAGACGCTCACTGCTGGGCACAGTGGCAAAACCTGACCAGACCGCAGAAGACGCTCACTGCTGGGCACAGTGGCAAAACCTGACCAGACCGCAGAAGACGCTCACTGCTGGGCACAGTGGCAAAACCTGACCAGACCCCGCAGAAGACGCTCACTGCTGAGCACAGTGGCAAAACCTGACCAGACCGCAGAAGACGCTCACTGCTGAGCACAGTGGCAAAACCTGACCAGACCGCAGAAGACGCTCACTGCTGAGCACAGTGGCAAAACCTGACCAGACCGCAGAAGACGCTCACTGCTGAGCACAGTGGCAAAACCTGACCAGACCGCAGAAGACGCTCACTGCTGGGCACAGTGGCAAAACCTGACCAGACCGCAGAAGACGCTCACTGCTGGGCACAGTGGCAAAACCTGACCAGACCGCAGAAGACGCTCACTGCTGGGCACAGTGGCAAAACCTGACCAGACCCCGCAGAAGACGCTCACTGCTGAGCACAGTGGCAAAACCTGACCAGACCGCAGAAGACGCTCACTGCTGAGCACAGTGGCAAAACCTGACCAGACCGCAGAAGACGCTCACTGCTGAGCACAGTGGCAAAACCTGACCAGACCCCGCAGAAGACGCTCACTGCTGAGCACAGTGGCAAAACCTGACCAGACCGCAGAAGACGCTCACTGCTGAGCACAGTGGCAAAACCTGACCAGACCGCAGAAGACGCTCACTGCTGGGCACAGTGGCAAAACCTGACCAGACCGCAGAAGACGCTCACTGCTGGGCACAGTGGCAAAACCTGACCAGACCGCAGAAGACGCTCACTGCTGGGCACAGTGGCAAAACCTGACCAGACCGCAGAAGACGCTCACTGCTGGGCACAGTGGCAAAACCTGACCAGACCGCAGAAGACGCTCACTGCTGGGCACAGTGGCAAAACCTGACCAGACCGCAGAAGACGCTCACTGCTGAGCACAGTGGCAAAACCTGACCAGACCGCAGAAGACGCTCACTGCTGAGCACAGTGGCAAAACCTGACCAGACCGCAGAAGACGCTCACTGCTGAGCACAGTGGCAAAACCTGACCAGACCGCAGAAGACGCTCACTGCTGAGCACAGTGGCAAAACCTGACCAGACCGCAGAAGACGCTCACTGCTGGGCACAGTGGCAAAACCTGACCAGACCGCAGAAGACGCTCACTGCTGGGCACAGTGGCAAAACCTGACCAGACCGCAGAAGACGCTCACTGCTGGGCACAGTGGCAAAACCTGACCAGACCCCGCAGAAGACGCTCACTGCTGAGCACAGTGGCAAAACCTGACCAGACCGCAGAAGACGCTCACTGCTGAGCACAGTGGCAAAACCTGACCAGACCGCAGAAGACGCTCACTGCTGAGCACAGTGGCAAAACCTGACCAGACCGCAGAAGACGCTCACTGCTGAGCACAGTGGCAAAACCTGACCAGACCGCAGAAGACGCTCACTGCTGGGCACAGTGGCAAAACCTGACCAGACCGCAGAAGACGCTCACTGCTGGGCACAGTGGCAAAACCTGACCAGACCGCAGAAGACGCTCACTGCTGGGCACAGTGGCAAAACCTGACCAGACCCCGCAGAAGACGCTCACTGCTGAGCACAGTGGCAAAACCTGACCAGACCGCAGAAGACGCTCACTGCTGAGCACAGTGGCAAAACCTGACCAGACCGCAGAAGACGCTCACTGCTGAGCACAGTGGCAAAACCTGACCAGACCCCGCAGAAGACGCTCACTGCTGAGCACAGTGGCAAAACCTGACCAGACCGCAGAAGACGCTCACTGCTGAGCACAGTGGCAAAACCTGACCAGACCGCAGAAGACGCTCACTGCTGGGCACAGTGGCAAAACCTGACCAGACCGCAGAAGACGCTCACTGCTGGGCACAGTGGCAAAACCTGACCAGACCGCAGAAGACGCTCACTGCTGGGCACAGTGGCAAAACCTGACCAGACCGCAGAAGACGCTCACTGCTGGGCACAGTGGCAAAACCTGACCAGACCGCAGAAGACGCTCACTGCTGGGCACAGTGGCAAAACCTGACCAGACCGCAGAAGACGCTCACTGCTGAGCACAGTGGCAAAACCTGACCAGACCGCAGAAGACGCTCACTGCTGAGCACAGTGGCAAAACCTGACCAGACCGCAGAAGACGCTCACTGCTGAGCACAGTGGCAAAACCTGACCAGACCGCAGAAGACGCTCACTGCTGGGCACAGTGGCAAAACCTGACCAGACCGCAGAAGACGCTCACTGCTGGGCACAGTGGCAAAACCTGACCAGACCGCAGAAGACGCTCACTGCTGAGCACAGTGGCAAAACCTGACCAGACCGCAGAAGACGCTCACTGCTGAGCACAGTGGCAAAACCTGACCAGACCCCGCAGAAGACGCTCACTGCTGAGCACAGTGGCAAAACCTGACCAGACCGCAGAAGACGCTCACTGCTGAGCACAGTGGCAAAACCTGACCAGACCGCAGAAGACGCTCACTGCTGAGCACAGTGGCAAAACCTGACCAGACCGCAGAAGACGCTCACTGCTGAGCACAGTGGCAAAACCTGACCAGACCGCAGAAGACGCTCACTGCTGAGCACAGTGGCAAAACCTGACCAGACCGCAGAAGACGCTCACTGCTGAGCACAGTGGCAAAACCTGACCAGACCGCAGAAGACGCTCACTGCTGAGCACAGTGGCAAAACCTGACCAGACCGCAGAAGACGCTCACTGCTGAGCACAGTGGCAAAACCTGACCAGACCGCAGAAGACGCTCACTGCTGAGCACAGTGGCAAAACCTGACCAGACCGCAGAAGACGCTCACTGCTGGGCACAGCAGGATGCTGGCGACAGAGCAGCAGGGCCCTGGGCAGGGACAGCACGTGTGGCCACGCACACAGACATGCACCTGTGTACACCCCTAGGTGTGTGCATACCTCCATGCGTGCACACCCCTGTGCCTACACTCAGTGCACACACACCCATGTGCACACACCCACACACCGAGTGCACATGCACCCAGGACACACACCTGTGCGCACACGCACACACACCCAGGACACACGCCCAGTGCACACACCCACACGAGTGCACACACACCTGTGCACATGCATCCAGGACACACCCATGGGCACACGCCCACACACCGCGTGCACACACACCCATGCACACGCGCATGCACCCAGGACACACACCCGTGCACACACACCCATGCACACGTGCACACACACCCAGTGCACACACCCACACACCGAGTGCACACATGCACGCACCCAGGACACACACCCATGCACACACACCTGTGTACACATGTGCATGCACCCAGGACACACCCGTGTACACACACCCATGCACACACACCCAGGACACACCCAGTGCACACGCCCACACGCCAAGGGCACACACCCGTGCACACACACGCACCCAGTACACACCTCCAGTGCACACAAGCACCCAGTGCACACCCCCAGTAACCCGTGTGCACACACCCATGCACACACAGTACGCACGCCTGTACACACACCCATGCATGTACACACGACTGCATACATACACCCCAGTGCACATGCACACACACCCGCAGTGCACACACACTCGTGCACATACCATCATGCACACATACGTACAAACATGCACACTCCCAGTGTGCACACACATCCTTGAATGACAGGAGCCAAAAGGTGTGGAGAGCACAATCCTGCCTCCAGAAAAGGAAAGAAAGTGGGGACTGAAAATGGGAGGGAGCCTGACAACCACCTGGGCCAACTTTATTGAAAGGACACTGCTGGGCCCAGCACAAATCAGGACAGCCAAGTCTCGGAGCACTGGCCTTGCTCCAGGCGCTGCTTTGAGTGGGGCCCCTTCACCCCTATTTCACAGATGAGGAAACAGTGGTTCCATCCCCTGCCAGCACATGTGGCTCAGAAGGGCTGTGAGGACAGTGGACCACATGGAAGAAGGCATTCCTGGCAAGCACCCACCTTCCCAGAGGAGGTTACGGAGGGGATGGAGCCACTGGGGGTGGGCCTGCCGCATCCATAGATCCTGCCCACGTCCTTGAGGCTGGAGTCTGGGGGCTGCAGGTGGCCTCTCAAATAGCAACAGAGTCACAGAGGAGCCACAGCCACCAAGAGCCTCCTGCCTATGCTCAGGAGCCTCGCAGTGGCTCAGGTAAAGGCAGCCACGACGCAGCAGGCTGGGATGTAGGAGAGCCGTCCCCAGCTGCATCCTGGAGCTCTGGTCACTCCTCCTGCCTCCATCTTCTTTCACTTGCTGCCCCTATGCCTAGAAAGTCCTTTCCCCATTACTGTACTCTGAAGACTCCTACACACTCCTCAGAGCCCAGCATAGAGGCGTCCCTCCTAGGTAAAGCTTCCCTGGGGTCCTAGGCAGCAGTGCAGGCCTCTGCGTCCTGGTATCCCTCAGCTCCGAGTTTCTCTGAGCAGAATGTTTGGGTTATGAGCAGTTTTGCCACTTTCTGGAGGCAGGGAGTGGGGAGTGTGCTGTGAGAGGCCCTCCTGACTGGGCCGTAGCCTGGAGGATGGGGGACTGGAAGCTGGAGCGGGGAAGCCCAGGGCCACCCTTCATCATCTCCCCCTGCAACTCACTGTGGCTTATTTTCCAATTGAGAGTCCATCTCTAATTGCTGTCTTTACACAAACACAGGCTTGGCTGTCGAGAGGGAAGGCACGCAGTGCCACAGATCACTGCCCAGGGCCCTGAGGGGGCAGGCGGTGCACAGCAGCTCACGCCAGGCCCCATTTCTGTGGGAGCGTGTGCCGGCGGGTGCCCAAGAGTGCTGGGTCTCCCTGCGCCCCCCACAGGGAAGGGCCTGGGCATGTGGAGCCCCAGGGCATCCCAGGGAAGCCACGGGTATGCCACGAGGATGCTGGGCCTCAGGGAGCAGACTAGCACGTTAACACGGGTGCCCCCAGGTGCTCCTGAGCCGGCCAGGAGAGTCAAAGGGAGCCCCAGGACTACCCTGCACGTGGTATCTGAGAGCAGGCCCTGACTCAAGTCCCAGGCTGGCCAAGAAGTGAGGGGCCTTCTCCTGCCTGGGCCGGGCGAGGCAGCAGGACAGCCCCTGCCCCTGCACTCAGCTACCCAGGAGGACTGGCAGGCAGGGTTGTGCCAGGAGGGCTGGCACTTTCTGGAGGGGCAGTGAGGGCTCAGTTCTGCAGCTCTGCCGGCAGCGCCCTGCCCCCAGGAAGCCAGTGGGGCTGTGGGGAGAGAGGGGATGGGGGGCTGCAGGTCCAGGAGCCAAGCCAGCCTAGGGCTGGACGGGCTGCTCTTTAGTTTGGGTAGGGGGCCCTGGGGCAGGTGGCAGTGTTGGCACTGGGGAAGGACCCCGCGCAGCCCCCTCACCGCCCCGGCACGCACCAGACTAAAGTTGCGCAGCAGGTATGGGGACAGCCTGGGGTGCCGCCCCCCCATCTCCCGCATGCAGACCCAGGGGGCTTCCCACCAGGCGGAGTGGTCCCGTTTCATAGACTTGCCTGCTGCTGGCCACTACAGGGCCCTCCCCACATGCACTTGGCTGAGGGATCCTGAGCTCCTCCCCAGCAGCCCCGCCACATCCTGTGTCTGCACCCCCAGGTCCTCTCTGCTCCCCACCACGTGGCTGCTGGCCCATCTGTTGCCCCCACCCCCGTTGCCAGCAACCACCTCCTGGAGGGAGGACACCTCACAGGTGAGAGTCACACAGAAAAGACACGGGGCACCTTCACCCAGGGCCAGGCAGGAGTCACACAGAGAAGACACGCGGCACCTTCACCCAGGGCCTCTGCAAGTTCCCAGCAACCCAGGGCCTTCCCTGCACACTCTACATTTGCGGGGACAGACCCAGGCTCGAGACCGAGATTTGCCAGGACTGGGCACCCCCAAGGGCTACATGTGTCCTCCCCGGCGTGCTCTGTCTCCTGCGGAGTCTGAAAGGATTAAAGTGACAGTTCAAGCCTCTTCTTTCCCCTGGAGGGGCCGTCTCAGGTATTTACACCCCACAGATCCAAGCCCAGTCGCCAGCAGAGCACGCCCCACACACATCCCCAGAGCACGCCCCACACACATCCCCAGAGCACGCCCCACACACATCCCCGGAGCACGCCCCACACACATCCCCGGAGCACGCCCCACACACATCCCCAGTGCCCGCTGTGTGCCAGGCCCCCATCCAGGCCCTGATGGCCACGTGGCCCTGCCCGTCCCATGCAGCTGGGTGCCCAGAGCACCCAAGGCCCCACAGGGACCGGTGTGTGCTGGTGTTTGCTTTCCTGAATGGGCGCGCACAGGCTAGGAGCCAGGGGCCAGCCCACCGTCCAGAGCACTGGGTTTAGGGGGAAGGCTGGACAGGTGAGGTGTGCTCACCGTGGCACCACACCGGACAGCAGAACCTCAGCCCTCCCCAGCCATGAGGCCGCAAATCCGCTCTCCAGAGGCCTGAGGCACTGGCCCCGGGGCAGGTGTACCCAGGAAACTCAGCGTTCCCCCCACGCCCTCCCCTGCCCCACACCTCTTCCCATCTCCACAGTGCACATCTAGTGCCACGGCCTGGAGTGCCACCTGGGGACCCTGTCGGGTGCCTGCTACCCACCCTCGCCCAGAAGGGGGTGGGTTCCCAAAGAAAGGACGGGGGCAGCTCATCTACCCCAAGGCCAGTGGAGAGGACACAGAGTGGGAGACGAGCGGGGGTGTGGGGGGCTCGGGATGGGCTGCTGACCTCGGTGCTGAATGCGTCCCCTGTAGGTGAAGAGCCTCCCGTGGCCCCTGGCCCAGGCTGCACGGAGGAAACGTCCTGAGGGGGTGGGGTCATTGGACAGGCCTGCCCTGCCTCCACCCCACTGAGGCGGCTCCCAGAGACCAGGACAGGTGACAACCTGCCCCGTCGCTGTCACCAACCCGCACCTCTGGGACCAAGCGGGCCTCATCCACAGACCACAAGGACACCACAGCTTCCTCCTGGACTCTGGGGAGCTCAGTGGGCATGTCTGGCAGCAGTGCCCTGCAGGGCGTCCACGTGCTGAGGACCCGAGGCCCCCACACAGCCTGCGGGACCCCCCAGGAAGCAGCCCCTCCAGCCCAGCCTGCAGATCAGGCAGCCCTGGGTGACGCCTTCACCAGAGCCACCTGAGAGGCCTTAAGCCGAAGCCACCTGCTGAGTGGCTTGGACTGATGACCCGGGGAGCTGAGACTCCAAGTGCTGAGAGCGCCGGGACCGACCGGCCACGCAGCGCAGGACGATGCAGACGTCAGGCTTCCCATCACGGGCCTCGGGGCAGCACTCAGGACCAGGGTCCGAGTCCCCACGCCTGGCAGGAACAGCCTCGCTGAGTGGGAAACACGTGGCGTCACAGCAGGGCCTGGGCGCCAATCCCACTGACCCCGCGGTCTCTGACAAGGGCCCCAGATTCTTTGCCCATGGAGGCGGGGAGAACACCCCTCCCGCCAGCACTCTGGGCCCACGAGGTGCTGTGTGTGAGCCCCAGGAAGGGGAAGCATGCAGGCCAGGGGGTCCTGCTCCACCCCCGCAACCTGCCCCCCCGCCAGTAGGTCCCAGGGAGCCCACCTGGCAGAGGCCCAGGTCCAGAGCCCCCAGCAGGCTCCACAGGGCCCTGCCTGGCCCCCCCGACTCCCTCTGTCCAAACAGTCCCAACGGGTCCTGAGCCTGGGCCTCCCAGGCCAGGATGGAGGGTGAAGCACGGGAGGAATGGCCTGTTGGCTGGATGCAGATGGAGGGCAGGGCAGCAGGTGTGTGGCTGTCCCGTCCTGCCGGGGCACAAAGCAGCCCAGGTCCTGGCGAAGGGTCCTGGACCCTTCTCCTTTAGATGTTGGGGGAGTTCCTGCCACTTGGCCCCACCCCAGTGAAGGGGGTCCCTCACCTATCCCCAACTCCCACACTGGTCACACAGCCTCCACTGTCTGCCTGGAGGGATTCTGAGGGCAGGTGGGGGCCACCCCGGCAGGACACCTTGTCCCCACCTGGCTCTCCCTGTCCTTCTTCCTTTTGCCCCCACACTCAGACCCACCCAGTGCTGGGGCACCCCCCACATGAGGCAGTAGGGGGTGAGGGCCTCGCAGGTGGACACCCAGCAGAGACCTCCCTCCGCCTGGCCGGCAGGACCCACTGTCACTCCAGGGGAATGGTGGGGCTCCCCGGGGCTCACGGAGCAGTTCCGGAGGCCACAGGGGTGCCGAGGGGTCCACCATGGCCCCACATCACAGCTGGAGGATGTGGGGGTGGAATGGTGACCCCCAAAAGATGTGTGTCCCAGTGCCTGGGGCGCATGAATGTGACCCGACTTGGAAAAACAGCCTCTGCAGAGGTTTCTAAGTTATGGATCTCAATATAACATAGCCCCAGATTTGGGGTGGACACTAAACCCAACTACCAGCCTTCCTATCAGAGAAAGGCCGAGGAAAGTGTGGCTGGGGACACACGGGGTGGGATGGGGGCGCCACGTGAGGGTGAAAGCAAGATGGGGGTGGGGGAGCACTTCTGCAGGCCCAGGGGCACCGGGAACACTCAGCGGGGGAGGCCTGGGGCACCCGGAACGCCCAGCGGGGGAGGCCTGGGGCACCCGGAACGCCCAGCGGGGGAGGCCTGGGGCACCCGGAACGCCCAGCGGGGGAGGCCTGGGGCACCCGGAACGCCCAGCGGGGGAGGCCTGGGGCACCCGGAACGCCCAGCGGGGGAGGCTTGGGGCAGGGCTTCCTTGAGGCCTTGGAAGAGCCAGCCCACCCTGGACCTTGGACTTCCCGCCTCCAGAATGTGAAAGAGCACGTCTCTGCTGTTCGGTGACCGGGTCTGAGGAGCCCCAGGGAGCTCGCGAGTGCCGTCCTCTGCTCACACGACTGTGGGCCGCATCCTTCATCATGAACCTCCTAAGGCACCTCAAATTCCAGAACCACTGTGGCCACAGCACACCCCTACCCCTCCCACAGTCTCAGAACTTCTCCCCACACACACTCTCCACGTGCCTGAACCTGGCCAGAGGCCTCGGCTCCTAACTGAAGGCTCTGCACTGAAGTATTTACGAGGTCTCGAACTCACCCCTAGCCTCAAGACGCTAAGGACAGGACAGTGGGGAGGGTCCCTGGTTCTGCCGTTTCTGAAGCCTGGACGGCCACGACCCCACCGTCTCCACCACGTACCCCACAAGGCACCATGTCCCCCACGAGGCACCGCATCCCCCACGAGGCACCGCTCTGGGGGAGGCCCTGAGGTACATGGAGGCACAGCTCTTGGGGAGGTCCTGGGTGCATGGGGCCTGGAGGTACCTGGACATTAACCCTCCGGGCTGCTGTCTGGCTGAGCTAAGGCTCCCAAGCTGCATTGCCCTCCCCTTGATCTTCGCAAAGCTCTGTTCCCTTTCCCAGGAGGGGACACAGACACCTGAGGAGCTCAGAAACCCAGGTCTGAGAGACCTCGAGGTCCATCCTCCGGACACCACATCACCAGGTTGGGACTGGCTGTGGGGCTTGCTGGGTGGGCAGCGGCCCCCAGCTGGGGCCAGCACAAGCTTCATCTCCGTCACCCCCTCGGTCCTGGCTTGGGGAGTGGACATGGCGCTGGGCAAACAGCTGGCAAAACTGAGACTCTGGAGGAAGTGTGTCCAGTTCCCCACAGGCAGCCGAGCCTTGGACGGTCAGGCCTGCCTGCCTGTGGGGTCGCCAGAGCTCTTCCAGCACCATGGACAGGACTGTCAGGGAGGAGTGTCCTTGGAAGCAGGTCTTCAGCTCCTCAGAGGCCCTGCCCTGGCCACACCTTTGTCAAGGCCACCCAGTGGGGACTGTCAGCCATGCATCCTCGGGGTGGGGGCACTGTAGCAACTGCAAACTCAGGAGGTGCACAGGCCCCTCTGCACCGTCCCCACAGCTCCTCACTCGCCAGGGCCCACCGCAGAGCCTCCGGCATCCTGAGCCAGCCTCGGCCCCATAAGCTGCTCCCCTTGTGGTCAGCACACCTTCCCCAGCAATACAGGGACCCCCACCCCTCCCCAGAGCACCCCATGGGTGGCACACGGCAGACAGGGTGGAGGAGCGGCTGGAGGAGGGCAGGCCCCACCTGGGACTCTGCACACACAGGGTACCAAACAGCTCAGGAGGGGGCTGGGGGCTGTGAGCTGCGATGAGGCCTGGCCAGCCCCCGCCCCCAATCTACTTGGCTCACCCCTGATCATCCACCTGCATGCTCCCGTGAGGGGCTCATGGGGGGCCCACAGCTGGGGCTGGGCTGGGCTGGGCTCTCACCCGACACACAGTTGGCTCTGACCCCGCCTCGAATACACCCGATGATGCAGCCCAGGCACGGGCGCCACCCTCCCCCCGTGGGGCACCCCAACCTCAGGCTAGACCCCCTGCAGGCCCAGTGACACCCCCAGCCTGCCCCGACCCCACCCCCACCTGCCCCCTCTCTCCCGGGCCCTGGTCAGGCCGCCGTGCTCACATCTCCAGCAGAGACCCCGGTGCTGGGCCGGCAGGTTTGCTCCCCAGGCTGGGGGTTCTCCCACCTGCCCCGAGAGGGGCCTCTGAAGTTGCCACAGACATTGAAGCCTTGTTCCTTCATTAGCACCCAGGCCCTTGCTCCCCGACCCTTCGGCCTCCTCAGTCTGGGGGCACCCAGGCTCTATGCACCCCCACCCTGCACACCCACGGTAACAGCCCCGACACAGGAGCTGGGGCAGGGGGCAGGAAGGAGCGAGGCCCTCAGCACACGCTCAGAACATCAATAGATCCCACAGCCTCCACCGCCCACCAGTGCCAGGTGCAGAGGGAAGGGGCGGCGCATCTCTTGGGAGACAACTGCTCACGTTGGAAAAGAACCTCTCTAGTTAAATTCGTGCCACCCTGAAGCATTTCACACGCACTGCAGCCGCTCCGCTGCCTCTGCCTGGCTCCCGCCTCCTAACCCAGCACCCAAACAAAGGTGGGATGCAGCTCCCACTGGGGACCAGATTGTGGAGGAGGAAGCAGCTTCCCAGCCCTAGGCTGTTCCAGGATCCAGGTCCCTTCCAAGCAGAGGCAGGCATCTCTGCAGCCAGAGATGGGCAAGGGTGGGCCTGAGCCAGGGCCAGACTGCAGACGCCTGCCTCCCTCCTGGGTGTGACCCCAGACGTGCCTGGCCTCAGGGGTCTCCTGACACCCCGTCCTGGGGGGTGAAGATTAAATGAGAGCCCCCACACTGTCCCTCCCCTCCGAAGCGCAGCCTGGGACCCAAAGCACAGCCTGGGACTGTACCAGGAGGAGGCCCAGGGTCAGCCAAGCCAGGAGCCCACAGGCAGCCCAAAGATCTGAATCCTAAAGATCTGAGGGTATCACTCTGAGCATCCCAAAGCCCCTCTCTGCTCTGCACCCAGATGAAAGATGTCGGTGGGAGGCCCCAGTCAGGCTCCAGGGTTGAGACCTACTTGCCAGCACCCAGCCAGAGGGCCGAGGGGGCCCTGGGGGGCACAGGCCCCTCCCCATGAGAGGCTCAAGCCAGGCTCTTAAGGTCAGGTGGAAAAACAGGGAGTTGCCGGGCACCTGCTGGATGCCACATGGAGGCTGAGCCCCCAGGACTGCCAGCCCCACCTAGAGCTGAGGACAGGAGTAACCAGAGGAGTCCCCCAGGCAGGCCACAAAGAGGGTGACAGCCAGGGAGGAGGCTGCAGGGAGGAGGTGTATCCCGAGGGGACAGTCTAGGCAGTGGAGGAAGAGGCTGGAGCTGGGGACCAAGGGGGTGGAGATAGGACTTGGGGGAGTCACAGGGGGTCCAGGCAGGGCCTGCATGGAGGGGCCCAGGCCCAGGCTGGCAGACCTCACACTCACCTGTCAAACCTTCCTGAATTAAACAAAAGGGAGCCTGGCCGTGACGGGGGAACCTCTAAACATTCAAGAACCTTCTAGAGGCAGGCAGGCAGAGAAGGCAGGGGGTGGGCCTGGGCCTGCCTGTCTCCAGGGGACCTGGAAAACTGAAAATGTCTGTTAGCCAGAGTGCAGGGCAGGCCTCAGGTGGGGCTGCAGACACCCTGGAGCATCTGCCAAGGGCGTGCACAGGTTGGGACAGCCCTGGCCAGCCTCTCCCCTCTCTGGGCCAACAAGAAGGGTAGTTGGGGTCACACCCAGCAGAGCAGGGGCCGGCCCTGTGGCAAAATCTGTCTCATCCTAACAAGGCCACCCCACTTCCTGCCCATTAGGCCATCACACATGCACACACGCACACATGCACGCACGCACACTTGCATGCATGCACGGACACCGAGCCTCCGGGCAGAGGCCCTGCCTTCCAGAGACTCACACAAGACAACATTCCCTCTTATCCAAGAAAGAGGAGGCTCTGCACTCAACCAGGCTTCCTTGGAGACGAACGACCACGTGCCCGGGTGTGGGAGGAGGCGCGGAGCCTGGAGCAGAATCGGGAGCACCAGTCCTCAGGAAATCAGGATTTCAAACATTCTTGTTTCTGTTTTTTTCGAGATGGAATCTGACTCTGTCGCCCAGGCTGGAGTGCAGGGGCGCCATCTCGGCTTACTGCAATCTCTGCCTCCCAGGTTCAAGTGATTCTCCCACCTCAGCCTCCTGAGCAGCTGGGATTACAGGCGCATGCCACCACCACACACAGCTAATTTTTGTATTTTTAGTAGAGACGGGGTTTCACTATGTTGGCCAGGCTGGTCTCAAACCACAGACCTCAAGTGAGGCCCCGCCATGGCCCCCCAAAGTGCTGGGATTACAGGCGTGAGCCACTGTGTCTGGCCAGAAATGAGAATTTCAAAAATTCTGTTGATTGCACCAGTGTGCTAGGATTTAGTGAGTGGCTGCATCTATAAACAAGGTCTACAAAAACGACTAAGAAACAAAAAAAAGCTCTAAGACATGAAAAATAATAACTGCTAGAATAAGAAACTATTTAAATAAGGACTGAAAAAATGAGAAAATTCCCAGCAAAGCAGAACAAGATAACAGAAAGACATAGAGAGACCACCGACCTGACAGCTCAGTATTTGGAGCTGCCCGGGCAGCCAGCGGCTGGAAACACCACCCAAGAGGGAATCACGTCCCAGGGCCCACAAACACAGCTCAGCGAAGGCCCCCCGGTGCCCAGACTCACACCTGACATGCACCTGCAGAGCCCACAAACACAGCTGAGCAAAGGACCCCCACCCCGCCAGTGCCCAGACTCACACCTGACACGCACCTGCAGAGCCCACAAACACAGCTGAGCAAAGGCCCCCCCCGCCACCAGTGCCCAGACTCACACCTGACACGCACCTGCAGAGCCCACAAACACAGCTGAGCAAAGGCCCACCCTGGTGCCCAGACTCACGCCTGACACGCACCTGTAACTGGGAGCTCCCAGACACTTGCTGCATTCAATCAATCAACCGATCAATCAATTAATCAATCAGGTATTCACTGAGCTTCTATTAGTGACAGGCACTTATGGCACTACAGAAAAAAAAGAAAAAACTTCCCCACCCAGGGGTTCAGTCCCTTGGATATGTGTTAGAGCTGAACAGAAATTTGCTGGAGGGACCCCCAGTCCCAGTCCAGCTGAAGTCCTGTTTGGATCTGGCTGAGCAGCCCCCCACATGCCCAACACAGGCAGGGAGCCCCTCCAGGATGACAGCTCCTACTTCAGTCTGAACTGCTGCTCTAAATAAACAACATGCAGTATCCAACAAAACATTACAGCGTATGCAAAGAGGTGGGGAAATGGGACCCCCTCCAAAGAGAAGAAACAGCCAACAGAAGCAGGACACAGTGTGACCCACTCTCAAGAGAAGAAACAGCCAACAGAAGCAGGACACAGGTGACCCACTCTCAAGAGAAGAAACAGCCAACAGAAGCAGGACACAGGTGACCCACTCTCAAGAGAAGAAACAGCCCACAGAAGCAGGACACAGTGTGACCCACTCTCAAGAGAAGAAACAGCCAACAGAAGCAGGACACAGTGTGACCCACTCTCAAGAGAAGAAACAGCCAACAGAAGCAGGATACAGGTGACCCACTCTCAAGAGAAGAAACAGACAACAGAAGCAGGACACAGGTGACCCACTCTCAAGAGAAGAAACAGCCAACAGAGAAGCAGGACACAGGTGACCCACTCTCAAGAGAAGAAACAGCCCACAGAAGCAGGACACAGTGTGACCCACTCTCAAGAGAAGAAACAGCCCACAGAAGCAGGACACAGGTGACCCACTCACAAGAGAAGAAACAGCCAACAGAAGCAGGACACAGTGTGACCCACTCTCAAGAGAAGAAACAGCCAACAGAAGCAGGACACAGTGTGACCCACTCTCAAGAGAAGAAACAGCCAACAGAAGCAGGACACAGGAGAACCACTCTCAAGAGAAGAAACTGCCAACAGAAGCAGGACACAGGTGACCCACTCTCAAGAGAAGAAACAGCCAACAGAAGCAGGACACAGGAGAACCACTCTCAAGAGAAGAAACTGCCAACAGAAGCAGGACACAGTGTGACCCACTCTCAAGAGAAGAAACAGCCCACAGAAGCAGGACACAGGTGACCCACTCTCAAGAGAAGAAACAGCCCACAGAAGCAGGACACAGGTGACCCACTCTCAAGAGAAGAAACAGCCAACAGAAGCAGGACACAGTGTGACCCACTCTCAAGAGAAGAAACAGCCAACAGAAGCAGGACACAGTGTGACCCACTCTCAAGAGAAGAAACAGCCAACAGAAGCAGGACACAGTGTGACCCACTCTCAAGAGAAGAAACAGCCAACAGAAGCAGGACACAGGTGACCCACTCTCAAGAGAAGAAACAGCCAACAGAAGCAGGACACAGTGTGACCCACTCTCAAGAGAAGAAACAGCCCACAGAAGCATGACACAGTGTGACCCACTCTCAAGAGAAGAAACAGCCAACAGAAGCAGGACACAGGTGATCTAAATGCTAGAATTTTCAGAAAAGGATAAGATAATATCACACATATATATATTTCATTGGAGAAAAAGATGAACGAAATTAATTCAGTGGATTGGCTGAACAGCAGCGTGGGTACAATAGAAGAACAGTGACCTCAATGACCAGCCAGCAGAAACTATCCTGACAAGCACCAAAGCAAAAAAGGGAGGTGGAGACCTCACAGCATGTCAGGTGCCTATGGAGCCCCCTCATAGTCTAAGGCACTTGTTCCCAGAGTCCCTCAATACAGGAAAGAGCAAATAGGGAAAAGGGCGCATTTTATTTTTATTTTTTTCTGAGATGGAGTCTCGCTTTATCCCCCAGTGTGGAGTGCAGTGGTGCAATCTCAGCTCACCGCAAACTCCACCTCCCAGGCTCAAGCAATTCTCCTGCCTCAGCCTCCCGAGTGGCTGGGATTACAGGTGCCTGCCACTACACCTGGCTAATTTTTGTATTTTTAGTAGAGATGGGGTTTCACCATGTTGGCCAGGCTGGTCTCGAACGCCTGACCTCGTGATCCGCCCTCCTTGACCTCCCAAAGTGTTGGGATTACAGGCATGAGCCACCGCGCCTGGCTGAAGAAGCCACATTTTAAGAGAGAACAATGAAGAATTTCCCCAAATGTACTAAATACATCAGCCCGTGGATCCACGGGGCTCACTGAACCTCAAGCAGGACAGACACCTGGAGGAACACACCAAGGTGGGTCACTGCGAAACACACAAAACCGAAGGATAAAAAGAAAACCTCAAAAGCAGCCAGAGACACACATCATACCCAGGGCCTCAGTGGTGGCTGCCTCTCACCAGCAGAGGACCATGGTGTAGCACCTGCTAAGCACTCAAAGGAAACCCAGAATTCTACATTCAGCAAAAGTATCCTCCAAAACTGAGGCTAAATACAACCGCCGGTAGTTAAATGAAAGCCGGGGGAACGTGTTGGACACAGACGTGTGGGAAGCCCTTCGGTCCGAGGGAGGTGAGCCCAGGCCACAGCCTCAGGGAGAGGTGACGGGCACTGGGAAGGGGGCACATGAGCCTAAAAACCTGTTCTTACAAGAGCATTTCTCGAAGACTGACCCTGCAAAACAGCGGATTTTGCGGACGTGACACCCAGGAAATAGAACACTCAATGCTGCAGTCCACGGGCTGTGTGGCTGGAAGGACGTCCTCACAGGCATCATACTCTGTGCCCACGAGACCCCCCAGCCTCAGGACCCTCCGTACTCTTAAGAGTTACTGACAAAATCAAAGTGCTGTGGTTTGTGTGTTTCTATCCACCAACATTACTGTACTTGAAATTAAAACAGAAATTTTATAAACACATCCCTCCCCCTCCCCTTGCCCTAGCTCGGGTGGCCCCAGGCCCTGGCCATTGCAAAGGTCCCCGTGCACCAGGTGAGCCCTGAGGTTGCCAAGAGCACTAATGAACTTGGTTCAGCTTGCCTGGTTCCAGTTCCCACTGGCAATGGACTTTGAAACTCTCAACTTTTCCCAGTCTGAAAAACCTACATCACAGAAAAGAACTGCCAGGGGCACTCACCTGCCCAAAGCTGGGAGCTCCGGCCTTTACCACAGCTGCCCTCCCAGGGGACAGTGGCCGAGGAGGCCGTGGTGGAGCCCGTGCAACAGAAGGGGCAGCCGCTCCAAGTCCTCTGCTGGGACCAAGTCCTCTGCTGGGACCACCGTGTGGGCAGTGAGCAGGTAATGGGTTCCTCCAAGCCAGTGAATTCTATGAAGGAAAGTGAGGGACCCAAGGGGGCAGAGCAGGCCCCGGGCAGGCAGGGGTGCCAGCTATCCAGCAGGGACCAGGGCTGCCTTTTCTGTGGGGCCTTAAAAAACCCAAATGAGGCTGACTAAAACTGGGTCCAATGAGAAAGTCTGGCAGCTCCTCAAAGTTAAACACAAGCCAGGTGCAGTGGCTCAAGCCTGTAATCTTAGCATGTTGGGAGGCCAAGGCTGCAGTGAGCCACAATCAAATCGCTGCACTCCAGCTGGACAACAGAGTGAGACCCTGTCTCAGAAAAATAAATGAACTAATTTTTTTAAAAAGGTAAAGACAGGGCCAGGCGCAGTGGCTCATGCCTGTAATCCCAGCACTTTGGGAGGCCCAGACGGGCGGATCATGAGGTCAGGAGATCAAGACCATCCTGGCTAACATGGTGAAACCCCCTCTCTACTAAAAATACAAAAAATTAGCCAGGCGTGGTGGTGAGCGCCTGTAGTCCCAGCTACTCAGGAGGCTGAGGCAAGAGAATGGTGTCAACCCTGGAGGCGGAGCTTGCAGTGAGCCGAGATCACGCCACTGCACTCCATCCTGGGCAACAGAGCGAGACTCCATCTCAAAAAAAAAAAAAAAAAAGGTAAAGACAGAATTACCACTCTGAGGTCTATGCTCCCAGGAACTGAGCTCAGGGACCCACGTGGGTACTCACACACACGTCCACAGCGCGCCACTCCTGAGAGCCACAAGGTGGAAGCAGCCACATGTCCACGGCAGATGATAGGCGAACAACGTGGTCTGTCCACACAGGTAAGTGCGTTCAGCCTCAAAAGGAAGGAAACCCCAACAGGGATGACAACAGGGATGGCCCTGAGTACATTCTGCTGTGTGAAGGAAGCCAGACGCAGACGGACGCACAGCATGGGACCAGTGTCTGTGACACGTCCAGAAACGGAAGGCAGGCCACGCTCCCACGGATGGAGGAGGGGCAAGAGAACGTGTGGCGCAGGGTCCCTTGGGGTGGAACATTCTGGAACTAGACAGTGGTGGCCGCGTAGCACCGTGAATGCGCTAACCGTCCCTGAATTGTATGGTTAATTTTATATTATGTGAATTTCATTTTAATTAAAAAAATTCAGTCTACTTTTTATCACCCTACACTAAACAATGTCAGTGATAAAATACATGCCATTTCCAAAACACAAATCTTCCTTGGCCTAAGTTCCAAACAATTGCTGCCTTTGAAGCTGCACCTTAGCATACTCTGAGGCTCCTTAGCTTCTAATGAACACCGCATTCCACACATAAGTTCATCCTGGGATCCCAGTGATGCCAACTCTCTACAGAGGGAAGTTCCTAGCGCCCTGAGATCCCCGGAGCACACTGTGGGGCAGTGGCATCCCCAGCCTCAAACTGCCACAGGGGCATGGAGACACCTTTCCAGGCGGAGAAGCAGCCTGGACACTCCCAGGCCGTCCTCCTCCTGCCCGGCCTCTGGAGATTCTATTTGCACATAGAATTTTAAACAACGGGACAATGGCAACTTTGGGGTGTGGTATTTTTGACCAGCACAAATCCTAGTTCGTACAGAAAAATTTGAGTATCTTTAATTTGAATATCTTTATGTTTGAAGGCAAACTCTTCCTTTTAAATTAATGAACAATTGTTTTTAAACTAAGCACAGATGGAGAAAACGCAGTTATATATCCCTGGGGATCACATGACTATTTCCAAGTCTGGCTACAGTAAACCGTGTGAGGAAGTGGCTGGCGCTGTGTGTCCAGTGTGGGAGGCAGCCCATTTTCCTCGGGGCAGAAGGCAGAGCTGGGCGCTGTGGCTGCCCACCACTGTGCAGCAGCAGCCCCTTACCCACCCGACCTCACCTGAGCTCCAGCCCCTGGGGCTGCTCCTTGGCTCTGGGGCCACTGATGCCCCCAGAGATGGCAGGAGGGGCTGATGGAGTGGGGGTGCCAGGCCCCACCACCCCAGGCTCAGCTCAGGCCCCTCCTTTTGGTTCCCCCGTTCTGCCCAGGCCCCGCCATGGACCTGTGTTGTCAGGGTCAGTGGGTGGTGGGCAGTGCAGGGAGCCCAGGCCACATGGCCCAGCTCCAGGCACACAGACCCCAGACGCCCATGACCACTTCCTTCCTGGCTTGGGGAAGTTCTACTGGGGAGCTGGATGCCAGGGCCCATGTGGGCTGTAGGGCTCCCAGGGCAGAAGGTCAGGGCACAGCCTGGGCACAGGGCCCCTCCACCTGCAGAGATACCACTGCCAGGGCCCTCAGGGCTGGACAGAGACAGCTCAGGCCCTGCAGAAGCCTCTGGCCTCCAAGAAGGATGAGTCTCCTACCATGGTCCTGGGGCACTGCCTCTGTGAGTCTCCCCGTGGCCCCTGCAAGGGGCTGCAGGGGTGGGAGGGGTGGGCCAGAGGGAGGGTCTCCTGGGCTGACCCCAGTGGACAGTGGGGTCAGGGCACACCACACCTGAGGGGGTGTCCCGAGGGGCCGTCCCCAGGGGCCGTCTGGGAGGCAGAAGCCCCCAGGGGAGCTCATGGCAGCTGGACATCTGGCTGGCTCCAGTCAGAGATCCTGGCTTAGGTCTGAGCTGGTGCCATGAGATGGGGAGAGACCCACCCCAGTCCCTGCCCAGCCCCATCCTCCCCAGGAATGCGGGTTCTGAACGCAGGCTCCTAACATGGGAAGAAGGAGGCCAGGGCCTGGGGTGCCGGGGGCAGCGCCTGCAGTGAGCCCCGCCCATCCACCCCTCAGGCCTACAGCAGTCAGAAAGGGCGTGCACGGTGGGAGGCCATGGGCGGTCCCGTCCCATGCGAGTGACTGCCACTACTGTGCCCTGGGCCAGAGACCCGACGGGCCTGGGACGCAGGGTTGCCTGGGACGCGGGGTTGCTGTGTGCGGCCAGGGCTAGTGATCCAACGGGCCTGGGTTGATCTGTGCAGCCAGGGCACCGTTGCCCACTCCCAGCAGGCAGGAGGATCCCCTCTGGGCTGGGGCTGCCTTATCTGACCCCCCAGCCACTGTCCCTGGCTCAGTAAAGGTTTTCCCACAGACACCTCAGCTCTGCTGGGCCCCTCCCACCACTGGACGCCCTCCCCGCAACCCGACCCTGTCTCGCATTTTCTGAGGGCGCCTGCTCCCTCGGCCCCGCCTACCAAACAGCTCAGACTTCACAGACCAGAGAGGACAGAGCAGCACAGCTCAGAGTTCACCAATCACAGGACGGGGCAGCACAGCTGAGACTCCACCCACCACAGGACGGGGCGGCGCAGCTGAGACTCCACCCACCGCAGGACGGGGCAGCGCAGCTCAGACTCCACCCACCGCAGGACGGGGCGGCGCAGCTGAGACTCCACCCACCGCAGGACGGGGCGGCGCAGCTGAGACTCCACCCACCGCAGGACGGGGCGGCGCAGCTGAGACTCCACCCACCGCAGGACGGGGCGGCGCAGCTGAGACTCCACCCACCGCAGGACGGGGCGGCGCAGCTGAGACTCCACCCACCGCAGGACGGGGCGGCGCAGCTCAGACTCCACCCACCGCAGGACGGGGCGGCGCAGCTGAGACTCCACCCACCGCAGGACGGGGCGGCGCAGCTGAGACTCCACCCACCGCAGGACGGGGCGGCGCAGCTGAGACTCCACCCACCGCAGGACGGGGCGGCGCAGCTGAGACTCCACCCACCGCAGGACGGGGCGGCGCAGCTGAGACTCCACCCACCGCAGGACGGGGCGGCGCAGCTGAGACTCCACCCACCGCAGGACTGCTGTTAAGGCTGGTGACCAAGGCCACGTTCCCCACAGGATGGGGCAGCACAGGGGGCAGAGCTCTTTTTGGGAGGGCAAGATGAGGGCCCGGATGCCAGGCCGGGCCAGTGGGCAGGAGCCTCTCCACATAGGGGCAGGCGCCTCTCCACATAGGGGCAGGCAGCGCCAGCGTAGGAACCCGCACAGCTGGCCCTCCCAGCAGGTGCAGCCCACCAGTGCTGGCGAGGTCCCCCGTCCCTGCCGTGGGGGCTGCATCCCTCACACATGAACACACTCCTCCCTCGAGGGGCCCTGGCCAGCCAGGGAGCGTGGCACGCACCTGCTGGGCTGGGCTGCAGGCAGAGCCAGGTCTGGCCTTGAGGAAGGTGGAGGTGCGGCTGGAGCAGCTGTGGGCCGGGAGTGTGGCCAGCTGGCACTCTGTGATGTGCGGCCCCTCCCCTGCCCACCGCTGGGCCAGACCTGGGCTCTCTTGGGGAGCAGAGGGAGGAAGGACAGATGCAGGGCCGGCGGGGACGTGCCCATCGGCTGGGGTGGCCCTCAGGGCTCATGGGGTGAGGCTGGTGCCCTACCAGGCTCCCTCCCCAAACTAGGGCCAGATGGGGCAGAACTGTGCCCCCTGCTCCGGCCCCAGCTTCAGGACCCCACCCGGGCAGGCCATGGCGGGGCACTGGCTGCTTTCCTGCTGATCTGGCCCAGGAGCAAGGCTGTGAGGAAGGAAGCTCAGAGCACGTCCAGAACCCGCTCTCCCCTCAGCAAGGCTGGCTCAGTGACCAGGAAGGAGGAACTAGCCAGCCTGAGACTGGAGCCCCCACCCTAGGCCCCTGAGGATCCCCAGCTGGTCTCCAAACCTGGGCTGCCTCCTCCAAAGCCCGCCCCCTCCTCCTTCCTGCCAAATCTCCATCTGTTGCCATGGTGATGGGAGCAGAAAAGGCAGACGCACGGCTGTTCTCTCCGCCCCTGCTCCTGCCCCCCTCAGCGGGGCCCTGGGCTGGAGCCCCCACCCCAGCCAGCAAGGGCCCTGGCCTCTGAGACTGGGGAACACCCACCTTCTGCACAAAAGGGCCGTCGAAGGCCCTCCTACCAAGTGGCTGCTGAAGCTCCTCCTCAGGCCACAGTGGTCTCGGTGGTGCCCTGCTGTGCCTGCCGGGTGGCGGGGGGGCCACCTGTGGCCTTCTCAACCAGAAGGGGTGTCCCCCAGCCCCTGAGAATGGAGGACCAGCCTCCCCCATGGTCCCACCCTAGGCAGGCGGGGGCTCCTGAGGGTGGGCGTCAGGCAGTGCTGACTCAGGGCCACAGGTGTGCCTGGGTGGGTGACCAGCCCTCAAAGACACAGTGTGAGCCCTGCACTCGGAGCCCCCGAGTCCACTCCCGGGGACCAGAGAGCCTGACGACATCAAAAGCGGCGTCTCGTGCTCAGCAGTGAGGCCTTTGAAGCACCGAAGTCTGCGGGCCCAGCACCCATCGCACACAGCAGCATGACTACGCTGGGTGCTTTCACGGCGCCCCCAAACACGGACTCTGCAACTGTCACCGCTCTGCGAGGCCGACGTCACAAACCCCCCCAAACACGGACTCTGCGACCGTCACCGCTCTGCGAGGCCGACGTCACAAACCCCCCCAAACACGGACTCTGCAACTGTCACCGCTCTGCGAGGCCGACGTCACAAACCCCCCCAAACACGGACTCTGCAACTGTCACCGCTCTGCGAGGCCGACGTCACAAACCCCCCCAAACACGGACTCTGTGTCCGTCACCACTCTGCGAGGCCGACGTCACAAACCCCCCCAAACACGAACTCGTCACAAACCCCCCAAAACACAGACTCTGCGACCGTCACCGCTCTGCGAGGCCGACGTCACAAACCCCCCCAAACACAGAC
Organism: Homo sapiens; assembly: GCF_000001405.40. Lineage (NCBI taxonomy): Eukaryota > Metazoa > Chordata > Mammalia > Primates > Hominidae > Homo > Homo sapiens. The sequence continues at coordinate 144,338 of NW_025791792.1, read as the reverse complement.
TCGTCACAAACCCCCCAAAACACAGACTCTGCGACCGTCACCGCTCTGCGAGGCCGACGTCACAAACCCCCCCAAACACGGACTCGTCACAAACCCCCCAAAACACAGACTCTGCGACCGTCACCGCTCTGCGAGGCCGACGTCCCAAACCCCCCCAAACACGGACTCTGTGTCCGTCACCGCTCTGCGAGGCCGACGCCATGAGCGCCCCACCTGCACGCAGGGCTCTTCCCTCTGCTTTTGGAGCCGCTGGTGCGCTCAGAAAACCTGTGTCTCCGGCAGGCTCCCCATCTCGGTGGTTCCTGAAGCTCTGTGGAGGCACGACTGACACGTGACAGCCAGCACGCATTTAAAGCACACGCGTGTGAAACCATGACCTGAGGGCCATCATACCTGACACCCCCAAAGCGTCCTTGTGCCCTTCATACACCCCCCACCCACCTCAGCAGTGGCTCTGTCTCTGGACGGCGCCTTCTCTACAACACCCATAAACAGAACCACACCGCACAGACACCAACTTCCGCGGACGCCACACAGCCTCCAAGGAGACACAGAAGTGACTCAAAGCCCCCGGCACACCCTGAGCAGGGGAGCCCCGGTGAACTGGGGGAAAAGGCCCTTCTCACGGAAGGTGCTCTGACCAGTTCGTTACAAAACCACCAACACTCCAACTGTTTTAAATGAGCCAAGGACAGGTAAATCGCTAAGGAAACACAGATGACTAACACCTGTGCGAAGGAGCTCCACTCCCACGGCCCAAGCAGCACGACTGAGCACAGGGAGAAGAGGCGGGCACGGGAGCATGAGGATGCCAGCTGCCCCGTCTGCAGCCCCAGCCTCTCCCTGACTCCCCCAGCTCCAGGCTGCAAGGGGTGAAGGGGATGGCTGGGGCGGGGCAGAGAAACAGAGAGGGAAATGCAGGCCCTGAGGAAAGCCAGGCCCATGCCTCCAGGGTCAGACGGCACACACAGATGTGTGTACACACACCCTTACACAGGCACACACATACACACACATCCCTGTACAGGCAGACACACATACATCCCTGCATAGGCAGACACATATGCACACCCCTGCACAGACATACACACACACACACACACACCTGCACAGGCAAACACCTGTATACAGATACATACACACACACACCCTTGCACAGGCAGACACACATAAACCTCCATAAGGCAGACATACACACCCCTGTACAGGCAGATATGCACACACACCCCAGCACAGCCACACACACACACACACACACACCAGCACAGGCAAACACACACCCTTGCACAGCCAAACACACACACACACCCCTGCACAGGCAGACGTGCACACACATACCCCTGCACAGGCAGATGTGCACACACACACACCCCACCTGACTCACTCTCAGATCTAGTAAGGACCAGCGGGGAGGGTTCCGACGTGAACCCTGACCTGTGCCATCAGGTTGAGGGTCTGCGATGAATTCCGCCTGTCAGGATGGCAGCCACAGGGGTGTCCTTGAGGGTCCAGGCCCTGGACCTGACAAGGAGTGGCCATAGCACTCAGGTGTCTCCTGGGAAGATGGGGGGACGTGGCACAGGCTTTGACCTCAGGATACCCCCAGCCTGGTGGCCGCTGTGTGAAGACCCCCACCCCATACAGCCTTCTCCCCAGTTCTCCCGTGGCTGCTGCCCTGGGGCTGGACGCTGGACTTCTAAGGTGGATGGTGACCTGGGACCCTGGACTCCACCCTCCCCAAAGCCAGGGGCTATGAGAGGATCAGCAGGAGCTGGATGGATTCCTGGGGCATGAGTGTGGGACTGCAGAGGACTGCTGGACACAGGGAGGGGAACTGGTCAGGTGGCCAAGAGAAAGCTCCAGCAGTGGAACTGTGGGCTCTAGGAACAGGCGGAGGGAGGCTGGGGCCCGAGGCCAGGCCCGCCTGTGCTCCCCACGCCATAAGCCTCACAGTTTGCCCCAGGGAGGCCAGAGGATGGGCTGCAGAGAGTATGGGGCTCAAAGGTGGATTCTGGAGTGGAAGGACCTGGGACCAGGAACCCCTCCACCAGGAGGTGATGGAGGAGGTGCCCAGGCAGCCCCTGCCCCCTCTAGCTGCAGGGCAGGTGGGCTCAGCTCCAGGGTGGGCAGGAGACCCAGGCGGCCTTCCCTGGAGGGCACAGGTGCCCTGAGGCTGTGGATCTGAGGGCACACTGGGCAAATGGAGCAGCAAACAGCCCCTCCCTGCCGGGCCCGCCCCACACTCTGGGAAAGCCCTCCTGGAGGTGGCACCTGCCTGGAGGCGGCGGGACCCAATCCCAGCGGAGCCAGTTGATCACGTTAGACTTCTATTAACTGGTTTTCACAATTCAATATTGAAAGATTAGCCCGATGAAACATTTTGATTGAATCCTGTAACTATTTGGTGATTCAGTCTCTGAAGCTAGTGTCCTAGTTTAGGGGCTGCGTCGAGGCCCCTAGAGGGTCTAGAACCCCTGCAGAGCTGCTAGAACCAGGCTGCTAGAACCCCTGCAGAGGTGGGGTCTGAGGCACCCCATGAAGGAAGGGGTCTCCTGGGGGTCAGCAATTTCCTTGAAGGTCATGCAGGGCAGGCGGCAGGAACAAGGGCCTCGGAGGGGAGGCCCGTGCAGGAAGACGGGTGGCACTGTGGCCAAGGGTCCGATGTGAGAAGCCCCCCAAGTGGACTCTGTGGGGCCAGGAACCTACTTCCTGTGGGGACACCACGGTGTTGCCAGAGGGCATAGGGGGCAGCAGGGCCCTCTGCAGGCAGTGGGGCTGTCGTGGACACAGCAGAGGTGGCCAGCGGGAGCCAGTCAGAGCCGGTGACCCACACCAAGCTCAGAGAGGGCAGGGGTGGGAAGGAGACATCAGATGTGGGGGACCCACGCAGACACCACAGCCACCACAGCAGCCTCCTCCAGGGCCTGCAGCTCCCTCCGCTCTGCACCTGCCAGGCCCCACCCTCGGCAGCCCAGGGAATGGCTACCAAGTCGCTGTGGTGACGTTGGGACCCCCTTCCCTGGGAAACCCTAGGAGCCTCCGCCTGTCATCCTAGGTGCAGGCAGACAAGGATGCACAGACCACACACATGCGCACACACGTTTGCACGCACAGGCAGGCACGCACGCACACACCTGCACATGCAGACGCACCACACACACACACGCACACAGACACACAGATATGCAGGCGCACACAAACCTGCACATGGACATGCACACACATGCGTGTACCTCGTGGAGGGAGCAGATGCCTGGGCTCCTCTTTTCCAAGCTGCAGGCTGACACCCTGCCAGCCCCACCACAGGCCCTGGGATGTGGCCCAGCGACAGGCCCACCCCCGCACCCTCCAGCAGCACAGCCAGCAGGCGGCCGAGTGCTGGACACACAGCTGTCCTGGCCTCTGCAGGCCTCCTCATGCCAGCTCCGTGTGGCCCATCCTGAGAGCCTGGGGCTTGCTGGCATCCTCTGCAGGGGTTTGGGCCCCCGCCCTCCTGTGTTGCCAAATACCAGCTCCGCTCGCCCCCCATGCAATTTGCTGAGCTCTCTGGGGTCCTGAGTGGCAGGGACAGCCCAGGTGTGGCTCAGTTTATCTTTTTATTGAGACAGAGTCTTGCTCTATCACCCAGGCTGGAGTGCAGTGGCGTGATCTCAGCTCACTGCAAGCTCCGCCTCCCGGGTTCATGCCATTCTCCCGCCTCAGCCTCCCCAGTAGCTGGAACTACAGGCACCCACCACCATGCCCGGCTAATTTTTGTTTTGTTTTGTATTTTTAGTAGAGATGGGGTTTCACCGTGTTAGCCAGGATGGTCTCCATCTCCTGACCTTGGCAGCCTTGGCCTCCCAAAGTGCTGGGATTACAGGCGTGAGCCACTGCGCCCGGCCCAGTTTATCTCCTAAGAAGGGACCTCTGGCGGCTGGGCAGGGAGAGGAAGGCCAGGCAGGAGGAGGGGAAGGCTGGGCAGGAGGAGCCGCTGGCCGAGGGACACCCTGACCTCGGCAGGGGAGCGGGCAACAAACAGTGTGAGGAGCTGGGACAGAGTTGGGAGGTTCCTGTCTCCGTATCTTGGGTGGGTTTAGGAGCCTGTGGGGGCTTGTGGGGGTCTGGGAAGGCTGGGGATGGAATGGCACAGGTGCAGACCAGCGTCTGACGTGGACAGAAGGGGCGCCTGGGGCTGGGCCAATCACTCGGCAAGGGGTGTGGGGCCTGCGGGGCCAAGGAGCAGGGGCTGGATGGGGTCACTGCCACGCAGGTAGGCAGGAAGGACCGAGCGCTGGAGATGCGGGCTGCTGGCTGGGGCCACACTCAGGAAAGGACGGACCTCCCCACCTCGGCACAGAGCACAATCTTTAGGCTGCCCTGAGCCCAAGAGCTCCGCACCCCATCTTCCTGGCTCAACCCTGGGTCCTCAAAGCTGGGGAGCAAAGGTCAACGGCCAAGCCTGTGCCCTTGGGGGTAGCTGGCGCCGCTGGTCGGTCCCCCATCCCAGACCCCTGGGCAGGACAGGGCATGTTTTCCTAGAGGAAGGGGCTGGGGCTGGCAGCTCGCTGCCTGTAACTGTGGGGTGCTGGCTGCAGGCAAGCCCTAGGATCCCAACTTCTCAACTATCATGCAGTGGGGCTGCCACCAGCTCCCCCAGCCATCCTGAGCTTCACGAGCCACAGGGGGAAGGCTGGGCAAGGCTGGCACCTGCACACACAGGTGGGCACGCACACACACACCTGCATATGCAGACACACCACACACACATACACAGACGCACACACCTCCCACCCCAGCTGGCACGCAGGGCTCCAGGAGCAACGTCAGCTCCTGTCCCAAGTGGGGAGACGTAGAGGATCCCAGGCAGAGGGCTAGGAGGGCAGTGTCCACATTCCCTGCCCCACTGACTGGCCCAGGGCTGTGGATGAGGCAGCCTGGCCCGGGCCGCTCCCAACCCCCTCCCAGGGTGACTGACCTCCCTGGGGAGGGGCTGGAGGCTGCTCAGGCCCCTCAGAGAGCCCCCCTACAACCCCCTAGACCACCAGAGATGGAGGCCCACACCCCTCAGAGAGCCACCCCCACCCCCTAGACCACCAGAGACAGAGGCCTGCACGCCCGCCTGCCTGCCACACCTTGGGGGCCTTGTGTCAGGACACAGGGGCAGCGAGGGCTGGGGAGGGACTCCACGCAGGGCCCTGCGGCCACCCTCCCACAGAGCGGGAGTGCTGAGCCCTGCCCCCAGCCCGGCGAGCCTGCCTGTCCCAGAGGAGCCGTCGCAGCAGTAATCTCCAGGGCGCGGTAAGAATAGAGCTGCTTAGTGGGCAGTGGGTAGCGGGCGGCTTGCGGGAAGGGCAGAGAGGGGAGAGGCAGGGGCTGCAAGCCCACGCCCGTTGCTCCTACCCTCCCAAACGTTAGCATCTGTCCCTGAGTGCCTTGTGGTCTTAGAGGCAGGGGCCACATCAGGAACCAGGGCAGGGCATCCACCTCCGGGGCGCCCCCTCTGCCCTCCCAAGGCTGGTGCTCTGTGGCATCCAGGGAGGGGCCGTGCAGATGGTCTCCCCCGAGGACCTTTCCCCACCCCAACCTCCTCTGGGTGCTGGGACAGGGACGGAGGGGAAGACAGAGCAAGGGCAAGGATCAGAGGCAGGTGCAACTCTCGGCCAAAGGGACGTCTGTCCTGGGAGGCTGAGGCAGGCGGAGGGCTGGCTGGGACGATGGCCTCCTCCCGTGGCCACTCCCCTGAAGAGGGGACGTGATAGGAGAGCAGGGTCAGGAAAAGGGGCAGCATCAAGGACACGGGGCCCAGAGACAGGAGGGGAACACAGAGGAGTGAGGCCCTGGGCAGGGACACAGCTCCGCGCACCCAGATTGCGGGCAGCTGGGGCAGGCAGCAATCAAAGGGTGGCCGCAGGGCTGAGTCTCCAACCTCCCAGGGCCAGGCTGGAGGTGCTGTGTGCCCACACCAGCTTCTGTGGGACAGTGGAGAGGGTGCTGGCTCTGGAAGCTTTCACCCAGACAGATGTGAACTCTGCTCACACTTCACTGGTCAAAGAGCGAAGCCCAGGAGAGGGGCAGGGGCTTGGGTACAACTCCAGGCCAGGCTCACCCCATTCGCCCCATCTGACCAGGCCCACCGCCCGCCTCCCATCCCAACTCCCGTGATGCCACCGTCCCAAGTTGGGCAGTGGGGCCTGGAGCCCGGCCGCCTCCCCACGTGGGGAAGCGCTCAACGTGTTTCCCCCAGAGAAGCCAGGACACTTCCAGGTCACTCTCTGCACAGGCCCTGTGGGGGCTTGGTTTATCCAACGCCACCAGGAGCCACAGAGCCCAGAACAGAGCCCACTTCTGTCTCACCAGCATGGGGGTCCACAGGCGACCATCAGTGCACCAGGTGCCACAACAGGACTGTCACCAGCAGGTGAGGGACCTAAGGGGGCTGTCAGACACCACTGAACTGGGGTGATGGGAGCTCAGGACACACCGTCAGAGGTGGGGTATCAGTTATCCCCCTTTCACACCAAACAGCCAGCTCCAACCGCCTGGGCCCCTCCTCCGCAGCCCCTGCCCATCCCATGAGCCTGCGGGTTTCGTGGCCTCCTGAGTGGAAGGAGCAGAGAGGGGGCTGAGACCAGGAGCGCAGGGCCCCCAGGCCCAAGAGCAGCCTTCAGCTCCAACCCCAGCACCAGCAGGGGCACCAGCAGGGTAGCCCTGGTGGGGAGGACCCCACAGTGACCGGTGAGCCAGTGACGCTGTGGCCTGCGGTGAGGGGTGGCTGCCTCACGTGCTCTGCCACGCACAGCAGCCTCCATCCTGGGCTGGGGGACAACTGCCACGTTCCCTCCAGCAGACAAGGCTGGCCAGTCCGGTCACAGCAGGCAGTGACAAGGGCACTGCCCCAGGGGAAGGGTAGCGTGACACAGACCCCCCGAGGATAAGGCCCCAAGCCAGCTGACCCCACAGTTGAGCTGTGGAATGGGGAACTCAACACCCCATGGGTGAGAGGCCGGGCAGAGGCCTGCAGCCAGGCACCTACCCCGTGGTGGCCCCGGGGGGTCCCGCCCGTCCTCCCACCCACGCCATCTGCAAACGCCCTCGGCGGCTCTGGCTTTTGCTGGAGAGGGCGCTCATCTGTGCACTTTACGATGAGTCACAAATCCCCGGGGATTTGGGGTTTAGGGTCAACAAACCTCCAAGCAGATCCGAGCCCTCCATCTCCTCAGAGGCAGTCACAGCCCCTCACTCTGCCGAGCTCAGCGCCGCTCCCGCCTCCTCTGCTGGGGGCCTGTTCCCTCCCCGTGTGTCAGCTGCCCCCACTCCACTCCCTCTGCCTTTGGCAGGAGACCCTGTGTCCCTGAGTGAGGGGCTGTGGGCCTCAGTGGCCTTTTCTGTCCTGGCCTCCTGAGTCCTGGCCCTCTGCCAGTGCCCAGGCAGGATCAGATGAGGCCCTAGAGAACCCTCTCCTGTGTGTGGGGAGCTCCAGGGAGACGCTGCCCCTCACCCCCCAGGAGGAGTCAGGAGGGCTGGCTGGGCTGGCCTGAGGGGCAAGTCCCTGGAGAAGGGTGGGGCAGCCAGAGGGTTACACGCAGCACCACCCACCCTTTGCAATGCTCCTCCCCGGAGGCGGGGCTCAGGCACGGACAAGGTTCAGGTGGAGGCAGCTTGGAGCTGAGTTTGCGGCAGTAGCTCCTCTGCCCATGACCATCCACCCCCAAGGCCACCTTCTCAAACTCCTGCAACTAACCTACCCTTAGGCCACATGAGCCCTGAAACAAGGTGACTTGGAGGAGTCTGTCACAAAGGGCTCCCAGGAGTGCGCTCCAGGGGACATGGATCAGACCCCACCACAGCCTGCTGTGCCTGCCCCGCCCCGGGGAGCCCCGACACCCACCGCCTCTGGAGAGCGCAAGGTCAGGCCCCCCAGCCTTCCCCAGGCTGCTCCATGCCTGCTCTCCGGCACCCACACGCAGGGGCACCCTCAGCTCTGCGGGGCCCTGGCCCTCCCTCTCCCCTGTAAGTTAAAGACAGAGAGGCCCTGGCGGGGCACGAGGGGTGGGTCCTGTGGGTCTGCTCAGGGCCCAGGGCTGGGGGACTGGCCAGCAGGAGGCACCGAACACATCTGGTTTCCTCCTGCCCCTCCTCAGCACGGAACCAGAGACCCACAGCTGACGACAGGTTTGGGATCTTGCCAAAAATCACCGGCCCTCACATAGCTTCTTTCCAGCTGCAGCTGGGCTGTGAGGACCCAGCGCCAAGGCAGGCGCCCTCGCGGGAGGAGGAAGCTGCAGACTTCAGCACGGCTGGTGCTGGACAGCTCCCTGAGGGCCTCTCCGCCTCCCGAACAGGGCATAAGGTCCTTTCCTCCTCCTCAAAGTCGGCAAACTCCCTGCTGTGTCCCCACAGTCCGCTCTGGCACGACGCAGCAGAGCAGGGGCTTCCATACCACCCACGGCTGCTGCCGCCTTCCCTGGAGACCAGAGAGGACGGGCAGAGGCTGCACCGGCGGTTGGCATGGGCCCGAAGGGGCTCAGTGCAGCCTGCAGGAGGTGGGGCTGCTGGCCCAGGAGTGATGTTCCCTGGCTCCAGGAACATACTCCGGGGTATGCTGGCCCTGGTCCCAGGGGCTCCTGAGCGACCCTGGACCGTGCAGGAAGGTGGGGGACTGGAAGAGCGACCTATTCTTCCAGGTTGTGACAATCCCAGGCAGACAGACTCACTATGAGACACAGACACTTCCAGGAGGGCACCCGCACCCCGGGCGTGAGCCCCGACTCACAGACACTGGCAGGAAATCCCAAAATACAGACCCGCGAGGGTAGCCGTGCATCAGTTGCTCACGGGTGAGGTGTGATGCCGGGGGCATGTGCTGAGGACACAGGCCAGGTGCCTCAGCAGGAGAACTCTGTGAAGACGGGAGCCTAGAGGCCTGCGGAGTGGGCAGGGCGTCCCCTGCCCCATGCAGCTCTGTGACCGGCTCCACCCTGCCCCGTGCAGCTCTGTGACCGGCTCCACCACTATTCTGTCTGCTGGTCCTCCCTGATGCCCAACGGTGGCTGTCCTGACACTCATGTGGCCTGAATGAAATGAGCCCTCATGCCCCGCATTGAGGCCAGGCTGGGAGCTGGGCATGCACCAGCAGGGATGGAAGGAAGGAGGGTCACACGGCCCCGCCGCCGGCAGCCACTGGGCCAGAGGAGCAGACGCCACAGGGTCCCAGCACCACGAGGAGCCTGGGGAGGGCCATGGCTAGACAGGAAGGGCCCTAGCCCTGGACCGGCTCCTCATCTGCACCCCTCCCAGTGCCACAGTGTCCGGGGTGGGTGGCCGCAGGGCCCAGGCAGAGCCGGCAGGTCCTCCACTACCTGCCCCCACCCCCGACCACAATGGAGAACACAGCTGACAGGGGCCCATTCCTCCCATGTGGCATCTGCCCCCCGAGACCACCTGCACGTGTGTGACACACAGTGAACGTTCCAGCATGTGTGTCCCCAGGCGGGCAGGGCATTTTGCTGGCCCCGTGCCTGGCTTGGTGCTGGCAGTGTTCGGTGCCCAGGAAGGATGTGGACGGGTGGAAGACAGTACCCACGGCCGCTATACAGGGTCAGGGATTATGGAAGAGGTGGTCACTGCCCAGGGTCAGGGGTTATGGAAGAGGAGGCCACCGCCCAGGGTCAGGGGTTATGGAAGAGGAGGCCACCGCCACCCCAGCTCTCCAAGTGGGGTCCCCCAACCAGCGTCAGCATCACCTGGAAACTTCTGAGAGATGCAGAGCCCAGGCCCACCCCATGCCCGGGCCTCCGGGGAAAGCTGAGGCTTAGGGCCCCTGGGAACAGCTCCCAGCCATGGAGGGGGCGGGAGACTGAGTCCACGGCCCCACGCAGAGCCCAGCGCCTGCCCACTCCCTCCTGCAGGGAGACTGGGCTGGCGGCGGAGGCCCAGGCCTGGGAAATGTTCTTTTAAAGTTAAAATCCCAGCATCCGACTGGCTTCCTGCCAGTTTCTAGAAATCAGTGCTAATTTCTCAGGGTGATAACGGCCCTTTGGTTTTCAAGAGTTTCTCTGTTATATGTGCAGACCAAATGTTTACAATAAATGGTGGCTGGGACTATTCCTGCGTAACGGAGGTGGGGGGTGTTGCTGGCGGCTACAGGCGGTGCTCGCCAGGCTTGGGGCACTCTCCTCTGCTATGTGAAAACACCAGGACCCGGAGCGAGGCCTCCATCCCAGAAAAGCCTCGGGAACCACAGAGCTGGGGTTCAGCCACGACACACCCCAGGGTGCCAAGGAAGAAGGAGGCTGGGCCCGACGGCACCGGGGAATTTGGTCGGCCCAGAACTCACTGCTTCCCTGTACCCCAAATCCCCCATGTCCACCCGGCAGAAGGCAGGGCCACAGCAGATGACATGGGATGTGTCCGGGGTTACTGTGGCAGCAGAGGGACGGGCAGGACAAGCTCCTCACCAGCCCAGAGCCCTGGGGGGACAGCTGCCAGTTTGAGCCCCGAGGGACTGTGCGGCCCTGGCATCCCCAGCTGACCAGCCCGGCCTTGCCACAATCCCTATCACGGCTCACGGCTCCCCTCTCATTGTCCCCAGCAGAGAGAGCTCCACAAAAATCCCATCGGCTGGGGGAAGGCAACACAGTGACGCCATCTGAGCTGCTTCTCCCCACCCTCGGGCATCCTGGCCCACAAGCCATCTCCCCTCCTCGGCTGTCCTGAGGCTGACGCTGGCCCCAGTGGCAGGGCCAGGCCCTGGGCTCAGTCCCAGCAAGAGCAACCCCCTGGCACCACCCCACCATCCTATCCAAGCCACTTCACAGATAGGGAAACTGCGGTGTGGACACAAGTGACCACTCAGCCAGCGTCTGGAACCAAGTACCCTGGAGGTGGCCCTGCCCTGGGGGGCCTGCCCACAACAGACAGCACAGGAACGTCCTGGCCAGAGACCCCCAGTCACAACGGCTCTGTGGCTCTGGCCTGGGGCGGGGCTGCCTGCCCAGCTCCTTCCTGGCTGGAGGTGCCCGTGTGCTGTGGAAGGGACGGAGTCATTCCGCAGCCCCCCTGCAAACCCTGTGTGCAAGAAGTCACCACGGGGCTGGCAGAGGGACCCAAAGACCCAGGACGGCGCAGGACGAAAGCCAGGGACGGCCGCGGGTGCCAAGGGCCAGTCTCCGCCCCAGACACCAAAGATAAGCGGAGGGGCTGGGGGGGCTCCAGGCTCCAGGGGGCCCCACACATCTCCTGGCGCCTACCAAGGACCTGGGTACACCCAGGCCCCATCACAGATGAGCAGGAGGGAAGCTTGAGTGCGGGGACCAGGACTCCTGAAGCCACACCGGCAGGGCCTGCAGCCTAACCCTGGGGAAAGGGCTGCCCTGGGGAAAGGCCTATGCGGACTGGGGCCACCGCCTCCTGTCTGGACACCTCGGAGCTTGTGTGGGAGGGGAACCTCTGGCCCCCTGGCCTGGCTGGCCCTCTGTGCTGCCCTGCGCTCTGCAGAAAGTTAATGGCACCAAGGGGCTGCACAGGGGGCAGCTGAATGAGCCCCCATCTGGCCACCCCAGGTCTCTGAGAACCCAGCTTTGGGGCTGCCTCTCCACCCCCTGTATCCCCAGGGGGCAGGGCCAAGGCGCCTGACATGGCCACCCTGGCCACCACCCTTCCCGGGGCGGGTACCACACCTATTACCTCTGTCCGCACAAGATAACTCTCGGACCCAGGGCAGCAACGTCACCCCCGCCCAGGGAAGCAGCCAATCAGGGGCCCAGGCCAGCCCCAACCAGGCAGCTCAGGCAGCAGCTAGCCCTGCAGCTGATTCAGGGTGCCGAGGACACGAGGCCCGATGCTAGCTGTGAAGAGGGGCTTTCCCTCAGCATGGAGGGCCACTAGGCACTGCCCCCCAGCCCCTATCCTGACCCCTTCTCCCATACAAAGGGTTCCCCGGGGGCTCCCAGGCCAAGACACCCGCAGAGGCGACATTCCTGGCCAGGCAGGCTCCCTGTGCCCCCGCAAACCACCCACAGCTGGACTCAGCCCGACTTGCAGCCATCCCCGCTGTATCACGGGGATCATGCAGGCAGCCGTCCAGGCGCCCTCCCACCTCTGCCCGGGGCCGGGAAGGCCAGCCTGCCCTCCAGGGCCCTGGGCTCCAGCTTAAGCCAAGTGGGCAGTGATGGCGTGAATGCCCTGGGCACCCCCATCCCCCTCAGGCCAAGGTGCCCAGAACTCCCACTGGCCCTACCCAGCCCCACCCCAGCCCAGCTCCATCCCAGAAGTGTCCATTCCCCTCAGCCAGTGCCATGAGGCTGCCATGGCCACCCAGGAAAGGCAGCTCTGTCCTCATAGGATGGTACCCCCAGGGCAGACAGGACCCAAGCTCAGCCCAAGGACGTGGCACCCAACGAGGAGCATGGTGCCCAGAGAGACACATGCCAACCGATGGGACCTTGCCATCCACTGGGGGTGGTGCTGTCACTCTCCAGGGTTCGGGGAGGAAGCCAGGCCCAGCCTGCAGCCCAGGCCCCTGGGGCAAAGCAGCGTAGGGCAGCCACGGCCTCCGTGGGCCCCGGGACTGAAGGCAGAACGAGCCTGGGAAGCTGGAGGCGTCCAGGAAAACGAGGAGTTTCTCTTTAACAGCAGGACTTTCGGGAGCACTGCTCTGTGGGTGGGGCCTGGCTCCCAGCTGCTGGGCCCAGAACACTGGCCCCTCAGAGGCGGTAGAACAAGGCCTGGACCTGGCAGGCCGGGCCCTGAAAGGCAGCCGGCTTGGCACAATCCGTGCTTTGTCCCTGCAGCCTCTGCCCCAGCCCAGCCTCCATCTTGTCCAGAGCCCCAGGCAGCTGGCTCAGGGCAGCCTGGCCCGGCGGACATCCCTGGGGTGAGGCCTCAGGGAGATCTGCAGGCCGCTTGGTCAGCCTAGGCTAGGACCTGGGGCTTGGGCCTGACACAGGCACCAGCCCTACAGGTGAAAGCGGGGCTGCCCTGCACAGAGGAGGTGGCAGGGTGCCGTTAACTTCCTGCAGAGCACAGGGCAGCACAGAGGACCAGCCATGTGAGCCCCAAGGGGCCTGACAGATGCTGGTCTGCCGTCCTCCTGCGCGGTACGGTGTTTCCAGCCATTGGAACCTCGCACAAGCTTCAGGGAAACCCCATTCTACACTCAGGGGCCCTGAGGTCCCAGTCCTTCCACTTCCGAGGGGCCAGGGTCCAGGTGGGCTGTCCAGAGCTGAGGGCAGGGCCCAGAACTGCACAGTGATGCCCCACAGTGCCACCATCTAGGCACAGCCCCACATAGGTGGATGCCGGCGGCCGGCAGTCACGGGGACCAGCCCGCCTCCTCTCCTGGTGCCGGCTGCCCAGCAGGGCTGCTGACTTCAGAGACAGCCTGACCCTCCCCAGGTGCCCAAAGAAGCTAGTCTGTGCCCAGTGAGGACTGGAAGGCACAGAAGCCCTCAAGCAAGCGCCACCAGGTGATGGCAAAGGGGCCTTCCCGACGGCTCCTCCTGAGCGCCAGTGGCCGACGGGGAGGCACAGCCCACTCAGGCTGTTCCCAGGGACTGGGGTCTGACCTGCCCTCGGGCCAGCCTGGAGGGGGTCTCCTGTCTGCTTCAAAGCACCCAGAGCGCCGGAGCAGGGTGAGGCCATGATGAGAGGGCCCGGGGTCACTCCGCAGACTCGGGAGTGAGAACCAGGAGAGCTCGCTTAGGCCCAGGTCCGGGAGCCGGTCCGAGCAACTCTGGTGTCCTGGGGTACAGGCCTTGCTGGCCCCATGCAGTCCTCGAGGCGGCTGTAAGGGAAGAGGGACCAGGAGTGGGGGACGTGGGTGGAAGGGAAGAGGGACCAGGAGTGGGGGACGTGGGTGGAAGGGAAGAGGGACCAGGAGTGGGGGACGTGGGTGGAAGGGAAGAGAGACGAGGAGCGGGGGACGCAGGGGTCCACACACACCTGGCACAGCGACAACCTTAAGACACTCCCAGCCACCCTCAGAGCAAGGAAGGGACCTGGCCACCTCGGCAGCCAACGATGGTGGGGACCCAGAGGCCCTGGAGCTTGGGTCGTGGGCAGGAGCCACGGCCCTTGATAGTAGCTCCAGCTGGGCCTGCGTGAGATTTGCCAGAAACAGATCCCCTTGAAGCCTAGAGGCCAACCTCACATCACAGCCCAGGCCCTGCATTCCCCAGTGGTTCTGGACACAACTCCCTGCTCGGGCAGATGGTGGAGCAGGCGGGGCAGCAGCCAGCCACGGTGACTCTGGAAAGCCCTCCCTGGCACAGCTGGGGGAGGGGGCACAGCCTGGCCTTGAGGCTTCCACATCCAGGAAATCCACGGCGTGCACGCACCTCAGCAGAGCAGGGCCAGCACGGCCAGCACGATCAGGGCCGGGCGGTGCCCTCTGCCCAGCGTGTCTTTTCCAGCCATTGCCAGTGACAAGGCAGGGAGACCCACGTCAACAGGGACACACACACCTGAGGTGCCCAGGGCCACAGTGGGTGGGGACAGGACAAGGGCCTAGGGCTCCCGCCTCCAACGACCCTCCCGCCCCCGCCTAGGGGAACTGCCGTCCTCACCACCCGGAACCTCTGTGCCAAGGGCCCTGACAGGGACACTCAAGGCCAGCTCTCAGCTGGAAAGGGGGCTCCCTGTGGAGGGCATGCAGGGCAGGAAGACGCCAGGGGCAGCATCTTGAGGCCTCCACCCTGGCGCAGTCACTGACATGGCGCCCAGCGACACCAAATGGGCCTTTCCAGGGACTTCAGGGGGCCAGGGAGACTTCAGATGGGAGGGCTACCCACCATGCTGGCTCCCCGGGCTCTGTGCACGGCGCCCCTGAGAACAGCGTCCTGAGACCTCAGCTTGTAGAAACCCCGTGCAGGGCAGATGAGGGGTTCAGTCCAGCCCCAGGCTGCTGCTGCCCTGACAAAACAGCTGGGGTCAGATGGCCAGGGCCTGATGTGGGGAAGGCCACAGAATTCCTGGGGTCTCGCAGCAGACACCCCACGCTGAGTCCACCTTCACCTTCATGGCTGGGGAGGCTGCCGGGTCCTGTCTACCCATGCGCTCTCCGGGCTCAGCCCTGCACAGCCCATCTCCAGGGGCCCATCTCCAGGACCCATCTCCATGGCCCATCTCCAGGGGCCCATCTCCAGGACCCATCTCCAGGACCCATCTCCAGGACCCATCTCCATGGCCCATCTCCAGGACCCATCTCCAGGACCCATCTCCATGGCCCATCTCCAGGGGCCCATCTCCAGGACCCATCTCCAGGACCCATCTCCATGGCCCATCTCCAGGACCCATCTCCAGGACCCATCTCCATGGCCCATCTCCAGGGGCCCATCTCCAGGACCCATCTCCAGGACCCATCTCCATGGCCCATCTCCAGGGACCCATCTCCAGGACCCATCTCCAGGACCCATCTCCAGGGGCCCATCTCCAGGACCCATCTCCATGGCCCATCTCCAGGACCCATCTCCAGGACCCATCTCCATGGCCCATCTCCAGGACCCATCTCCATGGCCCATCTCCAGGACCCATCTCCAGGACCCATCTCCATGGCCCATCTCCAGGGGCCCATCTCCAGGACCCATCTCCAGGACCCATCTCCATGGCCCATCTCCAGGACCCATCTCCATGGCCCATCTCCAGGACCCATCTCCAGGACCCATCTCCATGGCCCATCTCCAGGGGCCCATCTCCAGGACCCATCTCCATGGCCCATCTCCATGGCCCATCTCCAGGACCCATCTCCAGGACCCATCTCCATGGCCCATCTCCAGGGGCCCATCTCCAGGGGCCCATCTCCATGGCCCATCTCCAGGACCCATCTCCAGGACCCATCTCCAGGACCCATCTCCATGGCCCATCTCCAGGGGCCCATCTCCAGGACCCATCTCCATGGCCCATCTCCAGGGGCCCATCTCCAGGACCCATCTCCATGGCCCATCTCCATGGCCCATCTCCAGGACCCATCTCCAGGACCCATCTCCATGGCCCATCTCCAGGGACCCATCTCCATGGCCCATCTCCAGGACCCATCTCCAGGACCCATCTCCAGGACCCATCTCCATGGCCCATCTCCAGGGGCCCATCTCCAGGGACCCATCTCCATGGCCCATCTCCAGGACCCATCTCCAGGACCCATCTCCAGGACCCATCTCCAGGACCCATCTCCATGGCCCATCTCCAGGGGCCCATCTCCAGGACCCATCTCCAGGACCCATCTCCATGGCCCATCTCCAGGGACCTGCACACCACAGCCCATCGCTGCCCGTCCTGCTCAACTTTCTAAACAGACCCCATCTCAGACCAGCTTCCTTCCCCTCCACATCTGCCTCCAGCTTCTGGGCCTGGGGTCACCCCCAGGGTCTCCCAGGCACAGGCTCTCCCTCCCCTCACCTGTTCCATCTTCAATGACTCCTCCCATCCCAGGACCCCTCTCCACCCTGGCAGCCACCAGGGCTCAACCTTCCTAAAGGCCATTGAGAACATGGAGGGGCGGCCCCAGGTCCCTGGCAGCCTAGGTCCCTCCCCCACGCCACAGCAGGTGAACACTGCCAGGTGAGCTGCAGGGCAGCCCCTCATCCTAGCTCCTTCGTTCCCTCGCAGGGAGCCCTATCGCGGCCATTATTCCTTTCTCCCGCCCCCCAGACAGAGGATTCCCGAAGGCAGGCCCCTCATCGTCCCATGCAGCCCACCCGCCTGCCCCCAAGAACAGCTCCAAGGGCCCGAGGTTCTCCAGCTCCTCCCACAGGGCCCTCCCAGGCCTCCCAGATTTCAGGAGCTAAGCCGAGGTTTGGGCAAGAAGGTGCCCTGCTCCACGTACTGATGGGGCACAGGGACAAAGGCGCGCAGGGACAAAAGCCACCCAGCCCGTGCCACACACCCTCCTGGACCTGCATGCTCCAACTCGGAGTGTCTGCGCCCTCCAACCTCCATGGTTGCCCTTGCTGGCAGGGACTGTGTCTCGGCATCTCTGCAGGGGTCAAGCTCAGATGAGGCTACACAAGCCTTTCTCAGCCCCAAGAAAAGCTAAGGCAGCACCTTTGCAGGTGGGTTCCCACCCCAACCCCAGCCTACATCCCCCTAAGTCTTGGCCAGAAACCACCAAGCAGCCGGCGAGGAGGCTTCCACAGATGCTCAGTGCTCTGACGGCTTCACCTGGTGCCTGGCACCGGCAGTGAGACCACTGAAGGCAACCCCCACAGCCACCGAGGGGAGCTGTGCAGAGGACGCCCCATGCAGAAGGACGACCCTACAGCCACACTGGCCCTGCAGGACGCACAGACCCAACAAGACAGGGAGGTGCCGTACAGGTGAGACCATGCAGCGCTCACGCTGAAAGGCAGAAGAAGACAGCCGACCGGACCCTGCGGCGTCTAGAAGGGCGTCCTCCAGGCCCCGGTGGGGGTGCTGCGTGGTCTCCCCTCCCCACACGGCCAGACTCCCCAAGGGCAGGTTTCGGACCACATCTTTGGCCCACCGTCCAGCAGGCCCCAGCTTGGGTCAGCCGGGTGGAAGGGCTCTCGTGGCACCACAAGGCTCACTGCCACTGCCACTGACCACCTCCCTCTCAGTGGCCACCTCAAGTCGAGCAGCTCCTCCTTCCAAGGTCTCAGGCTGAGAGAGATGAACAGAGAGGGCCAAACAAAGCTGCCAGCCACAGACACGGGGAAGGGGCTGGAGTCGCGTCCACACCAATGGCCCCCCAAGCAAGGCCTCCACAGCTCCCCTGTGGCCAGGTCCCTGGAAGGAGAAGCGTTCTCAACGGCAGGATCAGATCGTCCTCGGGTGGTGGCGGCCAGAAGCCCAGCCTCCCGTTCTCCCACGGAGGTCTCCTGGCAGGAAGCCTATCTCCCTCTTGAGCTTGGGACCTGGCAGCTCTCCTGGCATCTGGTGCCAAGTGGCCCAGCACACACACTCCAGGCCCCATGTCCACCCAACTCCTGGTGACCCTTCAGCAGCAGCAACAGAAGACGCACAGAAATGGTGGCCTTCTCCAGGGCCCTCCCGGTGACACGCTTGCGCTCTGCCCGTCATAACTCGGGAGAGAGGGGCCGCTTTGTGCCCCCCCTCGAGCTGTTTTCTAAATATCTCTCTCAGCACGTTGTAGACACACACAGCCCATCCTTTTGTATTCATTACTGTTAATTACAGTGGAAACCTCCCGTAATTAACTGCCGCCAGCAGAATGCCATGAAGAGTGGAGACCAGCCCCTACCCACCGAGGCCGCGCACAGCACATAACTCATCGTGTCTTCATTTACACGCAGATGTTTCCTTATAATAACATTTTATTGGGACCGTAATTGGATTATCTCACTGACTCCTGCATCCTGCTGCCCTGGGCCCCTCCTTCACCACGGATTTCACACACTAGTTTTTCTTTCCGGGAAAGACGAGAATTTTGAACTCAGGTGACATGGGCTGAATGCCACCTCCTTCTCCAACCCAGGCTGCACCACCCCACCTGCCCAGGTCCTGCCCTGTGGCCAGGGGCCCTTCCGTGCCGTGGCGGGTGGCGGAAGGCTGTGCACCCAAGGTGAGGCAGCTCCCCTGAACCCCTCAGTCTAAACCCCTTCCTGCAGCTCTGCCGTAGTTACATCACAGCCACGGCCCTCCCCCAAGAGCCTGGGCCTGGCCCACTTTCTTTCCCCAACGCCACCTCCCAGCTCCTCCTCTGTGCAGCCGTGAGGGGCTGAGCCTCCACCCTGCACCAGCGCTCTCCTCCTCCTTCCCTCCACCCCTGCCCGCCCGGGTCTAAGGAACTTCTCGGATTGGAAGGGAGAGGCAGTGCCGTGGGACCTCGGGGACACCAAGAGACAGGCCGGTCCTGAGAGAAGAAAGAAAATGGCTGAGCCCCAGCCTCCACAAAGGCGACTCTGTGAATGTGCCTGACCAGATGAAGGGCTAGCCAAACCCAGCGGGCCGGGGAGAGTTGGCCACATGCGAGGGTAGCTGGGTTGCCTCTGGCCTGGGTTCGGCCCCGCAGGGACCCGGCCTGTTCCCTAGAATGACAGCCAGGCCCCACCGGGAAGCCCCCTCCACCGGCAGGCCGCGGGGCTGCTCCACGGGTCAGGTCCCACGCACTTCTGGTCCCAGCACCAATGGCCTCTCCCTGCCCCGTGGGAATGCAGGTCACAGACGCTCCGCCCGCCCGAGCCCGAGCCGGAGCAGCGCAAGGCGCTGTCCAGCCCTCTGCAGGTCCCCGCACTCTCCCGCCCCCACCGCGGAGGGAGATCGGGCCTGCCCGGAGGCCCCGGTGGCCGGCGCGCGGAGGTGGGAGTCCCGCCGGGGGCGCAGCTGCTCGGGCAGCACGCCTATTAGCGCGGCCGCGGCAGACGGCAGATGGGCGCCCGCGCGGCCCCCTCCTCCCGCGGCACAATGGGCCCGGTCGCTGGGGCGCACAATGCGGCCCGGGCCGCGCACCTGCAGCGGGGCCCGAGGGGCGCCGTCCCGTGCGCCCCTGTCCGCCTGCGCGCCCCGCGCCGCGCCGCGTGTCCTTGGGCCGCGCCCGGCCGACCGCAGCCAAGCGGCCTGCGGGATCCGCGGCGGAACCGGGGCGCACGAGCGGACGGGGGCGCACGGGCCGCCCATTGTTCGCGGCCGGGGCCCGGGCCGGGCCTGCGGCTTCGCGGCCGGGGCCTCCCTCGGGCGCCCCCCACCCAGCGCGCTGCCAGCGCGGCCTCCCCGGCCCCGGTCCCCGCCCCGGCCGCACGCACCTGTCTGCCCCTTGCCCAGCGTCTTCTCCAGCCGGTAGGGCCCAACATACTGCGCGTGCTGCGCGCCGCCGTCCTTCCCCGTCGATGTCATCGCTCTGGGGCCCGGCGCCGGCCAGGGGCGCCCGGGCGCGCGGGCAGGGAGGGGCCGCCCAGCGTCCGCCCGCGTCCGCCGAGTGCCGTCCGCGCCGACCCGGCCGGGGCGCCCCCGCGGGCCCCGCTGCTTCGCGCCGCCCGCGTCCGCCCGCGCCGCCGCCCCCCGCGTCCACTCCGACGCGGCAGTCCGAGGCCTGGCCCGCGGCGACGCCTCCGCCTCGTCGAGAGGACAGGGCGGGCGGGGGCACCTGGCTTCCGCCGCCGCCGCCGCCGCCGCCGCCGAGGCCCGCGCCCCGCGCCCCGCGCCCCCAGCGCACGCCCGTCAGCGGCCGCGCAGCCGAGCCGAGCCGAGCCGAGCCGAGCCGTGCAGCTGAGCCGAACAGCCGAGCCCAGCAGCCGAGCCGAGCCGAACAGAGCCGAGACGAGCCGAGCCGCGCAGCTGAGCCGAACAGCCGAGCCCAGCAGCCGAGCCGAGCCGAACAGAGCCGAGCCGCGCAGCCGAGCCATGTAGCCAAGCCGAACAGCCGAGCCCTGTAGCCAAGCCGAACAGCCGAGCCGAACAGCGGAGTCGAGCGCAGCTGAGGGGAGCCGAGCCGGGCCGCGCAACGGAGCCGAGTCGACACGAGCCTGTACGAACGCAGCGGGATGCCGTGGCGGCGGCAAGCGGTGCCCGCGCCGGCCAATCAGCGCCTCCCCACCCCGCCCCGCCGCTACGAGCGCTCGGGGAGACTCTAGGGGGCGAGGCGAGGCCAGGGCGAGGCCGGGACCTGGGAGCCTCCAGCCCGCCGGCTGCCACGTCCGGTCCCACCAGGCAGCAGAGCTCCCGCTGCCGCCCGACCCGCCATTAAGGCGCATCCCGGGACGGAGCAGGCAGTGGGCCCATGGCGAGGGGGTGCAGATGGCTGCCCTGGACGGGGGTTTTACCCTGCAGGGCGTGACCCCGGGTGTCCCAAAGAGTTTCCCGCCCCTCGAGGGGGTGCTGCACGCGCGGGGGATGGGGATGCTGCCCTGGAGGGGGGCGAGTGTTGCATGCGGGGCGGGAGTGCTGTACTGGGGAGAGGTGCTGTATTCGGGGCAGGGGTGCTGCACACATGGGGGGTGCTGCACGCCAGCGAGGGGCATGCTGCGCTGGAGGGGGCGGGTGTTGCATGCAGGGCGCGGATGCGGCACACGTGGCGGGGGGGCTGCATGGGAGTCTGTGGGGCTACTGCACGCGGGCGTTGTCCAAGCAGAGATTGTGCACCCCCAGGGAGGACGTGGCCCTCCGCCTCCGCTCCCGAGGGAGAAGCGGCGGTTTTCCCAGTTATGCCACAGTGACCTGCGCGGCGCGGAGTCAAGGAACTCACCTGGGATCCGGCCGCAGCGCCCTGGCGCCTCCCGGCCCTTGCTACCGACCCCTCTTTCAGGTTGAGCAGCTGGGCAGGGGTTGCCGGGAGCAGCCTTTGGAGGTCTAAACACAGGCAGCCGAAGAGGCAGCCAGACCTGGACGGACCCTCTGTTTCTTTGCAGAAAAACACTGGTATTTCCTTAAGCCCGTGCTGCAGAAGGTGGTGGGAGGGGAGAGGTGAGGGAGACCCGGAACGCTGCAGAAGTGGGGGTCCCAGATCTTGCCCGTGTATGGTCTGCGGGCAACGTTTCCCCTGCGGGCTCTGCCACACACTGCTGCTGACCGTGGTCCGCTCCCCACGCTGGTAAGCCCGTATGAGCTCAGGAAACTGCGGGGTCTTCCCAGTGCGCCCTCCTGCTCTTTGGGCTGTCTGTATTTCCAGCTGGGGAGGGGAGTGGGCCCCAAAGCACCTGTCCACTCTCGGCCTGCACCCGCCCGCCCTGCTTCCCTTCAAATGCTGTGGACTAAGGGTCCTCCCTACCCAATTCTGGGGCCTCTGAGCATGAGCAATCAGGGCCCCACCAGTGGGGGCAGGGGAGGGGGGCTGAGAGCATGGGACAGAGGCAGAGGGCACTCCCCTTTCCCCCGCTGCTGCTGCTGTGAGTGGGGACAGCAGACATTTTTAGCTGAATGTAGACTGGGACCTCCAGCTGGAGAAACTGTCAAGCAGTGAGGTCTGGCTGGAGGCTGACTGGGAGTGGTCTGGTCCAGGTGCCAACAGAGGCCGAGGGTGTGCAGGAGACCAGGAGAGGGCGTCAGGCCACAGCCAGAGGGCAGGGGCACTTGACCTGAGATGCCCTCTCTCTGCTGCCATGGTCACCTGGCCTCCCAGGCTGCAGCAGAGTCAGACGCACCTTTGTGACATCCTCAGCAGCATTTTGCCCTATTGACCGTTTGCATCCGGCTACTCCAGTGGCCAAAATTCTTGCTTTCTTCCTTCCCACCTCCTTGCCAGCCTGCATCCCTCTCCCAACCCTCACTGCAGCCCTGAGGCCTTTTCTTCCCTGTCTGTGTCTGAGCAGCCTATGCCATTGGTGGCCTCTGGGGCTCAGTCTGGGGCCTCTCTTCTGGCTCCCTGCCTGTCCTCCGGGCGCAAGAGGCTAGTCAGCCTTCAGCCTCTTGAGTGCCTATCCTCAAATCGCCCTCCCAGCCTCCCTTGGCCCTGCTGTCCCCTCTTGAAGGTGCTGCACAAAACCCCAGACTCAACGCCTTCTCCATAGCACGCCGCGCCCTCCCTGCTGCCATCTTTGTGGGGATCAACAGGATGACTGCCCTTCCTTCCAGCGGGCCTGGTACTGGGGTGCCCCAGGAGAGGGTGTACCAGGGTGTGGCCAGCCAGTAGATGCCCACGACTGTGATGCCACAGCCCTCGGTCCCCCTCTGTCGCGTGTAAGGTGGGAGCAGGAGCCCCAAAGGAGCCAGGGCTCTCGAGCACGAAGGTCTGTTGCCGGAGTTAGGAAAGGGCCCAGTCTCACAAAGACGTCCAGGCCAAGACTCACCAGTGGAGCCCACCAAACACTAATGGAGGAAAAGCACCCCGCTACACAGACACTTCCAGGACACAGAGGAAGACGGGCCATGTCCCAGCTCCTCTGTGAAACTGTCATCACCCTGGTGCCAAAACCATGCAAGGACATGACAAGAAAATTAAAGTCCACTCAGGAGCCTAGACACAAAAATCCCTTAACAAAACATCAAATCAATTCCAGCAATATATAAAGAGAACACATATGACCTTGTGGAGCGTACCCGGGAATGCAAAGTTAGTTTAACATTTCAAAATCAATTGTCATTCACTATTAGCAGACCAACACAGAAAAACCACACGGTCATTTCCACAGATGCAAGGAAAGCATTCAACAAAATTCAGCACTCATTCACGACAAAGGCTCTCAGTAAACCAGGAGGAGAAGATTCGAATCTATTCTGCTCCTGCACTCCCAACCCAACAAAGGGAAACTACAAAAACCCACAGCTAATGTCAGGCTTAGTGGTGAGAAACTGAAAGCTTTTCCTTGGGTCAGGGATGGGGCAAGGTTGTCCATCATCATCATTTATTTCAGTGTCGTGCCAGAGTACATGCCGAAGTAATGAGGCAAGGAAGACAAAATTTGTACCAGTTGAAAAGGAAATTTTTTATTATTATTATTATTTTTTTTTTTTTTTTGAGATGGAGTCTTGCTCTGTCGCCCAGGCTGGAGTGCAATGGCCCGATCTCGGCTGACTGCAAGCTCCGCCTCCCGGGTTCACGTCATTCTCCTGCCTCAGCCTCCCAAGTAGCTGGGACTACAGGTGCCCGCCACCACGCCCGGCTAATTTTTTTTTATTTTTAGTAGAGGCGGGGTTTCACCGTGTTAGCCAGGATGGTCTCGATCTCCTGACCTCATGATCCACCCGCCTCGGCCTCCCAAAGTGCTGGGATTACAGGCGTGAGCCACCGTGCCCAGCCAAAAAGGAAATTTTAGGTGATCTTTATTAGAAGATAACATTAATGGCCGGGCACGGTGGCTCACGTCTGTAATCCCAGCACTTTGGGAGGCTGAGGCGGGCAGATCACCTGAGGTCAGGAGTTCGAGACCAGCCTGGCCAACCTGGTGAAACCCTGTCTCTACTAAAAATACAAAAATTAGCTGGGTTTGGTGATGGGCACCTGTAATCCCAGCTACTCAGGAGGCTCAGGCAGGAGAATCGCTTGAACCCACGAGGCAGAGTTTGCAGTGAGCCGAGATCATGCCATTGCACTCCAGCCTGGGCAACAAGAGCAAAACTCCATGTCAGAAAGTAAAACAAGAAGATAACATTATTGTCTGCAGAAAATTCTAAGCTACAAACTGGTACTAAAACGAATAAGTAAGTTTACCAAAGCCACAGGGTACAAAGCCAAAAAAAGGTCAATTCTATTTGTGTGCTAACCATCAATTAGAAGTTGAAATTATGAAAACAGTACCACTTACAAAGAGAATTTAAAAACCACGAAATACTAGGGGTAAATTTATCAGAATTTGCATGAGATCTGTACACAAAAAACGATTATACATCTCTCAGTATATTAAGTGAGACTTAACAAGGCCCAAGTAATCGATTTAATTTTAATTTGA
The DNA here is from genome assembly GCF_000001405.40 of Homo sapiens. Taxonomy (NCBI): domain Eukaryota; kingdom Metazoa; phylum Chordata; class Mammalia; order Primates; family Hominidae; genus Homo; species Homo sapiens. The sequence goes on along the minus strand of NW_025791792.1, from coordinate 120,063 downwards.
TTTTTTAAATTTTCTCTTTTTTTTTTTTTTTTTTTTTAGAAATTGACAAGCTGCCAGGTGCAGTGGCTCATGCTTGTACTGCCAGCACTTTGGAAGGCCAAGGTGGGAGGATAGCTTGAGCCCAGGAATTTGAGACCAGCCTGGGCAGCATAGCAAGACTCCATCTGATATAGTTTGGGTATTTGTCCCCGCCCAGACATATGTTGAAATGGAATCTTCAGTGTTGGAGATGGGGCCTGCTGGGAGATGTTTTGGTCATGGGGTGGATTCCTCGGGGCTTGGTGCTGTCCTTGCAATGGTGAGTATTCGTGAGATCTGGTTAAGTGGGAGCCTCCCCTCCCACTCTCTCTTGCTCCCACTTCTGCCGTGTGAGACCCCTGCTCCCCCTTTGCCTTCCACCGTTATTGGAAGCTTCCGGATGCCATGCTTCCTTTACAGCCTGCAGAACCATAAGCCAATTAAACCTCTTTTTAAAATAAACTACCAGTCTCAGGTATTTATAGCAACACAAGAACAGCCTAACACATTATCTCTATGAAAAATAAAAATAAAATAGCCAGGCATGGCTACACACCAGGACTCCACACTTGTAGTCCCAGCTCCCTGGGAGGCTGAGGTGGGAGAATTGCTTGAACTGGAGAGATGGAGGCTTCAGTGAGCCACCATAGAGCCACTACGCTCCAGCCTGGGCAACAGAGTGAGACCCTGCCTCAAAAAAATGATGACGGAAATTTAGACGACACAAAGCACCTCGAACTCTCAGACGTTGCAGATGGGAGTGCAAAATGATGCTTTGGGAACCAGTCTGTCAGTTTCTTATAAAATTAGACACACCGTTACCATACGATCCAACAATCCCTCTTACAGCTATTTTCCCAAGAAAAAGAAAACTTACGGCCACACACAACTTGCATGCAAATGTTCATAGCCACTTTATTAGTAACAGCCAAGAAGTGGAAAGAACCCCGTTGTCCTTGGGTGATGACTGGACAGACAGGCTGTGGTGCACCCACACGGGGAACGCGACTCAGCCGTGACCACAGCGGGCCAGGAAGCGTGGCTGAGATGTGGGCAAATCTCAAACACATTAGGCCAAGTGAAAGAATCTGGCCTCAGAAAGCCATGTGCTGTATGATTCTATTTCTATGATATTATGGAAAAGGCAAAACTGTAGCTACAGAAGGCAGAGGGGTGGCTGTGGGTCCAGGGCGATAGGAATTCTTGCACATCCTGACGGCTGGCTTGTTTGCTAAACTCATCGAATCATATACGTACAATCTTACTTCAGTAAAGCTGCGCAGAGGCTCTTCTGAGCTCCACCCAGAAGAGCCTGTGGGCCACGCGGGGAGACACACCTGGGTGCACCGGGTGCCCTGCCGGCCACAAGGTCCATGGCAACCCAAGGGGAAGCCCCGCCTTTGGGTGGGTGGGTGGGTGGGTGGCAGGGGGAGGGCTTCCTGCAGGAGGCGGCTCCAGCTGCCTGAGGATGTAAGTGCAGGCCAGTGGACAAGTGGGTCATTGAGGCTGGGGGCAGTGGCTCATGCCTGTAATCCCAGCACTGTGGGAGGCCAAGGCAGGCAGATCACCTGAGGTCAGGAGTTCAAGACCAGCCTGGCCAACATGGTGAAACCCCGACTTTATTAAAAATACAAAAATTGGCCTGGCACGGCGGCTCATGCCTGTAATCCCAGCACTTTGGGAGGCTGAGGTGGGCGAATCACGAGGTCAGGAGATCAAGACCTGGCCGGGTTTCACCTGGCTAACACGGTGAAACCCCGTCTCTACTAAAAAAACAAAATACAAAAAAAAAAAAAAAAATTAGCCAGGCGTGGTGGAGGGCACCTGTAGTCCCAGCTACTCGGGAGGAGAATGGCATGAACCCAGGAGGTGGAGTTTACAGTGAGCTGAGATAGCGCCACTGCACTCCAGCCTGGGCGACAGAGGGAGGCCCCGTCTCAAAAAAAAAAAAAAAAATTAGCCGGGCGCGGTGGCACGCACCTGCAGTCCCAGCTACGAGGGAGGCTGGGGCAGGAGAATCGCTTGAACCCGGGAGGTGGAGGTTGCAGTGAACCTAGGTCACACCACTGCACCCCAGCCTGGGAGACAGAACAAGAGGCCATCTCAAAAACAAAACAAAAAAGTGGGTCATTGATCACGCAGCCCTTCCTGGAGGACCCCAAGGGAGAGGAGGATACAGAGGGGGTCACCAGATGTCCCATCTCCATTGCCAGCCTAGAAGTTTCCGGCCGGCGGGGGTGGCCTTTGTTTCCAGGCACCGGCCCTCAGGAGAATGTGTGTGCAGAGGTTGTGAGGCTCCGGGCGTCAGCTGGTGTCTCACGTCCCCGGCCGCGGCCTCCGCTGCTGCGGAACTGGAACCACTGACGTCACCAGCCTTCCCTCCCTCCCCTCCCCGCCACCCCCGCTCCTGGCGCCCCGGCCCGGCGTGTGTCTCCCCGCGCTGAGGGCTCACGGCGCCATCCCTTCGCTGTCTCACTCCACGTTGCCCTGATCCCCGCACCGGCACCGGGGATTAAAGACGCTGTCCCAGCCCCTGCCCCAGACTGAGCAGGCGCACGACCAATGACGAGGCGCCCCGCTAAGCAGCATCTCCGAGCTGCGGGACAAGCTCACGGCCACCAGGAGCTGGGCCGAGGGCCCGTGGGGGGAGGGCAGGTGGCACGGGTGGGCAGACGGCCTGCCGTCGCGCGCATTCCCGGGGCCTCCCAGCCAGCCTCACACCCCCTCCTGGACCCGCCCCCTTCACCGCCTGAGAGCTGGGCTTCCTGCGCCCGCCCCGTCCCTGACCCGCCCCGTCTCCCTCACCAAGGTGGCTGTGTGGAGGAGGAAGAGCAGCCGCTTTCTTGGTTGCCAGGACCATCCACGGACATCAGGGACACCTCTGGCCCAGCCGTAGGAGCAGCCACCTCCTTCCCCACTGGCAGGGCCTCCCTGGCTGGCCCAGGCTGCCCATGACTCCGTCCTACAAAAAGATCCCCCACTACCACGGGGGACCTTAGAGAAGCCACCCTGCCCACAGCCACACCTGCCTCCGTCCTCTCTGCTCACACCCCGCACCCACCTGTCCCTGGACAGGGGTCAGACGGCTGGGTCAGCGGGCTCAGGTTAGGGTCTCTGTTGTGCGGCCCCCGTCCCACTCCCGCCCTGCCTTCGTCATCACCTCTGGTCCTCCCGCTGCTCTCTCATCAGTCGCTTCCCGGAGGCTTGCCCCACGCCCCGCCAGCCTGGCGCCCACCAGCTCCGTGCCCGACAGCTATCGGCCTCTTATCTCGACAATCGGTTGCTCTTGGCCAGCCCGTCCTGCTGCAGAAAGGAACGGGGTGCAGTTCTGGAGAGGGTGGCCACAGTCTAATTCCCCCTCTGTTGTACATAGGTGGCCAGAGTCCCCCATAGAGACAGGCGGGAGGTCAGTGTGCAGGTGGGAGCAGGTGCGGGGGTCTCCCACCCAGGCCCCTCTGGGTGTCCCCACCACCAGGTGCTCCCAGCCACACTGGTGGAAAGCAGAGCCTGTCACAGTGGGGACATTAGCTGTTGAACCTCCTGTCTCCATCTGAGCTCCTGTCCCTGCCCCAGCCCGGGGGCTTCCTGCTGCACCCAATGGAGGTGACCAGGAAGCCTGGAGGGGCACACTGAGGCCTCTGATGCTCAGAAGCCCAGCACAGATCCAGCATCTGCCGAGCATGTGTGCTCAGACCCCCACGATGGCCCCCACTGAGGGACAAGGAGGGAAGCCTGGGAAGGGCAGTGCCCAGGTGGCCCTTGCTGGGGGTGGCAGGGGGGTCAGCTCCACACTGCACACATTGTCCTGGAAGCTCTGCAGGTCACCAGCACACAGAGGTAAGCGTTGCCCACCCAGGAGCCAGACACCCAAGGAGGGCTTGCAGAGTGAGAAGACAGGCCAGAGGGTGGGGAGGGCGACACGGAGGGATGGTGCAGTAAGGGAAGGCCCCGGGAGAGAAGGAGCAGAGCAGCGGGAGGAAAGCAGGGGACAGAGTGTCATGGAAGCAAGGTACAGCTCCCGCAGTGGGGAAGAGGATTCTGAGGGTCAGAGTGGTGACCTGACTTACCCAAAGCCGGCCTTTGACGCAGAGGCCCCTGCTCCTCTTCCTGTTGAGAGAAGCCAGGAATGGGGAGGGAGAGGCAGCAGGATGAGCTGATAGCCAAGATTTAGACAGGAGGGTGGGACCAATGTGTCTGAAAAGACAGTTGAGAAAGTGATGCTATGTGGCTCTAAATTGACAAATACATGTATGGGTATTGAAGAAATTTTGAAAAATGTAGCCAAATGAAAAGACAATAAAAATCACCTCTGGTCCCACCACCTAGAGCAAACCACTAGTTCACCTCTAGCTCTGTGTCTGCCAGCTGTCTTCTGCTAAATGTGATGTTTGTAACATCCTCCTTTCCGTTAAAAATGTTTAACGGCTTTATTAAAATATAATTCACGTATCATACAATTCACCAATTCACACTGCACAATTCAGTGATGTGTATTTTTTAGTGTATTTACAGAACTGTGCAGCCATCACCACAATCAATTTTGTAACATGTTCATTATCCCCCCCAAAAACCCACATCCATTAAACACACTCCCCACTCCCTGCCCCTGCAATTTCAGGCAACGACAGATGTACATCTTTCTTTTTTTTTTTTTTTTTTTTTTTTTTTTTTGAGACGGAGTCTCCCTCTGTCACCCAGGCTGGAGTGCAGTGGTGCGATCTGGGCTCACTGCAACCTCTGCCTCCTGGGTTCATGCGACTATCCTGCCTCAGCCTCCCGAGTAGCTGGGATTGCAGGCGTGCGCTAATTTTTGCCTTTTTAGTAGAGACAGCGTGTTGCAATGTTGGCCAGGCTGGTCTTGAACGCCTGATCTCAGGTGATCCACCCATCTCAGCCTCCCAAAGTGCTGGGATTACAGGCATGAGCCACCGCGCCCAGACCATTCACCAATTTAAATGGCTCAATTCAGTGATTTGTATTTTTTAGTGTATTCAAAGAACCACGCAGCCATCACTGCAATCAATTTTGGAACATTTTCATCATCCCCCCAGAAACCCCACATCCATTAAACACACTCCCCACTCCCTGCCCCTGCGATTGCAGGCAACCACAGATCTATCTCCTCACTCAGTGGATTTGCCTGTTCTGGACATTTTACACGGACAGGATCACACAATATGTAGCCTTTTGTGTCTGGCTTCTTTCCCTAGGCACAGCGTCTCTGAGGCCCATCCATGTTGCGGAATGTGTCGGCATTTCCTTCCTTCTGTGGCTGAATAATGTTCCGTCACACGGACACTGTAGACCATGCCTTACTTATCCATGTAACTGTAGACCATGCCCAGCCCATATGAATTTTAGACTCAGCTTGTCAATTTCTGTAAAAAAGGCAGCTGAGATTTTAACAGCAATCGCATTGAAGGTGTAGATTAATTTGGGGAGTATTGTCATCTTAACAATGGTAAGAATTCTAATCCATGAACATGGGATATCTTACCATTTATTTAGGTCTTCTTTAATTTCTTTCAATAGTGTTTTGTGGTTTTTAGAGAACAAGCTTTGCACATTTTTTATTAAACTTATTTTTAAGTATTTTATTCCTTTTGATGCTATTTTAAATGGAATTGTTTTCTTTTCTTTTCTTTTTTTTTCTTTTGAGATGGAGTAACGCTCTGTCGCCCAGGCTGGAGTGCAGTGGTACGATCTCGGCTCACGGCAAGCTCTGCCTCCCAGGTTCACGCCATTCTCCTGCCTCAGCCTCCCGAGTAGCTGGGACTACAGGTGCCCACCACCACGCCCGGCTAATTTTTTGTATTTTAAGTAGAGACGGGGTTTCACCGTGTTAGCCAGGATGGTCTCCATCTCCTGACCTCGTGATCTACCCGCCTCAGCCTCCCAAAGTGCTAGGATTACTGGCGTGAGCCACCATGCCCAGCCGGAATTGTTTTCTTAATTTCCTTTTCAGATTGTTCATGGCTAGCACACAGAAATAGAATTGATTTTTGCATATTGATCTGCACCCTGCAATGTTGCTGAACTTGTTTGTTAGAACTTGTTCTAATGGCTTTTCAGTGGATTCATTAGGATTTTCTATATACCAGTTTATGTCACCTACAAATAGAGATAGTTTTACTTCTTCCTTTCCAATCTGGATGTGTTTCGTTTCTTTTCCTTGACTGATTACCCTGTCTAGAATCTCCAGTACAATGTCAAATAGAAGTGGTGAAAGCAAACATCCTGGTCTTTTCCTGATCTTAGGGGAGAAGCAGCAGTCCTTCATCATTAAGAATAATGTTAGCTGGCCGGGCGCGGTGGCTCACACCTGTAATCCCAGCACTTTGGGAGGCCGAGGCAGACAGATCACGAGGTCAGGAGTTCGAGATCATCCTGGCTAACATGGTGAAACCCCGTCTCTACTAAAAATACAAAAAAATTAGCCAGGCGTGGTGGCGGGCGCCTGTAGTCCCAGCTACTCAGGAGGCTGAGGCAGGAGAATGGCGTGAACCTAGGAGGTGGAGCTTGCAGTGAGCCGAGATTGCACCACTGCACTCCAGCCTGAGCGGCAGAGTGAGACTCCATCTCAAAAAAACAAAAAAAAGAATGATGTTAGCTGTGGCTTTTAAAAAAAAAATGCTGTTTATCAGCTGGGCGTGGTGGCTCACGCCTATAATCTCAGCACTTTGGGAGGTTGAGGTGGGTGGATCACAAGGTCAGGAGTTCAAGACCAGCCTGGCCGAGATGATGAAACCCCATCTCTACTAAAAATACAAAAAATTAGCCAGGCGCAGTGGCACGTGCTGTAATCCCAGCTACTCGGGAGGCTGAGGCAGGAGAATCACTTGAACTCGGAGGGCAGAGGTTGCAGTGAGCTGGGATCGTGCCACTGCACTCCAGCCTGGGCGACAGAGTAAGACTCCGTCTCAGGAAAAAAATCAAAAACCAAAAAACAAACAAAAAAATTGCTCTTTATCAGGTGGGAGATATTCACTTCTATTCCTACTTTGTTGATTTTTTTTTAATTATGAAAGCATGTTGGATGTTGTCAAATGTGTTTACTGCATCAGTTAAGATGATCGTGTGGCTTTGTTTTTTATCCTATTGATACGGTGTATTTCATTAACTGATTTTTGAATTTAAACCAGCCTTGCACTCCTGGGATAGGCTCCAGAAATTGGTCATGATATATAATCCTTTTCTGTGTCACTGTATTCAGTTTGCTAATATTTTGTAGAAGGATTTTTGTGTGTATATTCAGAAAGGATATTGATCTATAGCTGCATAGCTGCCTTTTTTTTTTTTTTTTTTTTTTTTTGAGACAGTCTCACTCTTTGCCCAGGCTGGAGGGTTGGAGGGCAGTGGCGTGATCTCAGCTCACTGCAACCTCCGCCCCCTGGGTTCAAGCAGTTCTCCTGCCTCAGCCTCCCTAGTAGCTGGGATTACAGGCATGCGCTACCACGTCCGGCTAATTTTTGTATTTTTAGTAGAGATGGGGTTTCACCCTGTTGGCCAGGCTGGTCTCGAACTCCGGACCTCAAGTGATCTGCCTGCCTCGGCCTCCTGAAGTGCTGGGATTACAGGCGTAAGCCGCCGCACCCGGCCTATAACTCTTTTCTTGTGATGTCGTTGTCTGATTTGGGTGTCAGGATGGTTCTGCCCCCATGGAATGAATTAGGACATGTCCCCTCCTCTTTGATTTCCTGGAAGAGTTTGTGAAGGATTGGTATTAATTCTTCCTTAGGTGTTTGGTAGAATTCACCAGTGAAGCTATCTGGTCCAGAGTTTGTTCCTTCAGGAAATTTTTAAATTATTCCTTTAATCTTGTTTATTCAGTGTTTCTGTTTCTTCTTAAGTCCATTTTGGTAGATTGTGTTTTTCTAGGAATTTGTCCATTTCAACTAACTTACCTAATTTATCCAGTTAAATGATCTAATTTGTTCAACTAAATAATTTAATTTGTTGGTATAACATGTATATTCATATTGATGAGTTCTCTGTGGCCTTTGACTTTTACCCTTGGCCCCTTATGAGGTAAACACAGGCTCCGAGGGACCCTCTAAGAACATAAGGCAGAGTCCATCCCCCATCTGCTTGCAACTCTTCCGTGAGCCCTTCTCACTCAGGGTCAAAGCCAAGGTGCCCCCCATCTCTCTGACCTCATCTCCCACTCACTCACGTGCCGTGCACTGCTCCAGCTGGCCGGCTTCTCCTCACGGTGCTGTGTGGTGGGCACACGCTTGCCTCAGGCCACCACCCTGGACTTGGCCCAGAGGGCCTTCCCTTCCCATGCACTTGACTCACTCCCTCAAAGCCTGCCAGTTTTTCACCAAACGCCAGTGCATTCATCTGCTATGGCTGCCAAGACAAAGCACCCAGGACCAGGCGGCTTGGACAACAGACACTGATTGTCCCACAGTCCTCGAGGCTGGAGCCGGAGATCAAGGTGTCAGGGCTGGTTCCTCCCAAGGTCTCTCTCCTCGGCTTGCAGACACCGCCTTCTCCCTGCATCCTCACGTGGTCATCCTTCTGTGTGTGTCTGTGTCCTCATCTGCTCCTCTTATAACACACCAGTCCTATTGGATTAGGGCCCATCCCAGGGACCTCATTTAAAATCAATTACCTTTTTAAAGACCCTCTCCTCAGATACAGACACATTCTGAGGCCCTGGGGGCTAGGACTTTAACCTCTGAATTTTGGGGGGATGCAGTTGACCCCATAACGGTCAGCATGGCGACTGTCGCCCAGGCTGGAGTGCAGTGGTGCAATCTCAGGTCACTGCAGCCTTCTGGGCTCAAGCAACCCTCCTACCCCAGCCTCCTGAGTAGCTGAGGCTATAAGCATGTACCACTACTCCTGGCTAATTTTTGTATTTCTTGTAGAGATAGGGTTTCACCATCTTGCCCAGGCTGGTCTTGAACTCCTGAACTCAAGAAATCCTCCCTCCTTGGCTTCTCAAAGTGCTGGGATTACAGGCATGAGCCACCGCGCCGGGCCGAGTTGCACTGATTTTACGGCCATGGGCTCACGCCCGTTCCTTCCTCCATCAACTGTGGATGTGAACCAGCCACCCTGGTGTGCCCTCATGGGCCGAGCTCTGACGCTTGTTACCCTGCACGTTTTCATTCACTGCTGAGGCTCCGCATTTTTTCCATGTATTTAGTAGCCATTTGCCTTTTTCTTTTGTGAGTTGTTCATGTCCTTTCCGGTTTTTAATACTGATTTATAAAGCCCTTTGTAAACGGAAGATATTAGCATTCTCTGTGGCGTACATGTAGAAATGTTTCTTTCCCAGATCGTTTGGCTTTCGGATTCATTGTGGTATTTTGGGGGCTGGGGACATTTTCCCATCTGTGTTTATTTTATTTTATTTTTTATTTTTTTGAGATAGAGTCTCACTCTGTCACCCAGGCTGGAATACAGTGGCAAGATCTCAGCTCTCTGCAACTTCTGCCGCCTGGGTTCAAGTGATTCTCCCGCTTCCGCCTTCCAAGTAGCTGGGATTACAGAGATCTGCCACCATGCCTGGCTAATTTTTGTGTTTTCAGTAGAGATGGGGTTTCGTCATGTTGGCCAGGATGGTCTCGAACTCCTGACCTCACGTGACCCACCGACCTCAGGCGATCCGCCTGCTACGGCCTCCCACAGTGCTGGGATTCCAGGCGTGAGCCACTGCGCTCGGCCTTCCATCTGTGATGTCGGAGCTCATGGCCTCCCTCTCTGCAGCTCAAGTGCAGCAGGGGCCTCGGGCTGTCGCTCCAGGTCAGGGCTCTCCTCGCTGTTGAGCTCTCATCTAGGGCTGGGCCCCGAGTGGTTCTGTGCGGGTCCCGGCTGTGGCTCCGTGGACCGTCTGCCTATGTGCAGCCCGCCAGGTCCTCCTGATGATTTAACAGAGAAGCCCAGAGGTGCCCCAGGCTGCTGCTTGTGTAACCTGAGGTCACATAAGCTGGGATGCTACGAAGGTGCCACAGGGGCCCTGAGAGGCGAGGAGGGAGGGGTGTGGGAGAAGAGGCTTGAGGGGATGGGAGGTGCATGGTGGACGGAGGCCAAGAACCCAGCAGGACCCGGAGGCTCCTCGGGCCGGGCCCTGCCTCACAGGCGCCAGTCCCGTATCCCCAAGGACACGATCCTGTCCGCCGGGCTCACCAGGTGGGTCACTGGCCACCCACCGTCGAGGGGACCAGAGCAGATCCCAGAGCTGTGTCTGGCAGCCTTACTCTCTGCTGTGAAAATGATAACCTTTGTGAGGGCCAAGTGCTGCCCACCTGCGTCACCCCCTCAATACCCCCAGCTCACCCTGGGGCACCCCAAGTGAAAGCTCCACTCTCTTCCCAGCTGGGCTGGCCGCTACCCCATCCCCTGGACTCAGGGTGCGGGAAGGAGAGCTGAGGGGGTGGGAGGCGCTGGGAGCACCCCGTGGCCAGTCCCCACTGCCCACCCTTGCTGGGTCGTGCTGAGGCGGCTCCCAGAACCTCTGTCTGCTGGGGTTGGAGGGCCCAGCCTCTGTAGCCCAAGGGTGACGGTTCCTGCCCACTCTTTGGGCAGCTGAGGAGGGAAACAGGGGTGCAAGGGGGCTCGGAGTCTGTGTCTGCCTCTCATTAGCACAGGCTGTGCTGGAGAAAGATGGGGGCCTTGTTCCTGGGTGGCTCCGAGGCCAAAGGGCCCAAGTCCCAGGGGGCAGGACCCAGCCACAGGCTGCAGAAAGACCTTCCAGGGACTCAGAGGTGGGCAACCGCCCTGGGGCCCCAGGAGGCTCAGCCCAGCCTGGGTGGGGCTTCCGTACATGGGTGGGAGGGAGTGGAGGGGTCAGATGTCTGGGAGCGTAGGAACCTTCAGACCCGGCCTCAGATGAAAGCCCACAGCTCTGCCTGCTGCCCGTGAGAGCCCCTGCAGTTCCCCTCCTCGCTAGGTATCCATCAGCCGTGAGCAAGGAGGAGGTGGGGGTATAGAAAGCCCGAGAGCAGGCTGCGGGGGGCGGGGGGAGGGCTGCGCAGTGCAGCATGTATTCGCCCATTCTCGCGCCACTATAAAGAATCACCTGAGACTGTGTACTTGATACAGAAAAGAGGCTGAATTGGCTCACGGTTCTTCAGGCTGCAGGGGAAGCCTGATGCTGGTGTCTGCTTGGCTTCTGGGGAGGCCTCAGGAGACTCTCAATCGTGGCGGAAGGCGAGGGGAAGCAGGCTGGTCTAACCTGACAGGAGCAGCAAAAGAGTGAGCGGGAGCTGCTGCATCCTTAAACACCCAGAGCTAGAGAGAACTCAGGCCGGGTGGGGAGGACAGCACCCAGGGACGGCACTAAAATCGCCCCCCACCAGGCCTCACCCCCAACTCTGGGGATTACAATTCCACCTGAGATTTGGGCGGGGACACAGAGCCAAACCGTATCAGTGCAAACGTACTGAATGCTCCCAAACTGTATACACTTAGAATGTGTCAGGTGGTGCCTTTTATGTATATTTCAGAACAATTTTTTAAATGCTTAAACAAGCTGGGAAAAACATGGGGGTCACATTCTTAAAAGTGGGGTTTTTCCCACTTTCCCCTCCATGGACTTCTGGGGGCTGCACCAGGCTGTCTCTAGCTGGTGCTGGGTGCAGGGTGGGAGGGGCAGGAAGGAAGGCGTCATCTCCGAGGGGCTCCCAGGTGCAGGCTGGATACTTTTGGAGCATGAATCCCATTCCTCAAGAGGAACAGGCCGAGTCCACACAACCAGCATCGTGGTGGTTAACCGGAGCGGAGTGAGGAGGGACAATGGGCCCCACCCGCAAAGGAGGAAAGAGGGGAGGCCACGCCTGACATCAGGCTTACTAACAAAGCACGGCATGCCGAGGCCACAGGAGCCCAGGAGGCCACTCTCCTCCCTCCTGTCCCTTCCTGAGATAGCCACGAAGAAGTGATGTAGAAAGAAACTGTGTCCAAAGCAATTGAGCCGAAAATGCACCATGAGGAGCCTCCACCTCTGACCGATAACAGGAATATGAAGACGGAATGGTGTTTATAGTCTGGTGAATTGTGGCTTAACATTCCATGAATTTTTAGCATGACTGTCTTTGTATTTATTTGTTTAATGAAATATGGCTCTCGAGACCATGGCGAGGTCCCCGCTGGGGAACAGCCACCACGGCCGCAGGGGTGCCCCAGCCCTGCCTTCCCATCCACCTGCACCTCGCCTGTAGTGAGACCGTTTATTTACGATTTCAATTTGTTTTTTATCATTACTATTATTTGTTTTTCAGATTTAGGAGAAGTACATCAGACATTCTCTCACCCCCAGAACAGGGCCACACAGCCCCACTGCACAGGAACAGAGCTTTCCTCGGATGCAAGGAGAAAGATAGCTCATAATTACACTGAACGTTAATAATTAAAGTTAATACGGCTCGATGGGTTGAGCCCGTATTTCTTGAAATGTGCCTGTCCATCGCTAGGCAACCCTGCGTGACAATTCCTCATGCCTAAAAGGCTGGTAGATTTCCAGTTTTGTAAAGTTATTGTTTTCTGTGAAATCTGCGTTTAATAAGAGATTTTCTCTTGGTTCTCCAGATCCCCCTCAATACCAGGACTGGTCGCCTGATCTTCTTTTACTGAGACAGGGTCTCTCTGTCACCCAGGCTGCAGTGCCTGGTGCGATCTTAGCTCACTGCAGCCTCGACTTCCTGGGCTCAAGCCATCCTCCCACCTCAGCCTCCCAAGCAGCTGGGACCACAGGTGCATGCCACCACGCCCTGCTAATTATTACTATTATTATTTTATATTTTTTTATTTTTATTTTTATTTTTATTTTTGTAGAGATGAGGTCTCCCTATGTTGCCCAGGCTGGTCTCGACCTCCTGGGCTCAAGTGAGCCTCTCTCCTTGGCCTCTGAAAGTGCTGGGACTGCAGGCGTGAGTCACCGCGCCCGGCTCCATCACTTGACCTTGACCTGTCTCTGGTGTGAGGCCATCTGTGGCTGGGGGTGTGGCCATCTGGCATACGTTGCGCTGGTTCCCTGGAGAAACCTTTGTCCTATCCACCATCCCAAAGAGCCGTGGCTCTTGGGTCTCCAGCCCCTTCTGTGAATGAGCCCCACAAAAGGTTCCTGCCTCCCTGTAGGGGAATGGGGTCTGTGGGTCACCCCCACCCCGAAGGCAGCTCTGCAGCATCCCTGAAGCTGGGCACTTTTGGACAGAGACTCCCTGTAGCCAGACCCCCATGGGGTAGCCTGGGATTAGGGTGAGCTCAGGTATGGGGGAGCCTAGGATTAGGGTGAGCTCAGGGTAGGATTAGTCATCTTTTCTGGCCACCTGAAGGTGAAGCCTCCCAATGGTTGGGTGCAGTCGCTGGGACCCCGTGTGAAATCCTGGAGGCCCCTTTGCTGAGGGAGGCCATGGTTGGGCCTCAGTGCAGTGGCTGGGACAGGGCGGCGGCAGTCACTGAGGGGCTGATCCCAGAGGGCCCGGTTCCCACAGGGGAGGGAGGAAGGCCCACCCTGGTACAGCAGCTGCAGGTGCAGTGGCGCTAGGGAAGACTCCCTCCATGGGCCTGTTGGCCCTCAAAGGGTTGAGTCCTTCGTCCTTCCCTGACGCTCCCTGGCCTGGAGCCTGTCCTCCTTCTCTGTTCCTCAGCCGGCGCCAGCCCGACGTGGAGCCGCAGCAGGGCGGGTACAGAGCCTGATGGGCCAGCCCAACCCGAGGGGAGGCCAAGGGCACTGCAGGCCGCCAAGGTCGGCCGCTCCCTTGGTCTCTCCCGCACCTGCCGCACCTCTGCTCCCGGGACTCCCGTGGTCCCCAAGGCCCCCTTGGCCCCTGTGCACAGAGCTCCCTGCTCTGTGTCCCGTGGCCTCCCCTCAGGCTCGGGGCCCCCAGCTCCCCCCACCATCCCTTCCCCTTGCTCCCTCCCGGGCTCCTCCATGACTCCTCCCACCCGGCCCCCTCCTGTGGGTGTTCTGGGGTCTCTGGTCTGCAGCCCCTCTCCCCTCTCCTGTCTCCCGCACGAGGTCCCATGCACTCTTGGTGAAGATCCCAGCCCCACCTGGATCCTCCGTCCCGGCCCCTGCTGAGGGGAACAGCCCCTGTCACTGGCTCCTTGGCATCAGCATTGGTCTTTTATGTCTCCCTGCTCTTGACCCTCTAATACGGAAACCACAGCTGGGGTTAGAGGGGAGAGGATACAAATTCTCAGGCTGGGGAGCAGGGGCCCCCCGGGAGGACGGCCAGAGCCAGGCTGGCCCCAACTATGCAGGCGAAAGCACATGGAGGGCGGGTGTCACCGATGCCGTCCTGCATCGGCTGCATCGTGTCCCCCAGATTCATGCGTCAAAGTCCTGACCCCCAGGACGTCCATGTGGTTGCATTTGGAGGTAGGGCCTTTCAAAGGGGAATTTTGTTAAAATGAGGTCTTTGGGGCAGGCCCTGTTCTGGTCTTCTCCCCGTAAGAAGAGGAGACTTGGACACTTCCCCCCCGCCCGCCCCCCGGGGAGCCTGTGCACAGATGGACAGCCCCGTGAGGAGGCGGGGAGAGGTGGTGTCTGCAGGCCTACGACAGAGGCCCCGGGAGAGCCCTGTGGTGCTGTGGTCTCCACTTTCCCAACTGTCCGAGCAGGTGAGAGTACCCTCAGCACCTTCCCGCCGCTGCCCAGCCCTGGGTGTGCTGCTGTCTAGTGATGGCAAGAACGCCCAGTGCCACCCTCAGAGGCTTACAAGCCTCCAGGGCAGGCTGCATCCAGCTGTCAAGCAAGGCCAGGGCGCAGGGCCGGGGATGTGGGGTGAGTCGCTGTCCCCCGCTCCCTCCAGCCCCACCAGTCCCCGCCAGCTTCCCTCCAGTCCCTGGTGGTGCCTTCCACGGACACAGGTGCACACGTCAGAGGTGGCCACGGGCCTGGTGTAGGCCAGTGGGACGGGCAGAGCGGTGAGGCACTGGTTCCCAGCTGGACCCGCGAGGTGCTGTGTGCTCCACAGTCACCTGGGGACGGCAGGTCTCGGGGGCTTCCCCAGATGGGACTCGGAGCAGAACAATCCCCAGCCCTGGCCACGGCCGTCCTTGAGCCTGCTCCATTGCCCTGTATGGCACCGGGTGACCGAGGCTCCAGCAGTGCTCTCTCCCCTCGGCACCACCCATGACAGCACACAGGGTCCAGCTGCCGAACGCCTTGGTCCAAGGTTTGTATGCCTTGGTCCCCGACACATGCAGGGACTGCTGGCCTCATTGCCACTGCCTGGCCGAACCCAAAATGCACAATGACCCCAGCCCACGTTGGCTTCGACCAGCCCCCCAGGGCCGGGCAGTGGGACCCATGCCTGGGACTCCTGTGCCTCGGGGGAGCCAGGAGGCCCCAAGGCCCCAGGCCGAGCTCCCGACTGCCTGCACGGCCCTGCTGCCCCATGGGCTGCCCTGGGACCCTGGGTGTGGGTCTGGGGACAGATTCAAGTCCATCTCTGCTGTGAGTGTCTGTGCTGCCCAAACGAACGGGAGGATGGACTGAGGGCACAGAGGGGACCCTGCCGGGTGTCTGTGGGCCTGAAGGTGCTGCAGCACCCGTCGTCCAGCGTGGAGGGCAGCGGGCGGGGGGAGGGTCGGCGAGAGGTCATGGGAGGTCAGGGCCCCCCACCAAGCCCCAGTGCCTGCCTGGCAGAGTCCCCCACACACTCAGGGCGGCCAAGGAGGACCCCCAGACAGGATGAGCCTCACCGCCCCTCCTCCTCCTCCTCCTTCCCTTCCTCCCCCTCGTTGCTTGTCCCTGGAGAACTTAGCTGGGCTGGGCCGCAGGTGACATACAGCTCCTCCATGGGGCTCATGGGGGCAGGGGGGCCCCACCTCTTGCTGAGTGGCAGGGCTGGAAGGAACGGGTGGGACCAGAAGTGTCGCTGAGGCCACTCTGGGAACCCATGACGGGCCACACCAGCGCCATCCCCTGCTGACCTGGGTTCCCCTCGCTCCTGCTTCCAGGGCTGTCTTGAGTCCCTTTCTTGCCACAGGCCTCCCACACCCGTCCAGAGCACGGCCAGCTTTCTCCCATCCCAATAGCTTTGGGGACCCCAGGCAGGAAGCTCCTGGAGCCTGGCGCCGCCTCTCCCACCCAGCCACCCCACGCTGGACTGCTGGGTCCTCAACCCCAACCCCATTCCACCATTGCCTCCCTTCCTGCAGCCCTGGAGGGTACAGTGCCCAGACCCTGGTACGCAGCTGGGGCCTGAGCCGCAAAACCTCGTGCTACAGCGGCTCTGAGACGCCTCCTGCCTCCTTCTGGTCCTCCATGAAATGACCAGAGCAGCAGGTGTGGGAAGTTCCAGCCAGTTCACCCCTCCCTGATCTATTGCTGAGTTCCCTGGGTGAAGGCTGGGACCTTCTGCTGTGGCTCCCCTGACCTCTCCACCCCGGCGTCCGCACTCCACTGGCCAGTAGGTCCCCATTCAGCCCTTCCCTGGATGCCACCTCCTCTCCCTTCCCTTCCCTGTCCTCCGCAGCACACACACACATGCCCTCACACACATCTCCGCCCTCCCTGGCACGCACACAGGTGCCCTCGCACACCTCCGTCCCGTTCTCCCTGGCACACACAGGTGCCCACACACGCCTCTGAGGTCTGGCCAGGGGGCATGGGATCCCCTCCTCTGGGAAGCCCCTGGGACTCCTGCAGGGCCACATGTCCACCCCGGACTCCAAGGGCTGCACGTGCCCAGTGAGTGTCGGCTCCACTCAGGGCTGAGTCGATGAGCTTGGCCAGGAGCTCCTCAGTGACCCCCGCCTCCCACCGGGAGGGTCGCCCCTGGGTTCAGCTGGAGCCCACGTCAGCTCCCAGCAGGTGGGCTTGGAGGCCGTGGGTGCAAGAAGGTGACTGCTCACCCAGCTCCCGTCCCCGACGCACGTGCATGATTTGTTTTGCAATTACATCATCTGTCGAGTTGATTTCATGTGGGTCCTTGCTGCTCCCCCAACTCGACTGTAAACCCCGTGACACCAGGGACCTGGCACCTCCTCTGCCATTCGCAAAGTTAATAATGATGATTTGTATCTGAACCAAACTCTGAGTTTCCTAAAACCATTCACAAAGTTAATTATGATGATTTGTGTCTGAACCAAGCTCTGAGTTTCCTAAAACCCGTTCACCCAAATTATTCTACTCACCAAATCAGCCTTGCACAAGGGGCTTAGTGTCCCCAAGGTCACAGGTGAGAGGCATGAGGCTCAGGGTCACTCAGCATCTAGGCCATGGCTGCAGGAGGAGAGATGGAGAGGCGGGCACTGCTTACCCAGAGGGCAGCCACAGAGGCCAGCCTGGCTGGGGAGGCAGACGCAGGGCAGGGTGACCCTGCAGTAAGAGGTCACGTCCAGTCCCGCCAGGGCCCAAGGCCACTTTCCAACAGGGTGGAGGAGGCTCCAGGTGGCTTTGGGTCAACAGAACACAGGGGCGTTTGGGGCAGGGTGAAATGGGTGTTGCGGGTGGGCGAGCAGGGACCCAGTACAGCCCTGAGTGCCACGTGGAGCTGAGGTAGGGGCAGGACTTGGTGACAGAGGCCAGGCTCTGACACCGGACCAGATTGAGGACTAGGTAAAACAGGGCAGGGTGAAAGCAGCTTTCCAATCAGACCTGCCCTCCGCCGTGCCAGGTCAATTTACCGTTGACGTGGCAACACCCAGGCCTTGCCGCCCTTTCCACAGCAACGACCTGATGGCCCAGAAGTTACTACCACTTCCCTAGAAATTTCTGCATGAGCCACTCTTTAAAGTGCATGCAATTACAAGTGGGTATAAACGTGATGCAAACGGCCCTGAGCAGCTGCTCTCTGCCTGCTCGCCCTTGGATTCTTTCCTGGGCAAAGCCAAGAATCCCCAAGGGCCAAGCTCCACGCTGGGGCTCACCTGCCCTGCATCAGAAGGGCTGGGACACGACCATCACACACAGCCTGGCTGGGAGCGGGGTCTCCATCTCCCAGTGTGGGGGGGCCTCCTGGTACCCCCACCCCTGGGTCCTGGCAGAGGTCCACCATGCCCAGAGAACACTGTCCAATGCCAACCTTTCAACCATGTGGACATCTGTGCTGTGGCCATGACACGACGTGTGCTCCCATGTTCCATTTACACCCAGAAAGAGGGGGCAGGGTTCCACAGGTGGTGTTTCCGGGAGCAAGTCTGTCTATCATGGGCTCCAGAACGCCTGTCAAGTTATTGATCTTTTTCCTTCTTGTTTGTTGTCTACCGGAGGAAGTGAGTTAAGATTTCCAATGACAAGGCCAGGCACGGTGGCTCACGCCTGTAATCCCAGCACTTTAGGAGGCCAAGGCGGGTAGATGCCGAGTTCAGGAGATTGAGACCATCCTGGCTAACACAGTGAAACCCCATCTCTACTGAAAATACAAAAAAATTAGCCAGGCATGGTGGCAGGTGCCTGTAGTCCCAGCTACTCAGGAGGCTGAGGCAGGAGAATGGCATGAACCCAGGAGGCGGAGCTTGTAGTGAGCCGAGATGGCGCCACTGCACTCCAGCTTGGGCGACAGAGTGAGACTCTGCCTCAAAAAGAAAAAAAAAGATTTCCAGTGACAAATGTGGCTTTATCAACTTCATTTAGCTCACAGGTTTGTCTTAAAATCAAGAGGGAAAACATCACAGACAGTGAGATGCAAAGGTTTTCAGTGCATACGATTGCGTGGGTTGTGGCGGAGCCACACTCCCATGTGCCCAACATGTCCCTTGAGGGAACCAGGAATGTCGTCACCACTAGCCCCAATGCCCCCTCACCCGCTCCAGCCTCCCCTCCGTGGGCAAACGCAACCCCAACTTCTATTACCCCGGGCCCATTTTGCCGACTCTTGGATTCCACAAAAGTGAAATCAAACTGTGTGTTGTCTTTTGTGTCTGGCTTCTTTCACAGGTGGTAACGCCTTTAAAATGTGGATTAAATCTATTTTGCAGCTTTATGTTGTTGGGAGCAAGCCTCCCAAAATCTGGCCATAAACTGGCCCCAAAACTGGCCATAAACAAAATCTCTGCAGCACTATGACATGTTCATAATGGCCCTAACGCCCAGGCTGGAAGGTTGTGGGTTTATGGGAATGGGGGCAAGGAACACCTGGCCCACCCAGGGCGGAAAACCGCTTAAAGGCATTCTTAAGCCACAAACAATAGCATGAGCGATCTGTGCCTTAAGGGCGTGTTCCTGCTGCAGTTAACTAGCCCAACCTATTCTTTTAATTTGGCCCATCCCTTCGTTTCCCATAAGGGATACTTTTAGTTAATTTAGTATCTATAGAAACAATGCTAATGACTGGTTTGCTGTTAATAAATACGTGGGTAAATCTCTGTTCGGGGCTCTCAGCTCTGAAGGCTGTGAGACCCCTGATTTCCCACTTCACACCTCTATATTTCTGTGTGTGTGTCTTTAATTCCTCTAGCGCCACTGGGTTAGGGCCTCCCAGACTGAGCTGGTCTCGGCATTATGCAGATACAATGGAAGTCCATGCTATTAACACAGAACCAATGGTTACCACACGAATTCATTTCAGGTGAAGTTAACTCTTTTTCACTACAGTGGAATGCGCATAACATAAAATTTACCATTGTAAATGCATGCAGTTTTAAAGTGCACAGTTTAGTGCCATTAGATACATTCACATTGCTGTGCACCTGTCACCACCATCATCATCTCCAGAACTTCTTCAGCTTCCCAAACCGAAGCTGTCCCTGATACATTCACGTTGGTGTGCACCTGTCACCACCATCATCATCTCCAGAACTTCTTCAGCTTCCCAAACCAAAGCTGTCCCTGATACATTCATGTTGGTGTGCACCTGTCACCACCATCATTATCTCCAGAACTTCTTCAACTTCCCAAACTGAAGCTGTCCCTGATACAGTCACGTTGGTGTGCACCTGTCACCACCATCATCATCTCCAGAACTTCTTCAGCTTCCCAAACCGAAGCTGTCCCTGATACATTCACATTGGTGTGCACCTGTCACCACCATCATCATCTCCAGAACTTCTTCAGCTTCCCAAACCGAAGCTGTCCCTGATACATTCACGTTGGTATGCACCTGTCACCACCATCGTCATCTCCAGAACTTCTTCAAGTTCCCAAACTGAAGCTGTCCCTGATACATTCACGTTGGTGTGCACTTGTCACCACCATCATCATCTCCAGAACTTCTTCAGCTTCCCAAACTGAAGCTGTCCCTGTCCCCATGGAAGACTGACTCCCATCCTCTCTGCCAGCCCCTGGTGCCCACCATCCACTTCCTGTCACTGGGGATTTCACTGCTCTGGGTTCCTCATATACGGGGAAGCTTATAGGATTTATCCTTTGCTGAATGGCTTCTTTGATTCAGCATAATGTCCTCAAGGTTCATCCATTTTGTAGCCTGTGTGAGAATTAATTTCTTTCCTTTTATTTTTTTTCTTTTTTAGAGACAGGAGAGATCATAGCTCACTGCAGCCTCAACTTCCTGGGCTCAAGCTATCCTCCTGCTTCAGTCTCCTGGGTAGCGGGGACTACAGCAAATTTTTTAAATTGTTTTTTGTAGAGACGGGGGTCTCATTATGTTGCCCAGGCTGGTCTCAAACTCCTGGCCTCAAGCCATTCTCCTGCCTCAGCTTCCCAAAGAGCTGGGATGACAGGCGTGAGCTGCAGGATTTCCTTCCTTTTTAAGGATGAATAACATTCCCTGCTATGGGTAGATCACACTTTGTTTCATTCATCAACGTCCGTTTTGCAGAGGCCCCTGCAGTCATTGGCAGCAGTGTACCTTGGCTTCTGGAGTCAGTTTGAGAATCACCCTGAGGTGCTACAAGCAGCTGGGATCACTGGGGTGGTTTCTAGCCATGTCAGTGGTACAGTTATCAGGGGGCAATGGATGCTACCCTTCTATCCCTGCACTTCCAGATCTCCTGAAATAACCTTCAGTCCCCAAAGTTCTCAACATTTCTGTAAGCCTAGAGTTCCCTGCAATGAATCTCCTTCTACCCAAAATACCTAGAGTGACTTTAGTGTTCCCGACCAACCATTCCTGGTACCAGCAGTGTTTCCAGGAAGGCAGAACCTTGAAGATGGGAATCTGGAGTTAGTAATTGGACAGACCAGGTTTTGTCTGATGTCAGTGAGGACCACGTGAGGAGTGGGAAGCAGGATGCAGATAATCTATAAACATTGTCACTGGTAAAATCATTACCTTGAGGTCTCTGCGATGCAGTGCCCATCACAAGCCTGGGTTTCAGACACCAGGGGGCTCTTGCAATAGGACATTAGGATGTGGATGGAAACCATGCATACAAGGATGTGGCATGGGGTGGCTGCTGCTTATTGCACTGGGGAACTGACAAAGAAAATGACAAGCTGTGGCCTTAAGTGCTCAGCTGAAGGTATAGACAGAGAACCAGAGCCCTTCTATAGCTGTCCTAAAAAAACCATTTTAGTTCTTGTAGCTGTAGAGTCAACTTTTTTTTTTAAATG
Organism: Homo sapiens; assembly: GCF_000001405.40. Taxonomy (NCBI): domain Eukaryota; kingdom Metazoa; phylum Chordata; class Mammalia; order Primates; family Hominidae; genus Homo; species Homo sapiens. The sequence goes on along the minus strand of NW_025791792.1, from coordinate 98,627 downwards.
CAGAGTACAAATTTGATCTTGCAGGCTAATGAATTACAACTAAAGAATAATTAAATGTCTTACTAAATCTCTTAAGTCAAAGTTAAGGCATTTATTTGGAAAGAATGAGACCTCGAGAACTGGAGAGGGTGGATTTCTCTGACTCTGAGTCCCCTGAACATTAGACCTTCCTGAGTCTCCCTGTAAGCAGAAGTGACTCTTCCTTAGAGTCTGAGGTGAGTAAAACTGTGCCCAAAGATCTGTGATGGCTTCACTTGAGGAAACAGCCTTGCAAGATGACAGATCTCCCTTGAGATCCACCTCCACCGACCCTCATTATTCCCAGAGCCATGACTAGAGTTGGGTGCAGAGGGATAAACACACAGTGAGACCCAAGAGGAGCCACATACACACTGAATGCAAGTTTTTGCCAATTTACATCAGCAGAAACCCAGGGGCGTCTGAGGCCGTGGACTCTTGGAGTGTTGGACCACAAAGGAGGTAACAGAATGTTAGATCAGGGTAGTTTTACCAATGAGACTCACACAGCAGAGACTCACTTAGCAGAGAAGTGTGCAGAAGCAGTGGCTGGAAGTGGTTCTCATAGTTTGTTCCGTTGTTTGACAGAAGCTTGCACACCACGTGAAATGAAGTGAGCTGTCAGAACTTCCTCCATACAACGGAGAGGAAAGGAGGCAAAAGCACAGACGTGGCAACGTTAGAGGATTTATCGCATGGCCCTGTTCATCCATCCCAGCAATGCATCCTGGGAGAGAAAGGCGTGGCAATATGCTGATGGAGGGCACCGCATCTTGGAAGGCTCTGTGGACCAAGATAGTGGTGCAAGTTGCTCTCATTGAACAGGCTGCCTGAGTGTTGGCAACCAGGTAGCAGCTCCAGCACAATGGGGTGTCCTGGTCTCAATGGGTGACAGGGCCAGGGCAGCAACTGTGTCCTTCACCCTGTAGGACTTTGGGGAATGTCTAACTGATTGAAGTGTCCCCAGGACTAAAACACGTAAGTAGCCTGCCAAAGTGTTCTCTGGTCTCTGTCTTAGTCTGTTTGGGCTACCATAACAAAAATATCATTAAAGATCTGGGTGGCTTATAAATGACAGAAACATGTCTCACAGTTCTGGAGGCTGGAAGTGCAAGACCAAGGTGCCAGCTGTGTTTGGTGGAGGCCAGTTTCCTCTCAGACAGCAACTTCCGGCTGCACCCGTACATGGGGCAAACAAGGCTCCCATGGGCCCCTTTCATAAGGGCACCAATCCATTTATGAGGGCTCTGCCCCCATGACCTTGCCACCTCTTGAAGGTCCCACCTCCCAACACCATCACCTTGGTGATTAGGTTTCAATACCTACCTTTCGAGGAGGACACAAGCATTCAGACCATGGCAATCACTGTAAGTGACAAAACCCTGTAGGTCTGGTGAACAGAGAAATGGCGTCAGCCAGCATGGTGGAGAATCCTGGCTTTTCCCCATATCCCAGAACTGAGCAGCTCAGAACCCCTGAATGCCGGGGGACCAGACCTCCTTACAGAAGGGCTCTGAGATACCACTGGCCCCACGATTGTGGGCCAGTCAGAGCGGGTGGGATGCTCGGCTCAGAGGTGCTGCCTAGCCATTCTCCAGGGCGAACTGTTTCCTTCCTTCCATCTGCAGCCACGCTGCCAAAGGGCTGCAGACTTCTTCAGAGAAATCTAGGAGAAAGATTTACAGTGCATACTGGCAACGGTATCCTGGATTCCTCTTTTTTTGTTTGTTTGTTTGAGACAGAGTCTTGCTCTGTCGCCCAGGCTGGAGTGCAGTGGTGTGATCTTGGCTCATCGCAGCCTCTGTCCCCCAGGTTCAAACAATTCTCCTGTCTCAGCCTCCCGAGTAGCTGTGACTGCAGGCGTGCGCCACCATGCCCGGCTAATTTTGTATTTTTAGTAGAGACAGGGTTTCACCATGTTGACCAGGCTGGTCTCAAACTCCCAACCTCAGGTGATCCACCCGCCTCAGCCTCCCAAAGTGCTGGGATTACAGGTGTGAGCCACTGTGCCCAGCCGATATCTCAGCTTCCTATCACATCGTTTTGCTTCACCTCTTTGGCCTGTGAAGGACAGAGGTGGATTTTGGAGAGTGACTGTGGATGGCTGCAAACACAATCGGGTGGGGACTCCAATTGCATCTGCCCCTCCAGATGTACCTCGTGTGATGGAACACCCAGCCATGGCTTCCATGAGGAAACTCATCTGACCAACGTTTCCTTCCACACACAACAGCTGAGCCACAGGGGAAGGCTACTTTCACCTGGCAGGGACAGCAATACACCCCGGCTCGTGCTTCTCAGAACTGTGCCCATCGTCCATCCCTTTGTCAAAATATAGACCTCAGGGCCCTTGACCATCTCAGTCCTGGCCATCCCATGGGACAAAGTGCCAGTTCACTATGCCGATGGTGTAATGGAGATCAGACCTGGTGGCAGGAAGTAGTAAATACTCTAACTGTCTTAGTAAGGCCCTTTCGTGCCTCCATAGTAGGAGACGCACCTCACAAAATGAAGGATTCTGTCATTTCAGTGAAATTTCTAGACATCCTGTGGTCTGGGATATATGAAGATATGTGCCCCCAGCCAGGCATGGGCTCACACCTGTCATCCCAGCACTCTGGGAGGCCATGGCAGGAGGATCGCTTGAGCCCAGGAGTTCAAGGCTGCAGTGAGCTGTGATGGCACCACCACACTCCAGCCTGGGCAACAGAGTGAGACCTTGTCTCAACAATAATGATTAATAATAATAATAATAAGATACTTGACCCAACTTCCTGTTCTTTGCACTAAGAAGGTGGCACAATGCTGCTTGGTAGGCCTTTTTAGACCCCAGAGAGCTCATGCACCATATTGAAGCAGGCTGCTTCGACCATATGGAAGCCTCCGAGGCTGTCAGTTTTGAAGGGGCCTACAGCAGCAGAAGGCTCTGTAGCAGGTCCAGGCTGCCATCAGGCACCTCTGCACGCGTGTCTCAGCAAATCAGACGGTGACAACAGGTCCGTGTCAGACAGGGATGCCGTGTGGAGCTTCCGACAAACCCTTCAGAAGAATCCCAGCTCAGCCACCCAGCGTTTTGGAGAAAAATCATGCCCTCTTCTGAAAGTAACCATTTTCCTTTGGAGACCCAGCTCCTGGCTTTCCACTGGGCCTCGGAAGAGATGGAAGTGTCAGATGACCACGTGACCTACCGGTCATGAATGAGGCAATGCAAGATTCACCAAGCATTAAAGCTTACCGTTCCCAGCATCCCTCCACCGTCACTTGGGGTGGAGACTATGGCACAGTCTCTGGGAGGGCCTGGGACTGCACTCCTCCCACTCGTTCAGGTGGCCGCCCATCTGTGCCATGCACCCACGTCCACGGCACCCAGGCCCACGGCACCCAGGCCCACAGCACCCACGTGCACAGCACCCACGTCCACAGCACCCAGGCCCACAGCACCCACACCCAGACATTGCCATTTCTCCCTCCACAAGCACCAGTGCCTTCCAGGGCAATTCCCAGCCACCAGGGGAGTGAGGAATCAAACACTCACACTCAGTTTCCAGGTAGGTCCAGACAGTTCCAGACAACACTGGCACCAGCTGAGAGCACACGGGGCAATGCTGCAGCCTCATCTGGGGATGGCCCTGTAGGGAGGCAGGACAGGGGCGTCGTCCTAGCGAGCAGCGCTTGGGGCGGCCTCACTGGCTGTGTCCTGTGCCTGGACAAGAGGACAGGACCAGACCTCTTCAGGGGATGTGGCTAACGGTTTGCCGGATGGTCCGGGACTTGGAAGCCATCTGTTTGAAAGGTTGATGACAAGGAGGCTGGGGAGAGACTTGTGGACGAACCTTTCCAGAGGGGCACAGGACGTGGGGATATTTGCGTGTCCACGGAGGAGGCTCATCACAGCCAGCTGAACACACGGCTTGTTTTGGGGATGTCACCAGCCACCCCAGGCATGCTTGATGGCTCCTGGGCAGTGCCCACAGCAGTGAGCATGGAAGCTGCGCCCAGCCTCAGACATGGGCCCCCCACCACGGCCAAAAGCCCAACAACCAACAGCAGAGAGCCAGAGCTGTGGGCCTGAAACTGCACTGTTCCCCACGGGATGAGCCGGTCACGGGGGGAGGTTGGTTTCACTGGACCCCTCCATCAGGGAGGGTGCAACGATGTGTCCCGGTTGGAATAGACGCTTCCTCTGGACATGAGTTTCTGTCCCTGGTCATGGCACTTCTGCCGACACCACATGCAGAGTCTGAGCAGCTGTCATGGTCCTCCACAAAGCATTAGCTGCGACCCAGGGCCCCATTCCACAGAGGAAAGGGAGAGAAAGGGCTCAGGCCCATGCGTTCCCTTGCTGTACCTGGGCCACGTCACCCCCATCATGGGCTGTTGAAGGCTCACTTGTGTGACAATGTGTGACAGCTGTCTACAGGACGAGGCCTCTGGAGGGTGTGGTCCCACAAGGTGGGCCAGGTCCATGTGTGATGTTCTCCCAGAGCCGGGACACGTAGGCCCAGGGTGGTTCCCTGCACCATGGCCCTAGTGACGCACCGGCTAAGCCCATGCTCCCCGCGTCAGCACGTCTGGGTTTTGCAGGTGCTGAGGTGGTGCGGAGTATTCACGTCACACACACGCTTCCCCTGAAGGGGACGCCTGGACAGCCACAGGCCCAGGAGTCCTCTTGCCACCAGAGCAGTAGACCTCCTGCTGGGGCAGCGGGCTCAGGCGGCCAAGGACAGTCAGGACGGCTCCTTCAAGGGAGCAGCGGGAGGAGGCTGAGCCTGGAGTCTCCCCAAGACCACCTGGAAGCCAAAGTTCATGAATGACATTTTGTTGTTTTTATGTTTTGCTATTTTTTTTTTTTTGAGACAGAGTCTCGCTCTGTCGTCCAGGCTGGAGTGCAGTGGTGTGATCTCAGCTCACTGCAACCTCTGCCTCCTGGATTCAGGTGATTCTCCTGCCTCAGCCTCCTGAGTAGCTGGGATTACAGGCGCCCGCCACCACGCCTGGCTAATTTTTGTATTTTTAGTAGAGACGGGGTTTCACCATGTTGGCCAGGATGGTCTCAAACTCCTGACCTCAGGTGATCCGTCCGCCTCGGCCTCCCAAAATGCTGGGATTACAGGCATGAGCCACTGCGCCCGACCATGGATGGCATTTTGGAACAACCCCAAAGAAAAGGACGAATAACGGCTCAGTCCCTTTGAGAACACAATGGCTATGGAGCCACGGACAGGACACCGTGCCGTGCAGAGGCGGCGGCGGGGCTGGGGCAGCCACGCACGTTTTCTCCTCCCACCACTTCCCCTCCTTGAGCCCTTCCCTGCTGTTTTACATGGGGTGTGGTCAGCATTTATTTATTTACTTATTTATTTATTTTATTTTTCCATAAGTTATTGGGGTACACGTGGTATTTGGTTCCAGGAGTGAGTTCTTGAGCTCTGATCTGCGAGATCCTCGTGCACTCATTACCTGAGCAGTATACACTGCACCCTATTTGTTGTCTTTTATCCCTCGCCCCCTCCCATTCTTCCCCTCCAAGTCCCCAAAGTCCACTGTATCATTCTTATGCCTTCGCGTCCTCACAGCTTAGCTCCCACATATCAGTGAGAACACACAATGTTTGGTTTTCTGTGGTCAGCTTTTAAACTTGGTATCTGATTTACAGGATGGCAAGAGAGGACCAGTGTTGACCTAGAAAAGCAGCTCGCCTGGACTGGAGGTTGCCACACCGACTCACAGGCCTCTGTTTACCCGTGCGGGGGGATGGCAGGTGGGCCTCACTGGAGAGCCGTCGCTGGGGGGCAGCAGCCGGGTGGCGTGGGCCTCACTGGAGAGCCATAGCCAGGAGGGAGCAGCCGGGTGGCGTGGGCCTCACTGCAGAGCCGTCGCCGGGAGGGAGCAGCCGGGTGGCCTTACAGGAAGTCTTCACTCTGCAGCAGGGCAGGCCTGGCCAGTGACCAGAAGCAGGCCGTGCTGGCCTGTTTGCTGGTCACAGCCCTGCACACCCCCACCCTCATGTGCTTTCCTCCCACAGCGCAGGAGAAGCTTGGACTACACCACTTGGGATGTCTTTCCTGAATGGTTCTGGGTCAGCCTCTGCCCGTGGCATCATCCAGGAGCCCTGAGTGTGGCGGCAGCATCTTCTGAGCCTGTGCCTGGTGCTGCACAAAGCAGGGGCCAGGCAGCAACTCCCCTGCCTCTCCTGTCCAGAGCCCACCTTCCCAGGTCTCCCGAAAGCCTCTCAACCTCTGTGCTCCCTACAATCCAACAGTTGAGTTCCTCGGGGAAGTGGAGAAGGAATCGGAAGACTGAGGAGTGCAGAAGGTTGGGTGGAGCTCAGGCATGACCAGCTCACCCGCCCGAGTCTCCCAGGAGATAGTCACTCCATGGCCCAGCCTTGTGATTTGCCACAAAAACAGTGCAAAAAGAAAAACCACATGTCAATTTCAATAGAGGCAAGATAAATACTTGATAAAATTCAACAGTATTTTAAGATAAAACTCTTACCAAACTAGGAATAAAATAATTTTTTTAACTTTATAAAAGGAATACGCAAAAAAAACCAAAAAAAAACAAAAAAAAACAAAGCACAGCAACCATCACAATTACACATTTTTAAATAAAATCAGGAATGAGACAACTCACCCTCACTGCCTCTAACCCACAAAGAACTTGAGGACCCACTCACCACCAGACAAGAAAAAGCAACAACGGGCCGGGCGCGGTGACTCATGCCTGTAATCCCAGCACTTTGGGAGGCCGAGGCGGGTGGATCATGAGATCAGGAGATCAAGACCATCCTGGCTAACATGGTGAAACCCCGTCTCTACTAAAAATACAAAAAAATTAGCCGGGCGTGGTGGCGGGCGCCTGTAGTCCCAGCTACTCGGGAGGCTGAGGCAGGAGAAGGGCATGAGCCCGGGAGGCAGAGCTTGCAGTGAGCCGAGATCGCGCCACTGCACTCCAGCCTGGGTGACAGAGAGAGACTCCATCTCAAAATAAATAAATTAATAAATAAATAAAATAAATTTTAAAAAGAAACAATGGATATTAAAAATTGGAAACAAAGAAACTAAACTATGTATTGAGGAAATGATTACTTACAAAAAATACTGCAATCCACAAATTATGAGAATTAAAATAGTTTAACAAGATGCTCCAATCTAGAAATCAACATTCGAAAGTCATTTGCAGTTTTCTATATGGGCATCAAACACAAATGTGAAAATTCAAACCCCAAAATAAAAAATACTTAGGAATAAACCTAACAAAATACATATAAGATCTGTGAGCAGAAAATTATTAAAGTTTAATGAAAGACTTCAAAGAAGACCAGAGAGAGAGAGACAGAGTGAGAGAGAGCAAGAGAGAGACAGCATGAGAGAGCGAGAGAGAGGGAGAGACACAGAGAGAGAGCGAGAGAGACAGAGAGAGAGAGAGAGCAAGAGAAACAGAGAGAGAGAGAGACAGAGAGAGAGCCACAGAGAGCATGAGAGAGCGAGAGAGAGAGACACAGAGAGAGCGAGAGAGAGCGACAGAGAGAGCAAGAGAGAGAGCGAGAGAGACAGAGAGAGAGAGAGCCACAGAGAGAGTGAGAGAGAGCAACAGAGAGAGAGCATGAGAGAGTGAGAAACACAGAGAGAGAGCGAGAGAGACAGAGAGAGAGAGAGCAAGAGAAACAGAGAGAGCGACAGAGACAGAGAGTGAGAGAGAGCGACAGAGAGAGAGCATGAGAGAGCGAGAGGGACACAGAGAGAGCGAGAGAGACAGAGACAGACAGCAAGAGAGACAGAGAGAGCGAGAGAGAGTGACAGAGAGCATGAGAGAGCGAGAGAGAGTGAGAGACACAGACAGTGAGAGAGAGCGACAGAGAGAGCAAGAGAGAGAGCGAGAGTGAGAGAGAGAGAGACAGAGAGAGAGCGAGAGAGACAGAGCGAGAGAGAGCAAGAGACAGACAGAGAGAGAGCAAGAGAGAGAGCGAGAGAGACAGAGTGAGAGAGCGAGAGAGACAGAGAGAGAGCGAGAGAGAGAGAGCAAGAGAGAGAGAGGTTTGTGTGTGGGAGTCAATGTTGTAACAATGTTATTCCTTCCCTCTGTAATATCTGTGTACAATGCAACTCCTATCTAAATTTCACCGGCATTGTTTGCAGAGGCAGGGAAAGGGAGTTGATAAGAAGGCAGAAAAGGGCCACAAAGATAAAGTAGTCTAAGCTCCAGAAGCTCCGAGTGCCGTGGTGACGGCAGGGCAGCGTAGGTGGACGGCAGGGGAGCATGGGTGGACGGCAGGGCAGCATGGGTGGGTGGCAGGGCAGCGTGGGTGGACAGCCAGTGCTGGGGCCGGGTAGAAAGTTGGTATTCTGAAAAAATCACATCTGCCTTTTCTCCTGTCCTATTCTCAGTGGGTCCCTAACCCAGGCAAGGAAAAGAGGGGCTGTTTGTGGTGGTTCACACCTGTAATCCCAGCACTTTGGGAGGCCGAGGCGGGCAGATCACGAGGTCAGGAGATCGTGACCATCCCGGCTAAAACGGTGAAACCCCGTCTCTACTAAAAATACAAAAAAAATTAGCCAGGCGTAGTGGCGGGCGCCTGTAGTCCCAGCTACTTGGGAGGCTGAGGCAGGAGAATGGCGTGAACCCGGGAGGCGGAGCTTGCAGTGAGCCGAGATCCCGCCACTGCACTCCAGCCTGGGCGACAGAGCGAGACTCCGTCTCAAAAAAAAAATAAAAATAAAAATAAAATAAAATAAAAAATGAGCTGGGCATGATGGCACAAGCCTGTGGTCCCAGCTACTCAGGAGGCTGAGGTGGGAGGATGGTTTGAGCCTGGGAGGTTAAGGCTGCAGTGATCCATGATCATGCCTCTGCACTCCAGCCCGGGTGATGGAGCAAGACCCTGTCTCAAAACAAACCAAAAAACCCCCACGTAAAACCACGCTGTAGGCTGGGCTCGGTGGCTAATGCCTGTAATCCCAGCACTTTGGGAGGCCAAGGCGGGCGGATCACGAGGTCAGGAGATCGAGACCATCCTGGTTAACACAGTGAAACCCCGTTTCTACTAAAAACACAAAAAAATTAGCCAGGCGTGGTGGCGGGCGCCTGTAGTCCCAGCTACTTGGGAGGCTGAGGCAAGAGAATGGCGTGAACCCGGGAGGCAGAGCCGGCAGTGAGCCGAGATCGTGCCACTGCACTCCAGCCTGGGTGACAGAGCAAGACTCTGTCTCAAAAAAAAAAAAAAAAAAAAGAAACCACCTGTATAGTGTTGAGGGTCACATGTGTGCTGTGAGGTCTACAAACGTGCCCCGGCACGACACTCCAGATGTGGAATCTGCCCCAGGAGGGAGAGCAATGGCACCACAGGGCACCAGGGGCTTTGGGTGGATTGGACGGGTTGAATCCACTTAAAATCATGGCACAGACACAGCCAAATGTCAGGGAGTCTTAGAGCTGGGAAGGGCTGAAGGTGCTTATCATATCATTCTCTATGGTTTTCCGTATGTTAGAGACATCCCATAACAAAACAGAACAGAGGAAGAGGAAGGCCAATCCGTGCTGCACTGATTTAGCAACGAGCAACTCACGAGGGAAACAAAACCCTGGCTGGAGGCACTGGCCAATTTCCGTGGTGTAAACATTCCCACCATGGCCGACGCCCAAACCACCCACCTGAGGGGGCTGACAGAGCAGACACATAGCACCGGCCTCCCAGCTGGCAGGGGCCGGCCCCCAGCACACATCGTGAAGGACACACAGCACCAGCCCCCAGCGCACACCATGAAGGACACACAGCACTGGCCCCCAGTGCACACCATGAAGGACACACAGCACTGGCCTCCCAGCTGGCAGTGGCCGGTCCCCAGTGCACGTCGCGAAGGACACACAGCACTGGCCTCCCAGCTGGCAGGGGCCGGCCCCTAGCGCACGTCGCGAAGGACACACAGCACACCTCCCTGAGCTGGAGCCAGCAGGCAAGGGTCACGTCTCTACAATCAGGGAGAAGAACAGAGAGGCTGCTGTGGGAACCCAGCAGGCATCCGGCTCACCGGCACACCCGGAAGCTCGTGTGGAGCAGGGCCGGGCACGTGCAGGCTGTGCCCACCCTCGCACTCACGTTCACGTCTGGAAGGCAGAGAACGGCCCAGCAGGGCAGCAGGCAGGTGGTGAAGGATGCACCTATGGTGATGGCTTAGACAGGAACTGGAGGGGCAGGCCCTGCCGCTTTTGTGGCCAGGATCTCCCCAGTCTCTGCCACTCCGGCCGCCACAGCAAAACACCCCCGTCGGCGGCTTCAAGCAACCGACATTTAGCTCACAGCTCTGGAGACTGTGAGTCTAACAGGCCCCGGCAGACTGTGGTTCACAGCCAGCGCCTCCTGGCCACATCCGAACGTAATGAAGCGGTGAGGGGCTCTCTGAGGTCCCTTTTGTCTGGGCACTAATCCATTTACGAGGCCGACCCTCACGGCCAGACCCGCCCAAAGGCCCCTCCTCCCAATAGCATCACCTTGGCAGTGAAGGTTTCAACAGAAGAATTTCTGGGGATAGACGTTCGGGCCATGGTGACCTCTCTGGGGGTGCCCCTCAGTGTGAGAAGGACGGAGAGAAGGCGCCGGCTCCACAGGTAGCTGCGGATTCACATTCCAGGCGGAGGTGCTGGGGCAGAGGCAGGGACGGGTGTCTGGGTGTGATCTAGATCCTGAAGGGAGGCCCGGGGGCCAAGCAAGGCGGCTGGAGCGGCCCCAGCACCATGGAGGCCACTCACTCACAGGCTCTCAGAGGCATTGGGCTTGATGCCCCCCAGGCTGTCCTGTGGGTCGGGCACCGCAGTAGGGCTGGGAAGACCAGGCCTGGCCCTGGCCGGCCCAAAGCAGGAAAATGGGTCGGCAGGTGGAACGTTTGCCCTTTGAGGGAACTGGGGCTGAGGTAGGCAGGGAGGTGGCACTCTGCTCCGTGGGCTGGAAAGAGCCCTGGGAAAGGGGGAGAAGAGCCACGTGCAGCCACGGCCATGCTGAGTCCAGACCCAGGACCAGCAGGGGTGGCTGAGGAAATGAGATGCAGAGAGGTGGTCATATAGTGACTAGAGGAGGGGGTGGTCTTGGATGGGGCGTCTTGGATGCAGGGTCTTGGATGGTGGGTGTAGACACATTTTTTGAGACAATTTGCTATGAATAGAAGAAAATTAGGGAGTTGCTAGAGGGGTTCCATGTTCCAGGAGGCACTGTGACAGGCAAGAGGGGGTGGGGGACCTGGTGTAGGCCTGGGAGGGGAGTCGGCGGGGATGAGGGGTAGGGGATGGGGGTCCAGGTGTGAGGCCTGGGAGGGGAGTCGGTGGGGATGAGGGTGAGGGTGGGGGTCCAGGTGTGAGGCCTGGGAGGGGAGTCAGTGGGGATGAGGGGTGAGGGTGGGGGTCCAGGTGTGAGGCCTGGGAGGGGAGTCATTGGGGGTGGGGGTCCAGGTGTGAGGCCTGGGAGGGGAGTCGGTGGGGATGAGGGGTGGGGGTGGGGGTCCAGGTGTGAGGCCTGGGATGGAAGTTGGTGGGGGTGGGGGGTGGGGGGTCCAGGTGTGAGGCCTGGGAAGGGAGTCAGTGGGGATGAGGGGTGGGGGGTGGGGGGTCGAGGTGTGAGGCCTGGGAGGGGAGTTGGTGGGGGTGGGGGTCCAGGTGTGAGGCCTGGGATGGAAGTTGGTGGGGGTGGGGGGTCCAGGTGTGAGGCCTGGGAGGGGAGTTGGTGGGGGTGGGGGTCCAGGCATGGGGCCTGGGAGGGGAGTCAGTGGGGGTGGGGGTCCAGGTGTAAGGCCTGGGAGGGGAGTTGGTGGGTGTGGGGTTCCAGGTGTGAGGCCTGGAAGGGGAATTGGTGGGGGCAGGGGTCTAGGTGGGAGGCCTAGAAGGGGAGTGGGTGGGGGTCCGGGTGTGAGGCCTGGGAGGGGAGTTGGTGGGGGTGGGGGGTCCAGGTGTGAGGCCTGGGAGGGGAGTTGGTGGGGGTGGGGGGTCCAGGTATGAGGCCTGGGAGGGGAGTTGGTGGGGGTGGGGGGTCCAGGTATGAGGCCTGGGAGGGGAGTTGGTGGGGGTGGGGGTCCAGGTGTGAGGCCTGGGATGGAAGTTGGTGGGGGTGGGGGGTCCAGGTGTGAGGCCTGGGAGGGGAGTTGGTGGGGGTGGGGGTCCAGGCATGGGGCCTGGGAGGGGAGTCAGTGGGGGTGGGGGTCCAGGTGTAAGGCCTGGGAGGGGAGTTGGTGGGTGTGGGGTTCCAGGTGTGAGGCCTGGAAGGGGAATTGGTGGGGGCAGGGGTCTAGGTGGGAGGCCTAGAAGGGGAGTGGGTGGGGGTCCGGGTGTGAGGCCTGGGAGGGGAGTTGGTGGGGGTGGGGGGTCCAGGTATGAGGCCTGGGAGGGGAGTTGGTGGGGGTCCAGGCATGGGGCCTGGGAGGGGAGTCAGTGGGGGTGGGGGTCCAGGTGTGAGGCCTGGAAGGGGAATTGGTGGGGGCAGGGGTCTAGGTGGGAGGCCTAGGAGGGGAGTGGGGGTCTGGGTGGGAGGCCTGGGAGGGGAGTTGGTGGGGGTGGGGGGTCCAGGTGTGAGACCTGGGAGAAAAGCTAGCAGAGGCAGAGGGTTTAATCCACCCACCTCGCAAGAGTGTCAGGAACAACAGGTCATTTCTCAAAGGCAGTGAGGCATAGAGGTTGGAGATCAGACCTCACATCACACTGAGGGTGATCCCGGTAATTACAAATTACATTTGCAACAGATCAGTACACAGAGAACATTTAAATAGAACATAATTAGTACGCTCAGAAAAATCGGTAAAACACATAATTAGTAAGCTCAGAAAAATGGTAAAACACAGAAATACTAATGAAAACAAACACATCTGCATATTCCAGTGCGGCCGAGCTTCTGTGAGAGACCCGTTGCCGTTCGCAAGTCCGAGGTGATTCAACCTTTTAAAGCCAAGGTCAGCGTGATTCTTCCAGGATAATGAGAACATCGACACCATTTGACTCAGGATTATAGTTTCTGGGCCAAATTTTAAGGAAACAATCCCTAAGGAGAAACAATTGTTTTCTCCTTTCCATGTTAGAGTGTTAGCTCTAAGAGTCAATATTACTAGCCTAAGAGTCAATATTACTAGCCTGGGTGCAGTGGCTCACACCTGTAATCCCAGCACTTTGGGAGGCCGAGGCAGGCGGATCGCCTGAGGTTGGGAGTTTGAGACCAGCCTGGACAACATGGTGAAACCCCGTATCCACTAAAAGTTAAAAAAAAAGTAGCTGTGTGCATTGGTGTGTTCCTGTAGTCCCAGCTACTTGGGAGGTTGAGGCAGGAGAATCACTTGAACCCGGGAGGCAGAGGTTGCAGTGAGCTGAGATCACACTACTGCACTCCAGCCTGGGCAACAGAGCATGACTATCTCAAAAAAAAAAAAAAAAGAAAAAGAAAACAAATGAGAGTAAACATGATTGGAAATCACTCAAGTGTCCACAGTAAAAGAATGGTTGGGCAGATTACGGTACATTCACTTAAAATCCTATGCCATTGGGGATATATTGTCATAATGCCGAAGGGAAAATGAAAAATTACAGTGGCCAGCGTTTTACGACACTCACCATGGGTCAAGAATGCTCCGTGTTGAACTCATTTAATCTTCACAAAGGTCCAAGGAGTAGCTTTGATCGGTCCCCACCTTTATGAATCAGGAAATGAAATCTCGTGCCCACAGTCACACAGCCCGTGAGCTGCAGATCCCAGGCCCACCCTCCCTGGCCTCTTGTGGTCCCAGCCTTGGGGTCAACTCTCTCCCACGCAGCTGGAAGGCTCGAGAACGGAGAACTCTTCAGAAAACTGTTTCCTGGGCAGAGAAGGGCCAGCTGGAGGGAGAGGAGCCCAGGGGAGCTGACCAAGACCACACGTCTGGGGTGTCGCTGCCTGGTTTACACCTGGTCCTATGGGTGGGGCGGGTACCAGAGGGTTTGAGCCTGACCGGTCAGGTGGGCCTGGCTGGGTGGTGTCCACTGCTGTGGGGGCCTCCACGTGGGAGGAGAAATTCCCAGAGCCAAAGAGGAGTGTGGTCCCAGAGCACGGCTCCCGGGCGCCAACCTTGGGGGAAGCGGAGGAGGCTCCCAGGCCAACCCTGGGGGAGGTGGAGGAGGCATGGGGAGAGGGTTGGGCAGCAGTGCAGGGAGGGTTGTCAGAGCCAGGGCGGGGCGGCCTCGCCCTCCCACATCAGCCTCGCTGCCTGCCGGGGGTCAGGGCGCCAGGGCCTCTCCTGGGGCTACGACTGCACCCGGAGCCGTCAGATTCTCCCAGGCAGAGGAGCCAGGTCCAGGACCCTCTCATTCTGCAGGGCTCTGCGGAGCATGGGGGCAGGTAGGGGAGGGCAGCAGGACCCTCAGAAATGGACGGACTCGGGCTGGACCCGTAAGATGTGGCTGCACCCAGGCTGAAGCCAGCTGTGCTCTGGGAACAGCTGGGGAAAGGAGCTGTGTCCCCCGGGGCCATCGTTCCCTCTGTCGGGGGCTTTGACTGCCGGAGAAGAGGGAAGGGAGGAGTTATCCGGCAGGACCAGGGTGGGCACAGGTGGCCTCTGAGACCCTGTCTTTGTGCGTTGCTCTCCATGCAGCGACGTGGCTGGAAAACCAGAGCCCTCGCCAGGAGAGAGTGAGGCTTGACAGACAGCGCCTCTCCCTCCGCAGGGCACCGGCCCTGAGATGGTACAGGAGCAAATCTACCCACTGGGCCCCAGGCTGGCCGCCGCATAGGAGGGGCTGGGTCGGCCGAGACGTCTCAGAGGGAAGCTGGAGTCCCCGGAAGGTTCTGGTCCAGAGGCCCAGTGGAGGGACACACAGACCCACCCCCGAGAGCACTGAATTTGGGTCAGCGCCTGGGCCATCTGCAGCCCCGAAGCCCACACCCTGGGGTCTCCAAGCCCCCCCCAGCACAGGCTAGCGGCTCCAGGCAGAGGCTTTTCTTCCTGAGGGGTGTCTACCCGGCCCCCCGGCCTGCAGGGCAGAGTCACAGCGCAGGGCTGGCAGGCCTGGCAGGGAGGACAAAGGGACAGAGGCCGAGTCAAGACGTTGTGTCTCCCGAGCAGACGGAGCAGGTGGGGCCTCAGGCCTCCAGGGCCGCAGGAGTCATCCATCAAACTGAGTGCCCCTCATTGAAATTCTAACGGCAATGCGGCCACAGGCAGGGCTCCTCCAGGGCATGCCCTCCCTGCCTGCCTGGTGCTCCTGAGAGCCAGACCCAGGTCACAAGGTCATGAGGCCGCACGCAGAGGCCATCCCCGGGGAGCTCCGGGTGGGCGCCCTGCATGGCCTTCCTGAGGACCACACGCCCCTCCCCCAGACGCTGGACAGACACACTTCTCATGGGGAGCTGGGTTTTTCTCGGGTTCTCGGTGCCCACATGGCTCTGCCGTATATGATAAAGCATGTCCTTTGCCACCAGCTAGTGCTTTGTGTGTGTGAGTTAATCTCCCCTCCCGGGCGGAAGGATGCCGCCCTCCCCAAGCTCCCCACACGGGTCGGCCCACCCACGACCAGGGTCGGCCGCCCAGCCTGATCCACATGTAGGACCCAGCTTGGCCCCCTGTGCTCATGCAGAGTCTTGCTTTTCATTTAGTTCAGAAGGTGGGTAGGGAAGAGAGGGCTGGGGTTGATCCCTCCAGCCTCCCACAGTGTCTGAGGACCAGAGAGGGGCCCTGTGATACAGAGAGAGGGTGACGTAGAAGGGGGTGCGGTTTGCAGAACAGGCTCCTGCCAGCTGTGGCAAGGACTTGGGGTTTTATTCCAAAGGAACTCCCAACTAATCATTAGCCAGAAACACAGAATCTGGGTCATGACCCCTGCTTGGTCCCCAGCATTGTTTGGAAGTGGAGGTGAGGATGGGGGAAAGTCACAAGCGTTCCTGGCACTCTTTCTGCTTAAGCAGTGGGTGGCTGGTGGTTCTATTTACAGAGATGGTGGGGTTGAGTCTGGGGCCCTGTGGGTAGATGGGGCTGAAGACCCGGCGTGGGAAGCGAACCACAGACATGAGTGACTGTGACGGCGCTACTGACAGCCGGCATCTGGAGTGTAACATGCCAGGCATCGTCCCCGCACTTACACGGATTGTTCATGAATCCTGCTCTGCAAGCGTCTCCCTCCTATTGGAGGGAATCTCCTCAAATGAGGCCATTCCTATAACTAAGGAGGGTTGACCAGGCCCCTGAGGAGGCCGCAAGACCTCTGGAGAGGCCACAAGACTCCTGAGGAGGCCAGGAACTCCGAAGAGAAAGGGAGTGCCAGCTGAGCATGGAAAACTCAGCAAAGATGTCTTTCAAAACTGTTTCTTTGCTGTGAGGCCAGCGTGTGTCAGTGGGGTCCTCTGGACCAGCTGAGTCAACAGTTTCGTAGGTATGCAGGACCTGAAGGAATTTTTTTTTTTTGAGACGGAGTCTCCCTCTGTCACCCAGACTGGAGTGCAATGGTGCGATCTTGGCTCACTGCAGCCTCCACCTCCCGGGTTCATGCAATTCTCCTGCCTCAGCCTCCTGAGTAGCTGGGATCACAGGCACCTGCCACCAGGCCCAGCTAATGTTTGCATTTTTAGTAGAGATGGGTGGTTTTGGCCAGGCTGGTCTCAAACTCCTGACCTCAAGTGATCCACCTGTCTCGGCCTCCCAAAGTGCTGGGATGACAGGCGTGAGACACCATGCCTGGTCCGTACCCACCTTCTGAACCAAATGAAAACCAAGACACAGCCGCCACCCCATGAGGCCAAGCCGGGTCCCACGTGCGTATCTGCTGGGTGACTGCCCCGGTCCTGGGCACACATGCAGATGATCCGTGACGTGCTGTACACTGACAGGGCCACAGACAAACGTCACGTTTATTCCATCCCGGCGGACATGGAAAAGCACTGGACAAAACCCATCACCCACTTGTGATAAAAATTCTCCCACCAGGGCCAGGAAGGAGAAAGGGCAGCTCCGTGTACACCGACTCTTCACTCAGCGAATTGTTCGTGTGCGTCACTGTGGGCTCGCGGCTTTTTATTCTGTGGGTTACAATCCAGTAAACTATCACCCGGCGCGTGGGAGCTTTCATCTTGACTCCCAGGTCCCCTCCCCACAAGCCCTGCTCCCGTTCACGCATTTCCTCACGTTCCGGGACTGTGAGTGCTCCAAGCTCAGCCTGACGTTTCCCTGCCCCGGCCTTGGTGCCAGCCGAGACTCCGAGGCCTGTGGGGTCCTCTCACTGGAGGGTGACGTCGGGGACCGAGACCTGCACCCTGTGCTTCCTTTGGTACTGGGGTATCCCGGTGTCTAGGCCCTCTTGGTGGACAGAGCCAGAAGATGCATGCCTGTGTACTCACCCCCATGCACAAACAATCTACATGTGTGTAGATTGACCGTGTGAGCTCATGCTGCTGCCACCCACCCTAGGGCACACGTCCATCCTCGCCCACCCCAGCAGCACCGGCCCCTCCTCACCCACCTCAGGGGCATGGGCCCTGTCCTCACCCACCCCAGCAGCACACACCCCATCCTCACCCACCCCAGGGCACACATCCATCCTCGCCCACCCCAGCGGCATGGGCCCCTCCTCACCCACCCCAGGGGCATGGGCCCTGTCCTCACCCACCCCAACAGCACACGCCCCCTCCTCACCAGCACATGCCCCCTCCTCACCCACCCCAGGGCACACATCCATCCTCACCCACCCCAGGGCACGTGCCCCATCCTCACCCACCCCAGGGCACACGTCCATCCTCACCCACCCCAGGGCACACGTCCATCCTCACCCACCCCAGGGCACACGCCCATCCTCACCCACCCCAGGACACACGTCCATCCTCGCCCACCCCAGTGACACGGGCCCCTCCTCACCCACCCCAGGGCACACGCCCATCCTCACCCACCCCAGACGCATGGGCCCTGTCCTCACCCACCCCAGGGCACACGTCCATCCTCACCCACCCCAGCGGCACGTGCCCCATCCTCGCTCACCCAAGTGGCACACGCCCATCCTCACCCACCCCAGGGCATGCGCCCATCCTCACCCACCCCAGGGCACACGCCCATCCTCACCCACCCCAGCAGCGCGGGTCCCTCCATGCCCACCCCAGCAGTGCAGGCCTGTTCTCGTCCGCCGCTTTACCTGTTGCATCTCTTGTCTGAAGAAACCTGGCTTTCACACCTTCACCTGCTTGTCTAGTCCCAGCTGCGGGTGAACTGGCTCCAGACTTGCTGATACACCCCCGTGAGGGACAGACCCACCACCCAGAGCCTGGCATCCATGCACAGCGTGTCTTGTCTTCAGCCTCACCTTCAGCGTCCAGTCAACGCTGTCCCCGCGGTGACTTCAGGCGTTCCTTTACTTCTCGACTTCCTTCAGTGTGACTGTGTCATTCCTCTGCAATATGGTCACATTCATCTGTTGGGTGGATGTGGTTAACCCTTGAACGATGCAGGCTGAGGGGCAATGACGCTTGCACAGAGAAAACCCACATAGAACTTCTTTGACAGGGTCTTGCTGTGTCACCCAGGCTGGAGTATAATGGTGCAATCTCAGCTCACTGCAGCCTCGAAATCCTGGGCCCAAGGGATACTTCCTCCTCAGTCTCCCAAGTAGCTGGGACCGAAGGTGCACGCCACCACACCCGGCTAATGTTTGTGTTTTGTAGAGATGGGGTCTCCTTTCATTGCCCTGGCTGGTCTTGAACTCCCGGGCTTAAGTGGTCCTCCTGCCTTGGCCTCCAAAAGTGCTGGGATTACAGGCATGAGCAACCGCGCCCAGCCTGATTCCCTAAAACTTAACTGTTAGTAGCTTATTGTTGACCGGAAGCCTTCCCCAATAACATAAACAGTTGATGAACAGATATTTTGTATGTTATATATGTTATCTACTGTATTCTTACAATCAAGTAAACCGGAAAAAAGAACGTTATTTAAAAACTCATAAGGAAGATAAAATATATTCACTAAGTGGAAGTGGATCATCATCAATGCCCTCATCCGTGTCGGCTTCACATTGAGTGGGCTGAGGAGCAAGGGCTGGTCTTGCTGTCTCAGGGGTGGCAGAGGCGGGACAAAGTCTTTGTCCAAACGGACACTGGGTTATTAGCCAGCACCATTTATTCAAAATTCCAGCCTTGCCCCTGTGACTTGTGCAGCTACCCGTGTCCTGGGGTCTCCTGTCTGCAGGCCTGGGGCATCTGCACCTGCAGCCACCCATGTCCTGGGGTCTCCTGTCTGCAGGCCTGGGGCATCTGCACCTGCACCAGACACAGTTTCTTTCTTTTTTCTTGTGGGGGGGACAGAGTCTTGCTCTGTCGCCCAGGCTGGAGTGTACTGGTGGGATCTCGGCTCACTGCAAGCTCTGCCTCCCGGGTTCACGCCACTCTCCTGCCTCAGCCTCCTGAGTAGCTGGGACTACAGGCGCCCGCCACTACGCCCAGCTAATATTTTTGTATTTTTAGTAGAAACGGGGTTTCACCATGTTAGCCAGGATGGTCTCGATCTCCTGACCTCGTGATCCGCCCACCTTCACCTCCCAAAGTGCTGGGATTACAGGCGTGAGCCACCGTGCCCAGCCTGCACCATCCACAGTTTCTGCCTTGAGGTTTCAAGGAGTGTTCTGTCTGCTAGTGTGTTCCCACCTCTTCTTACCTGAGTGCTTTCCTGTAAAAACTTTGCTATCAACCCGTCTAACTCCATAAAACTGCAAAAAAGGTGTGGGGACCTTTGCGGCATTGCACTGACCTCGCCTGATGCTTGGCCCCACGTACATCTGCTCGGTACCACTCAGGCCTCCTTTCGGGGTCTTAAGGTTTTCCCTAGACACATTTCAGCATTTCTCAAAACGGTGGCCCACTGACACCGCCGGGGTTTTCTTCTGAGCGGCTGCTGACAATTTTGCAAATTCTAATGCTGGCACTTAAGAAAAAATCTCACTGAAAGGTGTTAAGCCAGGCTTCAGCCAGGGGCAGGACTTGTGTTCCTTCTCCAAATTGTCCTGAAATGGCGTTTTGCAAGACACCTGCCGAGGGCCACTGCTGTCCAGCCTCGCCCAAGGAGGAGCCGCCCAGGTGGAAACTGCCAACCGTGCCCGTGTCAGCTGTCCTAGGCAGTGCGATGACAGTCGTTAGGAGATGGCGTCCACAGCAACGTGGAAAATCCATGCCTGAGGAGTCACCGACCCAGGACCCCGTGAGCATGCGACCCGTAGAAATGGCATCCGTGCGTGCACCACGTTAGCAAAGGAAGGAAGAAAATCGCACACTCATCTCCACAGATGCCAAAAGTGCTTTTGATAAAATCCAACATTCATTCATGGGTTTTTTAAAAAACAACAAGAAAACCTAGCAGACCAGGAGTAGCAGGAAACATCCCCAGCGTAACTGTGGGTGAGGCACAGGAGCCGTCCCTGACGGCGGGAACAAGGCTGGGGGCCTGGTGTCGCGCTGTGTGCGGCGCTGGGCTGAATTCCAGTGCCCAAAAGAAGAGAGATTAGAGGAGAAAGCAAGGTGATGGCGTCACACAGGACGTGGTTGGGTGTGTAGAAGACGCAGAAGAACCTCACGTCCCGGGCTGAACTGGGACCCCCGCCCTGCACTCGGATGTTACAGCCCTGACCCCAGGACTTCAGAGGTGACCCCCGGGACCTCAGAGGTGACCCCCGCCCTGCTCTCGGACACTACAGCCCTGATCCCCAGGACCTCAGAGGTGACCTTATTTGGAGATAGGGCCTTGCAGATATAATGAAGTTAAAGTGAAGCTATCAGGGTGGGCCCTAATCCAACATGACCAGTGTCCTAGCAGAAGGAGGACATTTAGACAGAGCTGTGCACGAGGGGGACGCTGTCTACCAGCCAAGGTGAGAGGCTTCAGAAGGACCCAGCCCTGTGCGGGTCCAAGAAGAAACCTTGATCTTCGGCTCCAGCCTCGAGGACTGTGAGAGTAACTGTCTGCTGCTCCCGCTGCCCGCCCATGAAGCTTTGCTTTTTTAGAAATGGCGTCTTGCTCTGTCACCCAGGCTGGAGTGCAGTGGTGTGATCTCGGCTCACTGCAACCTCCGTCTCCCAGGTGTTCAAGTGATTCTCCTGCCTCAGCTTCCCAAGTGGCTGGGATTACAGGCATGTGCCATCACGCCCAGCTAATTTTTGTGTTTTTTAGTACAGACGGGGTTTCACTATATGTTGGCCAGGCTGGTCTTGAACTTCTGACCTTGAGTGGTCCACCTGCCTCGGCCTCCCAAAGTGCTGGGACTACAGGCGTGAGCCACCACGCCCGGCCAACTGTGGGGCTTTGTTAAGGCAGCCCTAGCCAGCTACTTAATACCACCTACAGGAAAAATCAAGCACTGGGAAAATGCTTAATGCTGCTGAACTACACACTGAAACATATTTAATATGAAAAAATTAGCCGGACATGGTGGTTCGCACCTATGGTCCCAGCTACTTGGGAGGCTGAGGCGGGAGGATGGCTTGAGCCCAGGAGGTGGAGGCTGTAGTGAGCTGTGATTGTACCACTGCACTCAGCCTGGAAGACAGTGGCACCCTGTCTCAAATTTTCAAAAAAAGTTTAATACAGTAAATTGTATGTTATGTGTATTTTAACATAATAAAGAAATTAATATATAAAAATTTACACATCAGTAACAAACCACTAAAAATCAAATTTGGAAGCTATTATTTATAATAACACCCAAAATATCAAGTGTCTATAAATAAACTTAACAGAAGATGTGGAAGAACATGGTGGTGGAAATTATGACATTTCAAGAGAAATTAAAGATTGTCACTGAAAATGGAGAAATAGACCCTATTTAGGGACCAGAAGACTCGGTGTTGTTAGGGATGTCAATTCTCTGCAAATCCCCACCCACATCTTATTCCAGAGTTTCATGGATGCCTCTGAGGTTTTAGAATACGTAAGACAGACACTGTATGTTTTAGTAGACACCCTGGATGGAATGCAGGAAGTGCTTTTCCATTCCCGATTTCCTGAGACTGCACCCAAGCTCCGGGTGTACTGAATTGCATTAATAGACTTCCTAATGTCAGAACGCCCTCGCATGCTGAGATAAACTCGCTTCTGACTATGACGAGGTGCTATTTCCATCCCTTGCTGGCTTCTGTCTGCTCGTGTTTTATTTAGGCAAGAAAGAAAGCAGCACTGTGTATTTCCATAAGCAGCAAAGACGCCATCCTAAACCATGCGGACAGTGGTCACACTGTGTGTTTCCATAAGCAGCAGAGACGCCATCCTAAACCATGCGGACAGCGGTCACACTGTGTATTTCCATATGCAGCAGAGACCCCACCCTAAACCATGCGGACAGTGGTCACACTGTGTGTTTCCATATGCAGCAGAGACCCCACCCTAAACATGCGGACAGCGGTCACACTGTGTGTTTCCATATGCAGCAGAGACCCCACCCTAAACATGCGGACAGCAGTCACACTGTGTGTTTCCATATGCAGCAGAGACCCCACCCTAAACATGCAGACAGCAGTCACACTGTGTGTTTCCGTATGCAGCAGAGACCCCAACCTAAACCAGGCAGACAGCAGTCACACTATGTGTTTCCGTATGCAGCAGAGACCCCACCCTAAACATGCGGACAGCAGTCACACTGTGTGTTTCCATATGCAGCAGAGACCCCACCCTAAACATGCGGACAGCAGTCACACTGTGTGTTTCTGTATGCAGCAGAGACCCCACCCTAAACCGTGCGGACAGCGGTCACACTGTGTGTTTCCGTATGCAGCAGAGACCCCACCCTAAACATGTGGACAGCGGTCACACTGTGTGTTTCCATATGCAGCAGAGACCCCACCCTAAACTGTGCGGACAGTGGTCACACTGTGTGTTTCCATATGCAGCAGAGACCCCACCCTAAACTGTGCGGACAGTGGTCACACTGTGTGTTTCCGCATGCAGCAGAGACCCCACCCTAAACCGTGCGGACAGCAGTCACACTGTGTGTTTCCGTATGCAGCAGAGACCCCAACCTAAACCAGGCAGACAGCGTCAGCTCTGGGGAGGTGAAGGGGCTGGGCCATGGGACAGCCATGGGGGATCTAGGCACTATCTGTGTCGTTGTATCATCTATGTGTGGCTTGTGAAATTAAAACTGTAAAATAGAAATTTATAGAATGCTTGTATCCATATTTTTGTGTGATATTGTCCTGTGGTTTTCTCTTTTCCATTTTTTTTCTTGCTGTATGTTACTGGCTGTGTCTATGTGTATTACTGGGTGTCTGCCTCTGTGTATTTGTGTGTGTCTGTGTCTCTATGTGTCTGTGTCACTGGGTGTGTGTGCACCTGTGTGTTTTTCTCTGTCAGTGTGTGTTACTGTGGGTGTGTCTGTGTGTGTCTGGATGTGTTTGTGTGTGTGTATCTCTAGGTGAGTGTGTCTCTGTGTGTGTCTGGATGTGGGTGTGTCTGTGTGTATTTCTAGGTGAGTGTGTCTCTGTGTGTCTGGATGTGGGTGCGTCTCTGTGTGTGCCTGGATGTGTTTGTGTATGTGTGTATATCTGGGTGAGTGTGTGTCTCTGTGTGTCTGGATGTGGGTGTGTCTGTGTGTATTTCTAGGTGAGTGTGTCTCTGTGTGTCTGGATGTGGGTGCGTCTCTGTGTGTGCCTGGATGTGTTTGTGTATGTGTGTATCTCTAGGTGGGTGTGTGTCTCTGTGTGTCTGGATGTGGGTGTGTCTGTGTGTATCTCTAGGTGAGTGTATCTCTGTGTGTCTGGATGTGGGTGTGTCTCTGTGTGTGTCTGGATGTGTGTCTGTGTATTTCTAGGGTAGTGTGTCTCTGTGTGTGTCTGGATGTGTGTGTATCATATTTCGAGGTGAGTGTGTATGTGTGTCTGTGTCTCTCAGTGTCTGTGTGTGCGTATTTCTGGGCAAGTGTCATGTCTGCCTCTGTGTGTGTCGTGTCTGTCCATGGGTGGGCCACAGTAGGAGGTCCGGGCGTGCCCAGGTCTGGCCCCACGGCCATGGGAGCTGTCCATCTGTCCCTGGACTCTGTGTCCATGTAACACAGGCCAAGCCTGCTTCTTAGAGATTTGCGAGGCTGGCTCTGCAGGTCTCCCGGCTGCTGGTGGCGGTACGGGCACCATCTTACGTCTTCCTGGTCATGGCTCATGGTTTTCTGCCTCACTTGGGTCCTGTGAGAAGGTCAGTGCCTCAAGGGCGGGGGTCCCTGTCTGTTTGTCTGTCTGCCTCCTGCGGTCTCAGCAGCCTGGCTCCTGGGAGGGCCTCCAAATATCTAGGAATGAATGAGTTAAAGAATAAGTCCGTTTTTCCGATGTTGCTTTAGAAATGACCCATTTCATCAAGGTCTTCAAATGTATCGGTATCGATGTGTGTGACGCGTTCTCTCTTAATTTTCAAACATCTTCAGAATCTATCCTTGCTCCTTTTCCTCTTTCCCATGGTTGTTCTTTCTTTCTTCCTTTCTTCCTTCCTTCCTTCCTTCCTTTCTTTCCTGTTTCTCTCTCTCTCTCTTTCTTTCTTTTTTGGAGTCTTGCTCTGTCGCCCAGGCTGGAGCACAATGGTGTCAACTTGGCTCATTGCAACCTCCACCTCCCAGGTTTAAGTGATTCTCCTACCTCAGCCTCTTGAGTAGCTGGGACTACAGGCACCTGCCACCACGCCCAGCTAATTTTTGTATTTTTAGTAGAGACAGGGTTTCGCCATGTTGGTCAGGCTGGTCTTGAACTCCTGACCTCAAGTGATCCACCCGCCTCAGCCTCCCAAATTGCTGGGATGACAGGCGTGAGCCACCGCACCTGGCCAGTTTTGTCTTTCTATTGATCCATTTCTATTTACCTTGGTCAAATTCATTCTTTTCCAAGTCTAGCTTTGGGTTTTAGTGAGCAAGTTTGCTTTTCAATTTTTCTATTTTATCACTTTCTATTTTGCTTTCAATAATTCCTTTCCTCTACTTTCCTGGAGTGTGTTTTACTGCCTCACTCCAGCCTAATGGGCTTGCTTTCTGTCTTTCCTGTTTCATAGCCAAGGCCTTTAAGTTGCCCTTGGAGCTCCCTTTGGCGACTTCGTGGAGGTTTTGCTTCAAGAACTCAAGAGGCCCTTCTTCTCTAAACAGCTTGTAATCTAAGTTTTCATTTCCTCTACAACCAGAAAGTTATTTACAAAGGTATTTGCTTCATGTCAAGGGTACTGATTTCAAAATCTTATTTCACGGCGTGCACGTGCACACTTACGGACACGCCACATCCATGCAGTGTGGAGGCGACATCCTCACACACGCACGTGTACACTCACAGATGCACGCGTATGATCCCATCAGTTGCATCCCCCACGCCCGGAGCAGTGCCGGATCCCAGTGGATGCCCTGACAGATGAGCGCCTGAGAAATGCCAAAGCTGCTCGCCAGGTGCAGGCGCAGCACATTGAGAAGGTTCATCCTTTCGGGAAGTGGCGTGGGAGTTCCCGCAGACACTCAAGTGCAGAAGAGGAAGGTTTCCTGCTGGAGGCCGGGCAGCTCCAGAACCATCCACCGTGGCCCGGGCCCCCCACCCCCGTGGGACTCTGCCAGCGATCACGACCGGAGTCTTGGTGCTGGGGATGCCTCCGGGACTTGGACAACCTCCAGCCTGGGACACACCTTGTATGAGCCCATTCTCACGCTGCTATCAAGAAAACCCAAGACTGGGTAATTTATAAAGAAAGAGGTTTAATTGACTCGCAGTTCTGCATGGCTGGGGAGGCCTCAGGAAACTTACAATCATGGCGGAAGACACCTCTTCACAGGGTGGCAGGACAGAGAATGTGTGCTGAACGGAGGGAGAAGGCCCCACGGGGATACTCACTCGTTATCACGGGAACAGCATGGGGGACCCGACCGCATGATCCAGTCACCTCCACCTGGTCCCGAGATTGACACGTGGGGATTATGGGGATTACAATTCAACCTGAGATTTGGGTGGGGACCCAGAGCCAAACCATATCACACCTGGAACAGGGGCGAGGAACTGAAAGGGGGTCTCTGGAGGACCAGCAGATGGAGGATGCAGAGAGGTGGAGGAGATGGGGGACCAGAAAGGATGGAGGACGGGGAGGGGTGCAGGAGACGGGCCTCCTGCAGGCTGAGCTGGGGAAGAGGCCAGGGCCCGGAAAAGGACAAGAGAGACAGAGATGAGCAGCACGTGGGGTGAAGGGGTGGAGGGGCCCAGGCCCAGGGGAGAGACAGAGAAAGGACAGAGAGATACGGAGAACAGAGACAGAAAACAGAGAGAGACAGAGAACAGAGAGAGACAGAGAACAGAGAGAGACAGAAAGAGATAGAGAGAAACAAGAGTAATGAGAGATAGAGGCAGAGATGAGAGAGACACAGAGAGACAGAAATAGAGAGAGACAAAAGATAAAGAGATAGAGACGGAGAGACAAAGAAGAGACAGAGAGAGACCAGGAGGAGAAGAGAGATTGGCAGAGGAGACTCAGGGGCTGGCAGGTGAACCTGGGAGGGGCGGCTCTGGTGAAGAAGGGAGTGAGGAGGTCTGAAGCCGGTTGCCCCGTGAATCTGAATTTCGCGAGTGTCCCGGGAGCCCCTCCGTGGCCGCCTCTGTCCCCCGGAGGCGCCCCCCAGGCCCTGGGGTCCCTCCCCGCGGTGGCTCCGGGGACAGGACCGCGCCCTCCACGGAGCCGCCATATGGCCGCGGGGACTTCCAGGGGGCAGCGGCCCCGCGGGGACTCGGGTGGGACTTCGGGGCCTCCCACCCTCCCTCTTTTTAACGTTTGTCAGATAAGATGACGCGGAATGAAAAGCGCGCTTGGAACGGAGCGGCCGTGGCCGGTGGGCTGGGAAGACCCCCGCGAGGGGAAGAAGCGAGCGCGCCCCCCGCCCCCGCCTCGGGCCCCCGGGAAGGCGGCGCAGCCACTGGGGAGTCTCAGTGCCAGGCGGCTCCGTGTCGCGTCTCTGCCCCGCGTTTCTGAGGCTCCAAGCTGCCGGGGGAGCTGGGGGTGGCTTCCGAACACGCCGAGCGGAGCCTCGCGGCCTCCGAGGGACCCCGTGCGAGGCGCCATTCCCAGCCGGGGACAAGGGGCTGTGCGGGGCTGGGGGCTCCGAGGCCGCGCGCTCCCGGGAGTGCCAGGCGGTGGTGGGGCCGCGGCTCCGGGGGATCGGGCTAGGGAGGGACGGGGACCCCCGGGCGGCGGCGACACCTCTTCCTGGAGAAGCGGGAGCGCGAGGCGGGGGCCGGACAGGTCTCACCTTCTCCATCCCGCTGTCCGCGCGTCTCATCCGCACCTGGAGGGCGCGTCTCCCACCGCGGGCGGGGCGGGCTGGACGCGGGGCCTGGGAGGGGGGAAGACGCAGGATCAGCGGCAGCGCGAACCCACAGCCCTGCAGGGTCCCCGCGCCTGGGCACGGACGCGTTTCGCACAGGAGGAGGCTCTAGCGTAAGCGCCGGGAGCGCTCGGAGCCCGGGCCATCTCGAGACACCTGAGGGCCTGGGGTGAGCCCAGCGCCCCACGACCCCTACCTTGTCCCCATCCCCCCGCCCCCCGCCCTCCACGCCCCGCCCCCCCGCCCTCCACGCCCCGCCCCCACGCCCCGCCCCCGCCCCCACGCCCCGCCCCCGCCCTCCACGCCCCGCCCCCCGCCCTCCACGCCCCGCCCCCCCGCCCTCCACGCCCCGCCCCCCCGCCCGCCCCGCCCCGCCCCGCCCTCGCCGGGCGCCCGCGTGGCGGGAACTCAGGAACGCGCCGCCGTCCCGCTGCTTCTCAGGGCTGAGCCAGGGACGCTTTGTCTTCGCGTCTGAATGACGGATTGACGGCCGTTTGCAGCGGCTCTGAAGCGAGTGCGGACGGTCTTAGGACGGTTTCCCTGACGGATGCGCTTCCGGGGGAGAAGTGAGGGGGGCACGGGGCGGTACTGGGGGCCCAGGGCCAAAGACGGGGAAGCAAGCGGCCTCTGGGGAGTGGTGGGCGGTGAGCAGCGGGGCGGGGGGGTGCACGCCGGTGGGAGAGGGCAGGGGAGGTGGGAGGAGGGAGGAGGGTGGGAGAGAGGGCGGGGGAGGGGGGAGGACGGCGGGGGAGGACCCCGGGATGGGAGCCGACACCCACAAGCCCCAGGTCCCTGGCCCAGCCTCACCCCAGGCGTCCATTCGTCCACAGCCAGGAGAGACACACAACATCGCCTGGGGCCACCTGCCCGAAGGTGCCCGGGAACACCCACGAAAACACAGAAACCTGGGCTTCGTTATGCAGGAGTTTTGTTCCTGAAGATGGCATTGCTTGCGACCTCCCTCCCCACCCCACTCCTTTCTCCGGGAACATGAACGTCTCTGGATTTCTCAATCTCTGAATTTGCCAACACCACGAAAATTCACACCCGATGCTTTGCAAGAGCTGCTATTTATAGGAGCGCTGGGTTTCAGTGGCTTCTCTCCAGAGTTGCAAAGTCACTCTCTAATGCAGCTGTTTCATCAGGCACCGCCCCGTGTCCTGGGCATCTGGTCTTTTTACATTCCTTTGGGTGCACCCATAATATTCTACTGGGGGCCGGAAGAGAGAATTTTGGGCTCCAATTTAGCTTCATCATGCAGAATCGACCTTCCTTTTACAAACTCATCCAGCCATCCACTCACTGTTTGTGTGAACTCAGCAAGTTACTGAACCCCCCAGGCTCAGTTTCCCCATTTGTAAGATGGGGCCGAGCAGCCCTTATGACGAGTCCGGGGAATTGTGAAGTCCCCGGTGCATGAATGTCACCGCGAATGTTGGCTGTATGATCACCAGTCACTCAGCAGCACTTGTGTGCACCTGCATGGGGGCCCCGGGCCCACCAGACTCGGAGGTGACCAATCTCAGTGCTGGTGAGAAGGGCTATGACAGGGGCCCTCCAGGGCACTGGCCCTGAGCCCACATCCCAGGCAGCAGTTAAAGCTGCCAAGGAGAGTGAAAAAAGCCACCCAGGAGCAACCCAGGGCTGGGTCTTGATGGGATGAATAGGAGTTTTCCAGGTAGAAGGTGGGGGAGAGGGACTCGTATGCAGTGGAGTCAGGAGTCATTCTCAGGGACAGGTGGAGTGCAGTGGTCTCTAGGAAGAGACAGGTGCCTCATACCACATAGAACAATTAGTTTAAAGTGGGTTAAAGACCTAGATGTAGAAATTCAAACTATAAATCACTGAGAAGACATGGGGTGAATCTTTTTGAGCTTGGTTTACTTAGATATGACCCAAAAAGCACAGAAACAAAAGAAAAAGATAGATAAACTGAATTCCTCAAAATCAACAAATTTTGTGCTTCAAAGGACACCATCAAGAAAACCAAAAAACAATCTGCAAAATGGGAGAACATATTTGCAAATCACTTGTCTATAAGAGACTTGTATCTGGCATATATAAAGGGGGTTATATTACACAAAGAACAATTGCAACTTGACAACGAAAAGACAAGCAGCTCAATTAAAAAATGGCAAAGGGGCCAGGCGCAGCGGCTCACGCCTGCAATCCCAGCACTTTGGGAGGCTGAGGCGGGCGAATCATGAGGTCAGGAGATCGAGACCATCCTGGCTAACACGGTGAAACCCTGTCTCTACTAAAAATACAAAAAAAATTAGCCACACATGGTGGCGGGCGCCTGTAGTCCCAGCTATTTGGGAGGCTGAGGCAGGAGAATGGCGTGAACCCGGGAGGCGGAGCTTGCAGTGAGCTGAGATCGCACCACTGCACTCCAGCCTGGGTGACAGTGTGAGACTCTGTCAAAAAAAAAGCAAAGGATATGAGTAGACATTTCTCCAAGCTGATGCACAAATGACTGATCAACACAAAAACATGCTCCACATAAGTAGCCCTCAGGGAAATGCACCCACTAGGGTGGCTACAATCTCTATTAATAATTTTGTTTAACTGGAAAACAGCAAGTGTTGGTGGGGATGTGGAGAAATTGGAAACTTCATTCATCGCTGGAGGGAATGTAACATGGTGCGGACACCGTGGAAAACAGTCGGGCAGTTGTTCCAAACGTTACACAGAGTTGTCACATGACCCAGCAATTCTGCTCCCACATATATGCCCAAGAGAACTGAAAGTGTGTCCACATTAAAAACCTGTCCACAAATGTTCATAGCAGCATTATTAATAATACCCCGATGTGAAATTAACCTACATGTCCATCAACTGATGAAACATGGGCTGCATCCATCCAACGGAATATTATCCGGCCATAAAAAGGAATGACATCGAGTTGAAGGCAGGGTCTTGAGGAGATATTTGCACACCCATGTTGCATGTTCATTGCAGCATCATTCATGAGAACTGAGAGGTGGAGGAACCCTGTGCGCTGAAATTGGGGCTGGCCGAGCCAGGTAGGAGGTGGACAGGCTCCCTGGCGGCTCTCCAGGGACGTCCTTCAGGGACAGCTTCGAGGACGTCCCATGAGCAGTGCCCATGTGGTCAAGGGCTTCAGTACCCGGCAGCAGCTCTCAGCCACCTTGACCATGAGCAAGGAGAGGACATATCTGGTGCCTCAAAAGAACATCTTTGCCTAAAGCTCATCTGGGAGAGAGAGCAAGCAGACTGCAAATTTCTGAAACTGCTTGAACCAAGTGCATGAATTTGGTGCATCCTGAAGTCCCTCTGCCCAGAGAGGGCTGCTAGTCTGTGCATGGCAGGATGGACCGCTGCTCTGAGTCACCTTTGCTGAGCAGCCAAGGCTGG
Organism: Homo sapiens; assembly: GCF_000001405.40. Lineage (NCBI taxonomy): Eukaryota > Metazoa > Chordata > Mammalia > Primates > Hominidae > Homo > Homo sapiens. The sequence continues at coordinate 67,958 of NW_025791792.1, read as the reverse complement.
GCTTCCCTTGGAATTGCTTCCGGAATGAGATATTCAGGGCCAGTCCTTGGCTGTAGTTTCTAGACTTCTCCTCGACAGGGCAGCTCCTTGGTGCAGCTCCTGCTGCACTGCTGGCCCCGGTCTGGCTCTCTTGGTGGCTGTGGCCACCCGTGCCATTGCATGGTCCTAACAGTCTCTGTGTATATTCAGCTTGCTTCCTGCTGTGGGGCCCCACTCCTACTGCAGAACTCAGCCCCTGGTTCAATGCTGACCTTTGTACCCCAGTCCCTTAACTACGCAGGCATCTTCCTGTGTGTGTGGTGTTTTGTAGGTATACATCTCTCTTTCAGCAGCTAGCTGAAGTATGATTTGCATACAACAAGCCGCATTTATCTAAAGTGTTATCAGTTGATATGTTTTGCCTTTTGCAAATGACACCAAAAGCATCACCACAATCGAGATAATAAACAGACCCCCCCAAGCCTCCAGTGCCGCTTACCTTCCTCCCGCCCTCTCCCTCCACTCTCTCTCTGCAGCCCACTGACCTGCCTTCTGTTTTCATAGGTGATATAGTTTGGATCTGTGTCCCCACCCAAATCTCATGTCAAATTGTAATCCCCAATGCTGGAGGTGGGGCCTGGTGGGAGGTGATTAGATCGTGGGAGTGGTTTCTCATGGTTTGGCACCATCCCCACTGGGAACTCTCATCGTCATAGTGAGTTCTCATGAGATCTACTTGTTTAAAAGTGTGTGGCACCTCCCCTCCCCCCTCTTGCTCCTGCTCTAGCCACGTGACCTGACCTGCCAGGTCCCCCTTTGCCTTCCGCCATGATTGTAAGTTTCCTGAGGCCTCCCTAGAAGCAGAAGCCACCATGCTTCCTGTACAGCCTACAATTAAGCCCTCCCTTTTTTTTTTTAAATAAATTACCCAGTCTCAGATATTTCTTTAGAGCAATGCAAGAACCAACTAACACGATAGGTCAGTTTATATCTCCTTACGTTTTGAACACATGGAATCTCTTACAGTGTTTACTCTGTCATGTTGTGCCTGCTTCTTTGAGATTCTTTCATGTTGTGTGTGCGAATAATTCACTCCTTTTCATGACTGATTGGACCTCCACTGGTTGGATATAACACGGATTATCTGTTTCCACATCGATGGACATTGGGGTTGTTCCCAGTCTGAGACCATTACAGATAAAGCAGCCATGGGCATCCTTCATAGGGACAGGCAGTTTCATACTTCCCAGTGAAAGGCCTAGGAGAGGAATCATACAGCAGGTGTGTGTTAACCTTTTCAGAAACTCAGTAACAAGAATACAAAACTTTTTCAGAAACTACAAAACTGTCTTCCAAAGCAGCTGCACCATTTTGCTTTCCCAGCGTCAGTGATGGGAGATCCAGTTCCTCCATGTCCCCAGCAGCCATTGGTATAGCCATTGTTTTTAATGTAGTGCTGGAATAGGCATGCAGTGGCAGCTTGCTGTGCTTTTAGTTTGCATTTCTCTGATGATGGACGTGCTGAGAGTGCTTTCAGGTGCTTCTTTGCCACTTTTTTTTTTTTTTTTTTGAGATAGAGTCTCACTCTGTCGCCCAGGCTGGAGTGCAGTGGCGTGATCTCGGCTCACTGCAATCTCCACCTCCTAGTTTCAAGCAATTCTTCTGCCTCAGCCTCCTGAGTAGCTGGGATTACAGGTGCCCGCCACCACACCTGGCTAATTTTTTTTTGTATTTTTAGTAGAGACAGGGTTTCACCATGTTGGTCAGGCTCATCTCAAACTCCTGACCTCAGGTGATCCACCTGCCTCAGCCTTCCAAAGTGCTGGAATTACAGCCATGAGCCACCACTCTCAACCTCTTTGCCACTTCTATGTCTTCCTTGAAGTGTGTGTTCCAATCTTTTGCCCATTTTTAGTTGGGTTGTTGGTTTTCCTGCTGTTGAGTTTAAAGAGTTCTTGATATATTCTACTTACACATCCTTTATTGGATATACAATTTGCAAATATTTTGTTGGTCTATGGCTTGCCTTTTTATTCTTTTAGCATCTTTAGAAGAACAAAAGTTTATTCTACTTAATGAAGTACGATTTATTCTTTTTTCTCATATAGATTGTGCTTTTCCTATTGTATCTAGAAAATCTTTACTTTGAGAGTACAAAGATTTTCTACTGTTTTCTTCACTAATATTTATATTTTTACTTTTATACCTAGATCTATGATTAATTTTCAGTTAATTTTTTTCATGATGTGAAATACTGATCAAAGTTATGGTTTTGCATGTGGATATACAATTGTCATAGCACCATTTGTTGAAAAGACCATCTTTTCTCAGCTGAATTGTCTTGACTCTTTTGTTAAAAATTAATTCATCAAGAATTATTCACAATAGCCAAGAGGTTAAACCAACCCAAATGTCCATCGTCTGGTGAGCAGAAAAATAAATGTGAAACATGCTTACAGTGGGACATAATTCAGCCTTAAAAAGGAAGGAAATTCTCACACATGTTGCAGCGTGAATGAATCTAGGGGTTCATCTTCATAAAATGAGTCAGTCACTAAAAGACAAATACTATCTGACTCCACTAACATGAGGTTTTCTAAGTGGTCAAATTCATATGAACAGAGAGTAGAATGCCGGTTACCAGCGACTAGGGGAGGGAAAATGGGGAGTTGTTGTTTAATGGTACAGAGTTTCAGCTTTGCAAGATGAAAAAGTTTTGGAGATTGGTTGCACAACATTGTGAATATATTTAACACTACTTAAATATACGCTTAAACATGATTAAGGCCTGGTGCAGTAGCTCACACCACTTTGGGAGGCCGAGGCAGGAAGATCACTTGAGCCCAGGAGTTCAAGACCAGCCTGAGCATCATAGTGAGACATCGTGTCTTACTAAAAGAAAAAAGAAAAAAAAAAAAAACAGTTAGCCAAGCACAGTGGTTCCACCTACTCGGGAGGCAGAAGTGGGAGGATCACGTGAGCCCAGGAAGTTGAGGCTGCAGTGAGCCATGATCATGCCACCACACTCCAGCCTAGGTAACAGAGTAAGACTGTGTCTCAGAAAAAATGATTAAGGTGGTACATTTTATGCTATGCATTTTTTAACCACAATTAACCACGTATCTGTGAATCGGTTTCTGTCCTCTATGTTGTCCTGCCGACCTACTGTTGATATTGACATCATCAGTGCCACAGTGGCTTGATGACTGTAATTTTATAATATCTCTTGAAATAAATTAGCATAACTCTTCCAATTGTATCCTTCTTTTTCTTTTTTCTTTTTTTTTTTTTTGAGACAGAGTCTCACTCTGTCACCCAGGCTGGAGTGCAATGGCGCGATCTCAGCTCACGGCAACCTCCAACTCCCTGGTTCAAGCAATTCCCTTGCTTCAGCCTCCCAAGTAGCTGGGATTACAGGCACACGCCACCATGCCTGGCTAATTTTTTTGTATTTTTTAGTGCAGATGGAGTTTCACCATGTTGGCCAGACTGGTCTCGAACTCCTGACCTCAGGTGATCCACCTGCTTTGGCCTCCCAAAGTGCTGGGATTACAGGTGTGAGCCACCGCACCTGGCCATTCTTCTTTTTCAAAGTTGTTTTGGATTTTCTAGATCTGTTGCATTTTCATATGAATTTCAGCAACAATTTATCAATCCCTTAAAAAGAGCCACTGGGATTTTGGTTGGAGTTGTATTGACTCTCTAGACCAATAAGGGGAGAATTAACATCTTAAAGATATTGAGTCTTAACATGAACAAAATGTATCTTTCCATTTATTTAGCTATTCTTTAATCCCTCAGCCATATTTTGTAAAAAAAATTTTTTTTTTTTTTGAGACGGAGTCTTGGTCTGTCGCCCAGGCTGGAGTGCAGTGGTGCCATCTTGGCTCACTGAAACCTCCGCCTCTGGGGCTCAAGGGACTCTTGTGCCTCAGCCTCCTGAGTAGCTGGGATTGCAGGCATGTGCCACCATGCCTGGCTAATTTTTTTGTATTTTAATAGAGACAGGGTTTCACCACGTTGCCCTGGGTGGTCTCAAACTCCTGAGCTCAGGTGATCTGCCCACCTCTGCCTCCCAAAGTGCTGGGATTACAGTCGTGAACCACCACTCCCAGCCTACAATTTTCAATATATAAGTTTTGCACATTTTTGTCAGATTTATTTCTAAGTATTTAAGTTTTTGATGTTACTGTTAATAGAATTGCTTTTTATTTAATGTATGATTGTTTATTACTGTAGAAATACAACAGATTTTTTTTTACTTCCCTTAAAGTATGCAAACTTGCTAAACTCACTAATTACTTCTAGTAGCTACTGCATTCTACAGATTTTGTAGGATTTTCTACATAGGCAATCATTTGTCTGTGAATGAAAACAGTTTTACTTATTTTTCAATTGGGCACTTTTTTTTCCTTTTTCTTGCCTGATTGGCCTGTTTCCAGCCTGCATTGCAATTTTTAGTAGAAGTAATTAAAGTGGACATCCCTGCCTTGTTCCTGATCTTAGGGGAAAGCATTCCTTCTTTCACTATTGGGTACAATGCCAGCTGTATGTTTTTTTGCAGATGCCCTTTATCAGATTGAGGGAATTCCCTTCTATTCCTATTTTGCAGAAAGCTAATATCTGGAATGGATTTTGGATTTTGTCAAATGCTTTTTCCGCCTCTATTCCGATGATCATCTGGTTTTTCTATTAACGTGGTAAATTACTTTGCAGGATAATTTGCAAGTGTTAAACCACTCTTGCATTCCTGAAATAAATGCCACTTTGTCATGATGTATTATCCTTACTATACACTGATAAATTCATTTTGCTCGAATTTTTGTTGAGAATTTTGCTTGTGGGTTTGTGAAGGCTGTTGGTTTGCTCTTTTCTTTTCTTACCATGTATTTGTCTGATGATAGTACCAGCATATGCTATAGCCTTATGGAATGAGTTGGAAAGTATTTCCTCCTACACTATTTTCTGGAACAGTCTCTGTAAAATTGGTGTTATTTCTTTCTCAAATATTTGTATATGTTTGAGACTTATTATTTGGGACTCACCAGTGAAGACTTTGAGTCTGGAGTTTTGTTTGTAGAAAGGTTTTTTTTTTTTTTTTTTTAACTTCTTTAGTAGATAAATGAATATTTTTTCTATTTTTTCTTGAGTGAGTTTTGATAATTTATGTCATTCAAGAAATGCGTCTATTTCATTATGTTTAACTTAAGTAAAGCTGTTCATAACATTCCCTTATTATTCTTTTAATGTCTGTAGAATCTGTAATGATGCCTCCTTTCTCATTGCTGGTGCTAGCAATTTGTGTTTTCTGTCTTTTTTTTTTTCCTGGTCAGTCTACCCAGAGGTTTATCAATTTTATTGACCTTCTCAAAAATAAGCTTTTGTTTTTATTGATTTTCTCTGTGGTCTTTCTGTTTTCTAGTTCATTTGATTTCTGCTATGACCTTTACGTATCACTTTCTGCTTCCTTAGAATTTAATTTTCTCTTCTTTTTCTAATGTCCAAAGAAAAATGCTAATATCAGTTATTTCAGACCTTCCCTCTTTTTTAATGTAGATATTTAGTGCTATGAATTTCCCCTTAAATACAGCATTAGCTGCGTCCCACAAAACATAATATATGTTTTTATCTTCATTCAATGCAAAATACTACCTAATTTTCCTTTTGATTTCTTCTTTGATGCATGGGATATTTAGTAGTATGTTAGTTTCCAAATATAACGGGAATTTTGCAGATCACTTCTTACTGTTGATTTCTAATTTAATTCCATTTTGGCTAGAGAACGTACTCATTTTAGACTTCTTTTCTGGCCCAGAATGTAGTCTATCTTGATACACGTTCAGTGTATTCTGCTGGTCTTGGGTGGAGTTTTCTATAAATATCAGCTGGATCAAGTTGTTTGATAGTGTTGTTCAAATCTTTTCTACCTGTACTAAGGTTCTCTGTTTGTTTTATGGAATGCTGAGAAAAGATTGTTGAAATCTCCAGCTACAGTTGTGAATTTGTCTGCTTCTCCTTGCAGTTCTATCAGGTTTTGCTCTTTTGAAGCAAAACTTCAAAAGTATTTTGAAGCTGTATAACTAAGTGTACAAACGTTTAGGATTTATATGTCCTCTGATTTGTTTCTCCCATTATCATTATAAAATGGCCCACTTATCCCTGGCAACATGAAGGCAAAACACTTTCGAGTACTCTACTCAGTATCCTGTCAATTCTGTGGTTTTTCACTCTAAATGGTGGGAATAGGAACTATTCCTGGCCCTGTGTTAGCTAACAATGTTATTTCTGAAATTCTTTCCTTGGCTGGCTTCACCAGATGCATGTACTCATCAGTACTGAGCTGAAGATGCAAGGAGGAGCCTCTGTAGGCCTCTGCTCCTCTTTCACTGTGCAGCTCTCTCCTCCCTGGCACTCGGCCCTGAGAACTCCAGCTTTCCTGTCCTCCTTGGACTCCCAGCGAAGTCTCCTCAGCTCAAGGAGACCACGTGTCTTTGCCTATGTTACACATCCCTGTGCTGCAGCCTGGAAATTCTAGGTGGTGCACAGAGGCAATCACAGGGCTCACCTCATTTGCTTTCTCTCTCGGGGGTTGCTGAACTTTACTGCCTTTTACATCTGATGTCTTGAAAACTGCTGCTTAAGATATTTTCCTGGATTTTATAAACATATGCAAGTGGTTCTGTGAACACCGACTTTATTGTCTCTCTGCACTGCACAGTGTCCCAGAGTGCATATTTATCACATTTTGTTTATTCATTCTTCTAAAGACGAATAATTAGGCTACCAATTTCTGCTACACAAACAGCTGTGCAAAAACAGCCTTGAATGCATTCCCCGGTGAGTCAGTGTGAGCATGTTTACAGGATATGCTCTCGAGAGACAGCGCTCACAGGGCACATTTACTTTCACTAAGCACGTCCATATTACTTCTCAGAGATCCTCTGCCAGTTCCTACTCAGGGATGCAAGAGCCTCCCATCTCCTCAACTCTCATCCAAACTTGATTTCCAACCCCTTTCTAATTTTTACTATTCTGAGGGATGTAAAGTGGTATGTCAGTGTTGTTTTCTTTATCATATTGTGAGAAAACATTTTAAATGGTCCATTTTCAAGGCATGATAAATCTAAGCACTGGCAGCCAGCCTGAGGATGTAACAAACCACACGGCTCATGCGCCTGGAAGGTCACGATAAGCGAACAGAATGTAGAGGAGGGGTCAGCCCATAAAAGGGAAGAAAGTTTTGTTATTGGAAAATCAAAACTTAAGCGGGGAAGGGGACGGGGTATAACCTTATAAGGGGGAAAATGAAACTCAGGTGACATTGGGGAAGGTTGTAAACCCATAGTACTTGACCAATGAGGACCTGGGGGAGGGCTTGTGTGCTAGGAGATCAATTACCTGCTGTAACTGCCCGGGGTGTGCCTGCCTACCAGACACCCGGTCTTGCAAGACTGCCATTAAAAGTCTTGCTGGCCGGGCGCAGTGGCTCATGCCTGTAATCCCAGCACTTTGGGAGGCCGAGGCCGGCGGATCACGAAGTCAGGAGATAGAGACCATCCTGGCTAACACGGTGAAACCCCGTCTCTATTAAAAATACAAAAAAATTAGCCGGGCGCGGTGGTGGCACATATTAAACACTCGAAGGTGTTTTGTATCATTATCACTCAAGAATCCCACTAACGTTATGCAGAAAACTTGTCTGGGGCTCTTGGTACATTAGAATGTTCCATGACTACTCAGACCCGTGTGTGCCATTATGAGTTGAAATCTAGAAATAGAAAGATCAAGGGGAGTGGAACGCCCATGACAACGTGGAACGGGGCTGGAAGCAATGACGGTTCCACAGGCAGATGACCTCACTCAGGTGATTCACAGGGTCAATGTGCATGCATATCAAGCTCTGGATGTTGGCATCTGCTATCTAAGGGAATGGGAGCAATTACTTGGAGCATCTAACATTTAAGTCAGAATTTCCTTTACAGTCTACACTTAGAACATTCACTTAACTCATTCACTTAACTTTGCCCCCCCTCCTTTGTAAACAGTCCATCCATTACAATCTTTCCAGTCATCTTTTCCAGCTATCTTCATATTATTGATTTCTAATTTTAACGTAACTGTGGTCTAAGAGTACAACAGAAATATATCTGGCTGGACCCCAGGCCTCCAGAATTGCCCCTTCTTTTTTTTTTTTTTTTTTTTTTTTTGAGATGAAATCTCACTCTGTAGCCCAGGCTGGAGTGCAGTGGCACGATCTCAGCTCACTGCACCCTTGCCTCCCGGGTTCAAGCGATTCTCCTACCTCAGCCTCCTGAGTAGCTGGGATTACAGGCATCTTCCACCACACCCGGCTAATTTTTGTATTTTTAGTAGAGACAGGGTTTCACCATGTTGGTCAGGCTGGTCTTGAACTCCTGACCTCGTGATCAGCCCGCCTCAGCCTCCCGAAGTGCTGGGATTACAGACGTGAGCCACCACACCCTGCCGCCCCTTCTTTAATTATCTTGACAAAGATGTCATCTCTGCTTACCTCTAAGGCCACACCACTCCACTCCTTAAAGCCCCATGATACGGCTCATTGTTATACATTGTGATGGTTCCTGATGCTCCACGCTAGCATTGAAAACCCTCTTTCTGGCCTACCTCACTCTTATTCTTCCACCCATTCGCCCCGCTGCCTTTCTCCCGCGTTTGGTCTGCTGGACACCTTTCTGCCGCGTTTGGTCTGCTGGACGCCTTTCTCCTGCATTTGGTCTGCTGAATGCCTTTCTGTCATGTTTGGTCTACCAAGTGGCTCTCCTTTGCTCATGGAGGGTATCTCCTGACACCTCAGTGGCTGCTCAAACTTTCTGAGATGGATCAGAGGAGAGGCAACAGTTTTTCCTGATTTTATCCTTTCCAAACATGATGTAGACGCTGAATTCATCAAATATTTATTGGATTAATTCCATTAAGAATTGCTTTTCTGTTTGGCATAAGGTAGAGGTGCAAATGGATTTTTTTCATACGTACAATTAATTGTTGTGGAGCATGTATTGAAAAATATTTCCTTTCCAAACTGTTCAACAGTGACTGTACTCTGATAAATCAAATAGTCATGTTCTGTTGCACTGGTGAAATTTGTCTATCCCCATATCACAGTCTTAATTATAGTTTTATAATACATTTTTATATCTCCTCTGACATTTTCCTTCCACTGCCTCCTTCTCCTTTTCTTTCTTTTATGTTTTGGCTATTATTCAGCCTTTGGTTTTTTTGTATGAATTTTAGAATCCATTTGTTAAATTCCTTTTAAAAACATTTATGGAGTTTTAATGGAAATTGCTTTTTGCAGAATGATTTAGGGGAGAATTGACATATTTTTAATACTGACTCTTTCTATCCATGAATCTGGTTTATAGTCCTCAATTTATTCAGGTCTTCATTAATGTCTTTCAATAAAGTTTTATAATTTTTCCTTCACACTTTTGCCCACTTTGAAAATATCTTATTTTCTGTTCCCTCCTTATTTGTGTTGCTTTTTTCAGTGATACATTACAAAATTGTATCTTCTGGTTATGGCTGATATTTGGATGCATGTGTAGTATAGTTTCTCAATTCACTCTCTGTCTTTCTCTGCCTTTCTTTGTGACCCAGGAACCTGGTGTCTAACAAGCTGCATCACCTGGTTAGGCTAATGAGAGGCACCTGCAGGAGATGAGCGGCGAGGAGAGAGGTCAGAGTTCTCTATTTCCTGAGATCCCTCCTTGTAGGCTTGTGGTTTGGCAGTGACTTTATTCCTCTATGTGAGACCACAACTTCCCCCAAATAAGTCCCTTTCTCTGGTAACTATGACCTTCCCTTGTCCTTTCAAGGCCAGGAGTGGTAGCAGCTTCCTGAAGCTAAAAATGTCCCGAGGCTTCACTACACCTTGTTCATTCACTGAACTCTGCCCCTCCTTTGTAAAGAGTCCATTCATTACAATCTTCCCAGTCATCTTTTCCGGCTTTCTTTATATTATTGATTTCTCATTTAATTTAACTGTGGTCTGATCTTACTGTACTATGGTTTTAAATTTGTGAAGGTGTGCTTCATGGCCCAGAATATGGTCTATCTTAGTAAATATTCCATGAGAGCTTGAGAAAAATGTGCATTTTGCTGTTGTTGGGTGATTTAATCTATAGGAGTCCATTATATTCAGCTGATTGATGGTCCTGTGGAGTTCAGCTATGTCCTTACTTATTTTCTGCTGGCGGTATCTGTCTATTTCTGACAAAGGGTGTTGACGTCTCTAAAGTGTATTCCTCAGTTTTAATTAGTCTTTGTTGTTGTTGTTGTTTTTGTTTGTTTGTTTTTTGAGACAGAGTCTCACTCTGTTGTCAAGGCTGGAATGCAGTGGCCTGATCTCGGCTCACTGCAACCTCCACCCTGCAAGTTCAAGCGATTCTCCTGCCTCAGCCTCCCAAGTAGCTGGGATCACAGGTGCCTGCCATCGTGCCCAGCTAATTTTTGTATTTGTAGTAGAGATGGGTTTTCACCATCTTGGCCAGGCTGGTCTTGAACTCCTGACCTCGTGATCCACTTGCCTTGGCCTCCCAAAGTGCTGGGATTATAGGTGTGAGCCACCGCACCCGGCCGATTAGTTTTTTCCTCATGTATTTTGATGTGCTGTTTTTAGACAGATATGTTTTAAGGATCGTTATATCCTCTTGGAGAAGTGATTCCTTTATCATCACGTAATATCCTTCTTTATCCCTAATAATTTTCCTTGCTCTGAAGTTTGCTCTGTCTGAAATTAGTATAGCTACTCTAGTTTTCTTTTTCATCATGGTATATCTTTCTCTTTCCATTTACCTTTAATCTATATATGTCTTTTTATTTATTTATTTATTTATTTATTTATTATTTATTCATTTTGAGACAGAGTTTCATTCTTGTTGTCAAGGCTGGAGTGCAATGGCGTGATCTCAGCTCACCGCAACCTCCACCTCCTGGGTTCAAGCGATTCTCCTGCCTCAGCCTCCCAAGTAGCTGGGATTACAGGCATGCACCACCATGCCCGGCTAATTTTGTATTTTTAGTAGAGACTGGGTTTCTCCATGTTGGTCAGGCTGGTCTTGAACTCCTGACCTCAGGTGATCTACCACCTTGGCCTCCCAAAGTGCTGGGATTACAGGAGTGAGCCACCGCACCCGGCCTATATATGTCTTTATATTTAAAGTGAGTTTCTTGTAGTCACCATATAGTTGGGTCTTATTTTTTAATCCACTTTGACAATCCCTGTCTTTAATTGGTATTTTTAGACTATTGATGTTTAAAATGATTATTGCTATAGTTGGATTAATATCTACCATGTTTGTTGCTATTTTCTATTTGTTGCCTGATATGGTTTGGCTGTGTCCCCACCCAAATCTCATCTTGAATTGTAGCTCCCATAATTCCCACATGTTGTGGGAGGGACCCGGTGGAGTTAATTGACTCATGGGGGTGGTTTTGCCCACACTGTTCTCGTGGTAGTGAATAAGTTTTATGAGATCTGATGGTATTTTAGTGGAAACCCCTTTCATTTGGTTTTCCTTCTCTCTCTTGCCTGCCACTATGTAAGACATGCTTTTGCCTTCTGCCATGATTGTGAGGCCTCTCCAGCCATGTGGGACTGAGAGTCCATTAAACCTCTTTTTGTATATAAATCACCCAGTCTCAGGTATGTTCTTCATCAGCAGCATAAAATCAAACTAATACATTGCCCTTGTTCTTTGTTACTATTTTTGTCTCTACTCTTTTTCTGCCTTTTGTGGTTTTTACCAAGAATTTTATATGATTCCATTTTCTCTCCTTTCTTAGCATATCAATTATACTTCTTTTTAGATTACTTTTTTTTAATGGTTGCCCTAGAGTTCACAATATACATTTACAACTAACATAAAAGTCCTCTTTCAAATAAAACTATACTGTTTCATGAATAGTGCAAGTATGTTATAATAACAACATAATTCTAATTATTCCCTTCCAGCCCTGCATTATTGCTTTATTTTGTGTAATTACTGTGTAATTACACTTACACTTAAACTATAATCATCAAATATATTGTTGCTATTATTTTGAACAAGCTATTATCTGTTAGATGAACTAAGAATAAGAAAAAGCTATTTTACCCTCAATTATTTCTTCTCAGATGCTCTTCCTTTCTTTATGTGGATCTGAGTTTCTGACCTGTATTATTTTCCTTGTGTCTGAAGAACTTCTTTTAGCATTTCTAGCAAGGCAAGTGTACTGGCAACAAATTCTCTCGATTTTTGTTTGCCTGAGAAAGTCTGTGTTTCTGCATTACTTGTGAAGGATTTTCACAGGATACAGAATTCTAGCTTGGTTCAGTTTTATTTTCCTTTCAACACTTTAAATATTTCACTCTACTTTCCTCTTACTTGCATGGTTTCCAAGGAGAAGTCAGATGGAATCATTATCTTTGCCCCTCTATAGGTGTATTACTCTAGCTTCCCTCAGGGATCTTTCACTTTCTGTAGGTTGCATATGATATAACTAGGTATAGTTATTTTGTATTGTTTTTGTTTTTTGTTTATCCTTCTTGGTGTTCTCTGATCCTCCTGAATCTGTTGTTTGGTGTGTGACAATTAGTTAGGAGAAATTCTCAGGCATAATTACCTCAAATGTTGCTTCTGTTCTTTTTTTTTTTTTTTTTTTTTGAGATGGAGTCTTGATCTTGTTGCCTAGGCTGGAGTGCAATGGTGTGATCTTGGCTCACTGCAACCTCCACCTCCCAGGTTCAAGTGATTCTCCTGCCTCAGTCTCCTGAGTAGCTGGGATTACAGGTGTCCACCACCAAGCCTGGCTAATTTTTGTATTTTTATTTTATTTTATTTTTTTTGAGACGGAGTCTCACTCTGTTGCCCAGGCTGGAGTGCAGTGGTGTGATCTCAGCTCACTGCAAGCCCTGCCTCCTGGGTTCACGCCATTCTCCTGCTTCAGCCTCCTGAGTAGCTGGGACTACAGGCGCCCGCCACCACGCCCGGCTAGGTTTTTTTTGTATTTTTAGTAGAGACAGTGTTTCACCGTGTTAGCCAGGATGGTCTCGATCTCCTGACCTCATGATCCACCCGCCTCGGCCTCCCAAAGTTCTGGGATTACAGGCGTGAGCCGCTGCACCCGGCCCTGTTCCTTTCTTTCTTCTCCTGCCGGTATTCCCATTCCCATTACACATATTTACACCTCTGTAGTTGTCCCACAGTTCTTGGATATTCTGTCCTGTTTTTTTCAGGCTTTATTAATGTAGCCTCAAGTTCAGAGATTCTTTCCTCAGCCATGTCCAGCCTACTAATAAGCTCATCAAAGGGAATTTTAATTTTTATAGCCACTATTCTTATCTTTAGCATTTCTTTTTTATTCTTTCTTAGAATTTTCATCTCTCTGCCTTCATTTTCCATCTGTTCTTGCACGTTGTCTACTTTATCCACTAGGGCCCTTAGCATGTTAATCATGGTTGTTTTAGATTCATGATCTGATAATTCCAACATTGCTATCACACCAGGGTCCAGCTCAGTTCTGGTGCTTATTCCATCTCTGCAAATGGCATTTTTGTTTCTTTGTTTTGTTTTTGACTTTTAGTACGCCTTGTAATTCTTTGTTGAAAGGCAGACATGATTCACTGAGTCAAGGGAACTACAGTAAATAGGCCTTTAGTAACATAGTGGTGAGGTGTGAAGAGAAGGAAAGCATTTTACAGGCCTGCGATTAGGTCTCCCGGTGAGTCTGTCCTGCTGGGTTGTGAACCTCATAAGTGCTTCTCAGGTTTGTTTTTTGTTTTTCACCCCTTTAGGCGGCACAGTGTCCATAAGGGGAGCTGGAGTTGAGGAGTTCCCTCCTCCAACATGGAAAGCTAGAGGGAGCTGGAGCTGGGCATTTTCCTTCCCACAGGTCAGTGAGGTTCTGATAAAACCCCAGTAGGGTAGGCTCTGGTAAACTAGTTTCTGCTGAGGTGAGGCCTTTTTAAGAAGAACAGAATGTTTTAACCTATTTCAAAATGGTTCCTTTTCCTCTCTGCCTGCTGTAAACCCCGGGAGATTTTTCTCTGCTCTTCACTGCGAGAATCTGGTAGAATTCCTGGAGGTAAAACTCACAAAAGCAGAAATTGGGGGGCGCCTCATGACTGTGGGGTGCTGAAGACTGACTCGGTCCTCCTGAAAGAGCAGGGTGAGGGGGGCTGATGACTGTGGGGGGCTGATGACTGCCTAGATCCTCCTGAAAGAGCAGGGTGGGGGGGTCCTGATGACTATGGGGGGGCTGATGACTGTTGTGGGGGCTGATGACTGCCTGGGCCCTCCTCCTCCTGAAAGTTTTCCCTCTCAGACCTGTGGACACTGAGCCTCCAGAAATTTACGAACTACAGTTCAGGTTTTCCTCCTCCAGTGCTGGTTCTTGCAGAGGTGGATCTCCGCTTTGGTAAGTTGTGATTGTCTGTATCCACCTGTTTATCTCTCTAATTTTCGGGGCAGCAGTTTGCCCAGAGAGCTCACTTCTGTGATGGTTCTAAGAAAAGCTGTTGATTTTTCAGGTTTTTTTTTTTTTCAGCTGTTTGCTTGTTGTTAGGTCAGAGCATCAACTTTTTTTTTTTTTTGAGACAGAGTCTCGCTCTGTCACCCAGGGTGGAGGGCAATGGTGCAATCTTGGCTCACTGCAAGCTCCGCCTCCTGGGTTCACACCATTCTCCTGCCTCAGCCTCCTGAGTAGCTGGGACTACAGGTGCCTGCCACCATGCCTGGCTAATTTTTTTGTATTTTAGTAGAAACAGGGTTTCACCGTGTTAGCCAGGTTGGTCTTGATCTCCTGACCTCGTGATCCACCCGCCTTGGCCTCCCAAAGTGCTAGGATTACAGGCATGAGCCACCGTGCCCGGCCCAGAGCATCAACTTTCAAGCCCCTTACATGATGGACCCGATTAGTTATCCTTCTGAGTATGCCATCGGCTTCATAATGGGCCCTTGACTGATACAGTCATTGGTATCGGAATTGGTCCCAAGAAACAGACTCTCAGAATGGGATTCCAGGACTGGATTGCTCATACATTTGATGAACACGGGGATAAATCCTTGCTGGGGGAAACAGAACACTGGGAGCTCACATCACACAGTAGCACCTCAGTTCCTCACGTTCTCATCAACAGCAGCATGGGGCACCATGCACGTGGAGGGAAAATAGATGGGGAATCACATGGCTGAGACACGCAGTTGCTTCAGCAAAAATGGGGATTACAAAGACTGTGGAATGGGCTGGCTTCCTCTGACGGCTCCAGAAAGCGTTCACAAAGGAACAGGACAATTCAAGCTTCGGATGTGCCAATGCCTCCAGCGAAAGACCACTGGGAACACACCTGTAATGGAGCAAGCTGGGTTTATCACTCGTTGCAGTGAAGGAGAGCACACACACACCCTGGAGAACTACAGGTTAACTTCGTAAGAGGGCACCGGAAAGGACTTACAGTGGCATTGGGGCTTGTGGAGGTATTCTGGGGAGGGTTTAAGGAAGTGGGGTTTTGTTCTGGGTTTGATGCAGTCAGGAAGCAGGGGTAGTTCCATGAGTAGGCTTCTTTTTGTTTTTCCTTTTTTTTTTTTTTTTTTCTGTGAAGGAGTTTTGCTGTCCTTACCCAGGCTGGAGTGCAATCGTGCCATCTCAGCTCACTGCAACCTCCGCCTCCTGGGTTCAAGCAATTCTCCTGCCTCAGCCTCCGGAGTAGCTGGGATTACAGGCACCTACCACCACGCCCGGCTAATTTTTTGTATTTTTAGTAGAGACTGGGTTTCACCATGTCGGCCAGGCTGGTCACGAACTCCCGACCTCAGGTGATCTGCCCACCTCGGCCTCCCAAAGTGCTGGGATCACAGGTGTGAGCCACTGCACCTAGCTGATTAGGCTTCTTAGTAATTTTTCTCTAGAAGGAGGGAAGAGTAGGCGGAGGCTAAAGTTGTAGTTAGTAAAGCAGCAGCTGTCAGACTGGCCAGGGTAGGTGATGTGGTCATTTGTCTTGGACAGTATTCAGACGTGATTAGAGAGTGGTGTGTTTTTGTACTGAGGCGTCACAACCACAGACTGGCTTTGTATGACGCGACTCTCCAGCAAAGTCGATATGTTTAACAGAACACGGCGCCCTAACTGGGAGTGCCAGGCCAGCTCATAGCAACACCAAGGCCTCGCTAAAAGAGAGCCTTTTCACCTCTTTCTCTGATGGAAATTGGGAAAGCCTCAGTGCAGACTTGACAGGAACTTCTTATCTACACCACCTTCAGGGCGGATAGGGCTGAGGCACTTAGCAAAGAAAAGGAGAACGTGAAATGGATGGTGGACTAAGGAAGCTATGAGTATCACCACAGGCCTCATCACAGATACAGAAATGGAGAATAGAGCAGTTGTATATTCTGTTTCTGGTTATTGTTTTCCCTAACAAGTCACAGTTGGTAGCTAATGCTTCAATTCTTGCTGTAGGTGGCAATATATCTTAGTTGACCCACCCATGAAAATATGGTGGCGAATGGCACCTTGTATTTCTCCTATGCTGGGAACACAGGGCTTTTTGTCCAGAACAAAGAATAAGAATCTAAGTAAAAAACAGTATAAAGAGACAAAGAAGGTGGCTGGGTGCAGGGGCTCACGCCTGTAATCCCAGCACTTTGGGAGGAGGCGGATGGATCACCTGAGGTCAGGAGTTTGAGACCAGCTTGGCCAACATGGTGAAACTCTGTCTCTACTAAAAACACAAAAGTTAGCTGGGCGTGGCAGCATGTGCCTGTAGTCCCAGCTACTTGGGGGGCTGAGGCAGGAGAATCGCTTGAACCTGGGAGATGGAGGTTGCAGTGAGCCGAGATTGCGCCACTGTACTCCAGCCTGGGCAACAGAGTGAGACTGTGTCAAAAAAAACAAAACAAAACAGAGAGAGAGACAAAGAAGGTTATTATATAATGATAAAGGGATCAACTCAGCAAAAGGACTAGCAATTCTACACAAATATGCACCCAACACCAGAGCACCCAGATATATAAAATCAACACCATTTAATCTAAAGGGAGACGTAGACTCCAATACAATAATAGGAGCGTCAATAGCCCACTCTCAGCATTAGACAGATCATCTAGACAGAAAATTAACAAAGAAACATTGGACCAAATGTAAATTACACACTAGACCAAATGGACCTGACAGATGTTTACAGCACATTCCGTGCAGCAGCTACAGAATACACATTCTTCTCATCAGCTACACAGAACATTCTCCAGGTTCAACCCTATGTCAGAACACAAAACAAGCCTCAACAAGTTTTTAAAAATCAAAATAATATCAAGAACCTTCTCAGACTACAATAGAATAAAAACTAGAAATCAATAACGAGAACTTTGGAAACTGTACAAATACATGGAAATTAAACAATGTGCTCCTGCAGGGTGCAGTGGCTCATGCCTGTAATCCAGCATTTTGGGAAGCCAAGGCGGGGGGATCACCTGAGGTCAGGAGTTTAAGACCAGCCTGGCCAACATGGTGAAACCATGTTCTACAAAAATACAAATATTAGCCGGGCATGGTGGTGGGCGCCTGTAATCCCAGGTACTTGGGAGGCTGAGGCAAGAGAATTGCTTGAACCCGGGAGGTGGAGGTTGCAGTGAGCCAAGACCATGTCACTGCACTCCAGCCTGGGCGACAGAGTGAGACTCCGTCTCAAAAAAAGAAAAAAAACAAAAACAAAAACAAAAAACAATGTGCTCCTGAACAACCACTGGATCAGGAAGGCATTTAGGAGTAAACCAAAAAACTTACTGGAAATAAATGAAAATAAAAGCACAACATAGAAAAAACTATACAGCAAAAGCAGAGCTAAGAGGGAAGTTCATAGCAGTAAATGCTTACCTCAAAAAATAGAAAGATTTTAAATAAATCATCAAATGATGTACCTCAAGGAATTAGAAAAGCAAGAACAATCCAAATCCAAAATTAGTAGAGGAAAGAAATAATAAAGATCAGAGCAGAACTAAACAAAATAAGAGAGTAAAAAGAGCAAAGGATCAACAAAACAAAATGTTGGTTATTTTGAAAAAAAAAAAAGTTGGTTATTTTGAAATGTTGGTTATATTGAAAATCAATAGACCTCTTGCTAGACTAACAAAGAAAAAAGAAAAGAGACTCAAATAAGCATAATCAGAAATTAGAAAGGGGACCATTACATCTGATACCACAGAAGACAAAAAATCATCAGAAACTATTACGAACAACTATACACAATAATGAACTGGAAAACCTAAAGAAAATGGATAAATTCCTAGGCACATACAACTTACCAAGATTGAATCAGGAAGAAACAGAAACCTGGAACAGACCAATAATGAGTAATGGGATTGAATCTATAATAAAAAGTCTCCCAGGCCGGGCGCAGTGGCTGATGCCTGTAATCCCAGCACTTAGGGAGGCCAAGGCAGGCAGATGACGAGGTACAGAGATCGAGACCATGGTGAAACCCTGTCTCTACTAAAAATGCAAAAAAATTAGCCGGTCATGGTGGCAGGCGCCTGTAGTCCCAGCTACATGGGAGGCTGAGGCAGGAAAATGGCATGAACCTGGGAGGCGGAGGTTGCAGTGAGCAGAGATTGCGCCACTGCACTCCAGCCTGGGCGACAGAGCAAGACTCCATCTCAAAACAAAACAAAACAAAACAAAAAAGTCTCCTAATGCAGAAAAGTCCAGGACCAGATGGCTTCACTATCAAATTCGACCAAGCGTTCAGAGAAAAACTAATACCAATTCTCCTCAAGCTATTCCCAAAAAAATTAAGAGGAGGGAATTCTCCCTAACTCATTCTACAAGGCCAGCATCACCATGATACCCAGACAAGTATGTAAGGAGAAAATAAGACTATAGGCCAATGTCCCTGGTGAACATAGACACAAAAATTCTCAATAAAATACTAGCAAACTGAATCCAACAGCACACAAAAAAGATAATATGCCATGACCAAGTGGGAGTTATCCCAGGGATGCAAGGATGGTTCAACATATGTAAATCAATAAACGTGATACATCACATCAACAGAATGAAGGACAAAAATCATATGATCATCTCAATAGATACAGAAAAAAGCATTTAATAAAATTCAACATCCCTTTATGATGAAAACTCTCAACAAACTTGCACAGAAGGAACATACCTCAATATAGTAAGGACCATATCTGGCAAACCCACAGCTAACATCATGCTGAATGGGGAAAAGTTGAAAGCCTTTCCTCTAAGATCTGGAACAAGACAAGGATGCTTACTTTCACCACTTCTATTCAACATAATACTGGAAGTCCTAGCCAGGGCAATCAGGCAAGAGAAAGAAATAAAAGGCAAAAAAAAAGAAAAAAAGAGGAAAATAATAATTCAAATTGTCCCTCTTTGAAGATGATATAATCTTATATTTGGAAAAACCTAAGGACTCCACCAAAAAGTTATTAGATCTGGTAAATGAATTCAGTAAGGTTGCATGATATAAAATAAACATACAAAAATCAGTAGTGCTTCTATACACCAACAATGAAATAGCTGACAAAGAAATCAAGAAGATAATTCCATTTGCTACAGCTACAAAAAAAAATAGGAATAAATTTAACCAAGTAGTTGAAAGACTTCCACAAGTAAAACTACAAAACACTGATGAAAAAAATTGAAGATGATGCAAACAAATGGAAAGATGTCCCATGCTCACCGATTGGAAAAATTAATATTATTAAAATGGCTATACTGCCCAAAACAATCTATAGATTCAATACAATGCCTATCAAAATACCAACATCATTTTTCACAGCAATAGAAAAAACAATCCTAAAATATTTATGGAACAAAAAGAGCCCAAATAGCCAAAGCAATCCTGAGCAGAAAGAACAAAGCTGGAGGCATCACATTATCCAACTTCAAAATAAACTACAAAAGTATCATAACCAAAACAGCATTGTATTCATACAAAAACAGACACATAGACCAATGGAACAGAAGAGAGAATCCAGAAATAAATCCACATACTTACAGCCAACTGATTTCTGACAAAGGCACCAAAAACACACAGTGGGGAAAGGACACCCTCTTCAATAAATGGTGCTTGGAAAATTGGACATCCAGATGAAGAAGAATGAAACTGGACTCCTATCTCCCACCATCTGCAAAAGTCAAATCAAGATGAATTAAAGACTTAAAGTAAGACCTGAAAGTATAAAACTACTAGAAGAAAACACAGGAAAAACACTTAAGGACACTGGTCTAGGCGAAGATTTTATGGCTAAGATCTTAAAAGCACAGGCAATAAAAACAAAATAGACAAATGGGACTATATTAAACTAAAAAGTTTCTGCACAGCAAAGGGAATTATCAGCAGAGTGAGGAGACAACCTGCTGAATGGGAGAAAATATTTGCGAAGTATTCATCCAACAAGGGACTAATATCCAGAATATACAAACAACTCAACAGTAAAAAATCAAAAAATCCCACTTAAAAGTGGGCAAAGGACATGAATAGACATTTTTTTTTTTTTTTGAGAAAGAGTCTTGCTCTGTCGCCCAGGCTGGAGTGCAGTGGCATGATCTCAGCTCACTGCAACCTCTGCCTGCCAGGTTCAAGCAATTCTCCTTCCTTAGCCTCCCAAGTAGCTGGGATTACAGGCATGTGCCACCACGCCAGGCTATTTTTTTTTTTTTTTTTTTGTATTTTTAGAAGAGACAGGGTTTCACCATGTTGGCCAGGCTGGTCTTGAACTCATGACCTCAAGTGATCCACCTACCTTGGCCTCCCAAAGTGTTGGGATTACAGGCATGAGCCACCACGCCCAGCCTGTATGTCTTCTTTTTAGAAATTTGTAGGCACTCTTAATACATTTAGACTAACTCTGTCATATATATTGAAAGTGTTTTCTTTTTGTCATTAACCTTTTATTGAGATAAAACTTACATACATACATCAGAATGCACAAATCATAAGTTTACAATCATGTGAGTTTTGATAAATTTACACATTGGTATAACCACTCCATCCCAATCAAGGTATATAATCTTTCTACCACCCCAGAAAGTTCCCTCATGGTCCTGTCTAGTCAATCTCCAGTCCCTCACTTCCAACACACATAGATAACCACTGTTCTGAAATACATCGCCATATCATTTTGCAAGAAATTTCAATTGACATATAATTTTTTTTCTGTTAGCACTTTAAAGATGTCACTCCATTCACATGACTTACCTTCTTTCCAATGAGAAGTCTGCTATTCTAATCTTCATTCTTCTGGATGTAATGTGTCATTTTCCTCTGTCTGCTTTTAAGAGTTTCTCCTTGCTTTCTGTTATCAGCAGTGTGAATATGACCTGACTAAGTGTTTTGTTTATTTGTTTGGAATCCATTGCTTCCTAAATATTTTGTTTGGTGCCTACCATTAACTTGGAGAATTATTGGCCATTATTTCTTCAGATTTTCTGCCTCATTCTCCTTTTTTCTTCTGGAATTCTAATAATGCTTAAGTCAGATCACGTGGCTGTAAGCTTAGTGGCTTAAAACAACACACACTTATCTCAGAGTTTTTGTGGGGTAGGAGTTCAGGCACAGCTTAGCTGGCTTATTCTTGGGTCTTACGAGGCTATAATTAAGTTGTCAGCTGGGTTGCATTCTCATCTGGAGGCTTGACTGGGGAAGGATCAAAGCCCCCTCAGATTCCTGGCAGAATTTGTTTCCTTGAAGTTGTAGGAATTATGGCACCTCGCCTCTTCAAAGCCAGCAGCTGAGAGACCCTTGAGAATAAGTCTGAGAGCAAGATGGAGTCTTTTATAACATCAGGTAATCATGGGAGGGACATCCCATCACCACTGCCATATTCTGTTGTTTAAAAGCAAGCCACAGGCTCTGTCCACCCTCAAGACAAGAGGATTATTCAAGGATGTGAACACCAGGAGGCAGGGATCATATGTCTACCTTACAACCTGTCCACCCCATAGGGGAATAATATTAAGGCAAGAGCTGAATCTAGTGTTTAGCGGAGGTCCTGGTGGGAGATACAGATTTTAGGATCATCAGCATATGGATGGCATTTAAAGGAATGGAACTGGATGAGCTCACTGAGGATGTAGATAGAAAAGATGTGCAAGGACTGAGCCCTGAGGTAAGGCACTCCGATGTTAAGGAGTCAAAGTGTTACCAGTGTGCCCTGGCATCTTGTAATCTCCCAGGATAGAAATAAAGAGAGATCAGCAGACATAGCAGCGAGGAGAAAGAGAAATCTTTATTTAGCTTGTGCACAAGGAAGTCAGCACCATGAAAGGAAAACGGTGGGGGGCCCCGCCGCCAGGGGGTGGCACGTGGGTTAGTTTCACAGGGAAGGGATTGGTCCAGGCATGGATAGGAGGGGTTTGTCTAGTGCTTCTCAGTAGCTTTGCATGCTTCTTCATGCATTGCATGCAACATTCACATTTTAAATCTCTACCCCTAGGTGTGATTTTTAGCGTGAAAATGAGGAAGGGGTAACAATAGTTGAAGTATAAGTCTAACTGCACATGTGGGGCCCGGGGAAGTCCCTAGGCCCCCAAAGCAGGAACTTGTGGTTAATAGCTTCTTGGGTCTTGTGCTGTGGATTGGCTGGATGTTAAGCTACAACTTGAGGAAGGGGCTTTCGTTCTTTTTCTCTACACCCCATCAAAACAGGCAAGCGGCCAGGCTGCCGGTTTTAAAAGGAGAGACTGGTAACCGAGACCCAAAGATGTGGTCTTTGGGATAAGAGGAAAGTGAGAGCACATGGTGTCCTGGATGGGGAGTGAAGAAAGCATGTGTAGCAAGAATGACTATCGATTTTGCTGTAGTTCCCGGAGGACGAGGACTGAGAACTGACCACTAACAATATAGAGATCACTGACAAAGAGTTTTTAGTGGAGTGGTTGTGTTACCGGAAAAGGGTCCTGATCCAGACCCCAAAAGAGGATTCGTGGATCTTGTGGAAGAAAGAATTCCAGGCCAGTCCACAGAGTAAAGTGAAAGCAAGTTTATTAAGGCAGTGAAGGAATAAAAGAATGGCTACTCCATAGAGCAGGGTGTTCCCAAAAGCACGAGGAGGAAGGCGTCCACCTGGGTACGCTTGTTTATATGTAAGATAAAAGCCAAAAAACATCACGGGGGAGACGTGCTGTACTACCTGGGCTCGTCAAAGGATTGCCAATCTTTGCATAACGCCTGTCCTCCGCAAGCATCTGTATCATTATCTTTAAAGCGAAACTTCAACTAAGAATGCTTCTTGTTCTTAAGATACCCGGACATCGGGACCTAAGTTCCGGGTCTGCTGCGTAAAAGTTTATTAACCTGTTCCCGTGACCGTAAACGCCCGACTCCTGGGGATGCAGCCAGCGGGGTTCAGCCTCAGTTTACCCAGCGCTGTTCGAGCTGGAGTCGCTCTGGTTGGAGCGCCTGACCGCGAGGGCCGAGGTCAGGCCGGACTGGGGTTCTCCGGAGCGAGCAGGAGAGGAGCGGGGCTCCTGCGGAGCGGCGCGGCGGGGAGGCCGAGGGCAGGGCGGGCTCGAGCTCGGGCTCTTCTGGCAGCGCCTCCATCCCCGTTCCGTTCACCCGGCAGCCGCCCCGTGGAGGAACCGCGCCCCATCTTTAGCCCTGTGAAACAGAAAGGCCCTTCCTCCGGCAGGCAGCTGAGGGAAAGATCGCCCTGCAGGGGATGTCGGGCCTGTCACTGCTTTGTTGCGGGCCACAGTTCCCTCCCTTCTCCGAGCGGGTCGCACGTCCGAAGGTCACCCCCGCCAGGTGGCTAGGCCCTGTCGCCACTCGACAGAGGACCGAGGAGGAACCAACCCACTGCCCAGACTGCAGCGCCGCCACGCTAGGGCCCGCGCCGACAACCGTCATGACTGGGCATGCGCAAACGGCCCCGCCGGGAGCCATTTCGCCGGGCTGCAGGGCTCGAGGAGAGAGCAGGTGCGCAGGCGCCGGGCGAGAGGCTGCGCCTGCCCTACCCTGGAGCGCGCGTGCGCGCGAGAGCCGGAAGGGGCGGTGCCTGGCGCGGCGCCTGCGCAGTGGGGCGGTGCCGGGGGCGGGGCGCGGCGGCTGTCAGCTGACTGTGGCGGCGGCGGCCTCGAGGTGACAACTGTCTCCGTCGCAGGCTCCGGCGGGGGCGCAGGAGGTCGCCCGGCGCGTCACTGTCGGGTCGGCGAGCCACGGGGGCCGCCGCAGCACCATGGCGACCACCGTCAGCACTCAGCGCGGGCCGGTGAGGCAGCCGGGCGAGGGTCGGGCGGGGGCGGTGACCTGCGGTTGCGGGCGGGGCCTTGGGTCAGGGCTACTGCTCAGCTGCGGCTGGCGGGCCGACTCCGCGGCTCTCCCGGGGCACGCGGGGCGCCTGGCCGGCCGGAGGGGAGCGGCGGCGTCCACACCTCGGGGCGGGGCGGGCCGGACGGACGCGCCCACGCTGCAGGAGGCTTGAGCTCACCGCCGTGCCGGGGCAGAGCTTTGGGGAGGCAGCCCCGGGGGAGGGGGCCTGCGCCCGTTGTGAGCCCCAGATGGAGGCGGGCCCCGTGCCCCATGGTGCCCCAGAGGGAGGCAGGCCCCGCTCCCCAATGGTCTCCAGATGGAGGAGGGCCCGGTGCCCAGATGGAGGCGGCCCCGAGCTCTGACTCCCGAATGGAGGAGGGCCCCGCACCCTAATGGTCCCCCAGGTGGAGGCGGGCCCTGAACCCTAATGGTCCCCTAGATGGATGCGGGCCCTGCTCCCTGATGGCCCCCCAGGTGGAGGCGGGTCCCGCACCCTGATGGCACCCTAGATGGAGGCGGGCCCCGCACCCTGATGGCCCCCCCAGGTGGAGGCGGGTCCCGCACCCTGATGGCCCCCCAGGTGGAGGCGGGCCTGCACTCTAGTTGGTCCCATAGATGATGGCTGTTTCCTCTTTCTCATTTACACAGAGTGAGGGCAGTGGTGACCACTTCTTGGGCCCAATTGTGTCCCCGGTTAGTGGCCACCGTGCAAAACCTCAGTTTCTTCATTTGCAAATGAGAGGATAGGCGCCAGGAACTTCAGAGAACCTTTCCTGCTCTGAATTCTCTCCTGAGAGTTGCCTGGCAGTTTCTTCTATAGCATTAATATTGCAGGAGAGCTGGTGTAGACTGACTCAGAGATGATGGGCTCCTGGCGTGAGTGGCCTCCTGGCTCACTGTTAGGGCCTTCTTGCATTGCTGTAAAGGAATACCGAGACTGGGTAATTTGTAAGAAAAGAGATTTAATTGGCTCCCGGTTCTGCAGGCTGTACAGGTAGCATGGTGCCGGCATCTGCTCCTGGGGAGGCCTCTGGAAGCTCCCAGTCATGGCGGAAGGCCAAGTGGGAGCTTACACGTCACATGGCGAAAGCAGCAAGAGAGTTGGGGGTGGGGAGGTGCCACACACTGTAATGACCAGATCTTGTGAGAACTCACTATCACCGGGACAGCACCAAGCCACGAGGGATCTGTCCCTGTGACCCACACACCCACCCTGCCAGGCCCCACCTCCAACATTGGGGATCATAATTCAGCGTGAGATTTGGCGGGGACACAGATTCAAACCGTGTCACTCACTGAGGCTGGGCTGGGGCAGGCTGTCGTGAGCGGTACAGTTTTTATCAACAGTGGCTCTGAACATGCCGTGGGTGGAAAAAGTCCTTTTTCACGATGCTCCAAGGTCCCTGCCCTCGCGCAGCCCAGTACTGGACGTGGTGGAGGGGTCACCAGGGCTCCCCACCCTTAACACTGTATCCACAAGTCCTGGTGTTTCTCCCGAGGAGATAATTCTTCAGGTAGAACATTTTTTCTGAGTTTAGAATGAAGCCCCAGGTTTTGGGCATAGCTGCTTTTTCTGAGGACTTTGAAGGAAACCTCCTGACACTTATGAGACTCAGGTGTGGAGCCTACGGGTCGGCAGAGGTCCTGGACGGCCTCTGATGGCAGCGTCTCTACCTCTTCATCTTTACTCCACCACAGTGAGTCCCCGCAAGTTGCCGTGGCAGCCAAGTGCTCCTTTCTGCCTAACAGGAGACTCAGAGCAACAAGGGAACCAGCACCCTGCTGTTGTGTCCTCCTGGAGAGCAGGGGGGCATGGTGGCCAGGCAGGATGGCCCCTTCCTTGCTGTGTGGTCTGGGAGACATCCTCTGCCTCCTGGGAACTTGTTCCTCATCTGGAACCCCACTGGGGTGTAGGACTGATTTTGAATGCATCAGGTGCTGAGCAGGCAGGGAGCAGTGGGAGGCAGGCCCTTCCTGTTCTGAGGGGCACCGGCGTGCAGCGCTGTTACACCCGCGATGAGGAAGTGGGAGCGGCAGGAGATGTTCTCACACGCAGGGCCTGTGCTGGCAAGTGCTGAGGTGTCGTTAGAATCTCCTCTTGCCCAGTGCCTCCTGGGCTGTTTCCATCATGTAGACGAGCAGGTATTTCAGGGGCACCCCCGTTGACCGGTAAACGCATAGTAACATGAGGTCTGGCTCGGAGCTGCCAGGGTCTCTTAAGAAGGTGTTGTCAGCGACGGGGGTCTCAGGTGTTGCTTGGAGTACATGTGACTTAATCAACCAGCGCTACCAACTGTGGCGTTCAGGATGGCCATGATGCAGGGGACAACCAGGTGGTTCCTGCCACTGGGGTCTTCCAGGGCAGCACGGTAGACATGGCAGCACATAAGGACAGCTGAGCTGTGTGGTGACGGCCCGGTGGGTCTGTGATCTTAAGCGTCAGGTGCTGGGAGAGTTTGTAAATGGGCCTCACCAGGGCTGGGTGTTGGGGTGAGGACGTGACATCTCTCGGAGGAGGAATGGGAGTAGGGGTTGGGCTGGGAGGGCAGGGCACGGAAAGAGAGGTGTGGGGTCTGGAGGTGGAGAGGAGGGAGCCCCAGGGGCCGAGGATGGAGGGAGGCAGGAGCTGGAGGCCGCCGGAGGGTCCTGGGCACAGGAGGACTGGACTTGCCCTGGAGTTTACCGGCTCAGCGCAGCACTCTGTAAAGTGTTGCCTGGCACACGCAAGGCAGGGCCCGCCTTGGCACCAGCCTGCTTCGCTGAGCATGACCCACCCCAGCCCCTCTGAATTAACCCATAGTGGGCCTTTACCCAGTTACTAGCACCTAGAGGAGCCCTGCTTTTGCAGGATGTCTTGACACAGTATTTATCATGTCCTCTTTCTGTTACACCTGTGGTGCCAGAGAGGCAGGAGGTTAAGCAGGGCGCTCGCTCAGCTTTCCAGCAGAAAGAGATGCTCCCCAGGGTCCGGGGGCAGGACTCTGGCTCGGGAGACCCTGACTGTGGTCTAGCCGTTGCCTCCCCCTAGTGATAAGGGGAGACGGCAAGATCCCATGGGCCGTGAAGGAGCAGAGGGGCCGCTAATGGGGTCCTGGGAGGGTTCTTTTGTCCTTGGGTAGAGGGAGCTTCAGGGGCCCGGGTGGGTAGGTGTGGAGAGGACGTGTGAAGCTAGCCAGCCCGACATCGTTCTGAGAGAATCATACCGTGTTTAGATCTTCAGGATAATGGTTCCCTGAATAGCCACTAAGGGATGCTTCAGCCCTGTGCAGTGCTTCCCTCACGTTTCAAAAAGGCCAGTATTTTGGAAAGATAACCTTTTTTCAATATAGTCTGCATATTATCAGAAAGCATGGGTGAGTACCTGCAAGGAGTACCATGTGGACCCCTGCGAGGGGTACCGTGGGGGCCCCTGCGAGGGGTACTGTGTGGACCCCTGTGAGGAGTATCATGGGGGCCCCTGCGAGGGGTACCGTGCGGGCCCCCGCGAGGAGTATCGAGGAGTACCGTGTGGACCCCTGCCTTCTGCAGTGAGATCTCGGGACGTTTGCGGGAGACTCCGCTGCAGCCACCGCGGTGCCGTCAGAGAGGCCTCCTTGGTAGAGGTGGGTGCGCTGTGCCGTGTCCAGGCTGCTCTGACTCCTTGTCCTGCTTCTGGAGGTGCTGGTTGGCCATGGAGTCCAGCTGGAGGCGGCCTGGCCCCTCCCTTCCTCCCTGAGAGGCCTGTTCCTGTCCAGGTCCCCTCACTCTTCACATCGTTGATAATTCCTGCCGAATCGGTGACTTCATTAGGGATGGCAGAGGGTAGTTTCTGAACTTTATCACTTCTTCGGTGTTTATTAACTGGGATTGTTTGTAAAGATTAGCTTTCCCCATCAACCGGTGTCGGCTGGCTGTCCTGAAACACAATTCGTGAAAGAAAGGCAAGTGAGATGCTTTTCCCTCATCTTCCCGTACCTCAAGGAGAGAGTTGCTTTTCTTTGTAGATGTGTGTGGGCTTTCTCTCCCCTGAGTGTTGTGAAGAGCCCGTGGATTTTCCTGCATCCTGTGTGTCTGAGCCAGTGGCACTTACCCGTCTCCGCTGGCTCTGGTGGGCTGCTCCTGGGAGGGCGTCCGTTCCTGCTGACTGCACCTGAGCCAGCGGGGAACGCACTCACCGCCTCCTCACGAGTCCTTTCTCTCTGGGTTCCTGTGAACCTTTGCGCTGGATTTTTTAGGCCGGGTTGTGAGTCTGTACAGGTGTGGAATTGCTGTGCTTGCCTGGAAATCACATCTTTTCACTGTGTGGGGACCCACGGGCCTCTTGGAAGATAAAGGCCTCTTGCCTTTGATTATTTTGTCTGATACTGGCATGGCCACCCCAGCTGTCTTTTAGAGAGTATTCACCTAGTACTTTTTCCTTCTATGATTTTACATTTTTCTGAAAACTTTTGTTTAAGACACGTGCACCATCGATAGCACGTAGCTGGATTTTTAAAAAGTCAAATCTAAGAAGACTAAGTCTTTTGATGGGAATGCGCTAGTTTCATCTTTCTAGTTAAGAGATGCCTAGATGGATACACAGATTTACAGATTTTTTACATGTTTTCTTTGGTGCTTTTATTTGTCCTACATTTTCTTATTTTTTTTCTCTCATTGCCTTTTGAATTTATTAAATGGAGTTTTAAAAAATTCAGTTGTTTTATCTCAAGTACATACACACTGTGCTGGGAAAGTACAGGGGCTCCCCTGGAAATGGTAACATGCACTTATCAGCTTCTGCCATGAGGGAGTCTCTGAGTGAACTCTGGCTCCGGAGGCTGCCCGGCTAAAGAATAAATAAAGAAGAAGTTAATCATTGTCTGTGCCACCTCCGGATCCACGCGGAGACCTCGGCCGCCCCGTCCTGGCGCGGGTGCTGCTGTGCCTTGTGTGGGTGCTACCTCCCCTTGGGGCTCCCGCAGGAATGTGTTACTTCTCTCGAGTCAGCGCTTGTTTAGATTTCCTTCTGTGTTTCTCTTTTCTTATCCCTTCTGGTGTCTCGGGCCTTCCATTTGGGGTCACTTTCCTTTAGCTTCAGGTTCATCTAGAATTTTCCTTGCTGGCAAACTTGATTTTTGCTTGTACATGCCTTTTCTCTGTGTCCTGACAGCTATTTTTGTGTGTGTGGAACTCCAGGTGGGCGGTACTCCAGGTGGACAGTACTCCCGGTGGACGGTCACTTGTCCTCAGTGCCTCGAAGGTGGGACCCCGCCCTCTCCTGGCTCCTGGAGTGGCTGCTGAGCAGCCCGGGAGTGGATGTCCCTTCCTCCGGCTTTCCTTCGTTTTTGGCCCTCTGTTTGCTGCCTTCTGAATACGCTGCTTCTGGCCTGCCTCCCAGTTCACTTGAGGTCTTTTTTTTTTTTTTTTTTTTTACATGGAGGCTCGCTCTGTAGCCCAGGCTGGAGTGCAGTGGCACAATCTCAACTCACTGCAACCTCTTCCTCCCAGGTTCAAGCGATTTTCCTGCCTCAGACTCCCGAGTAGCTGGGATTACAGGCGTCCACCACCACGCCCAGCTAATTTTTGTATTTTTAGTAGAGATGGGGTTTCACCATGTTGGCCAGGCTGTTCTCGAACTCCTGGTCTCAAGTGATCCGCCCACCTCAGCCTCCCAAAGTTTTGGGATTACAGGCGTGAGCCACTGCACCCGGCCCTAACCTCTGTTCATCTGGGCCTCTAACACTGTCCCTTGACCTGCCCGACAGGCCCCTGGTTAGGCCTGCTGTGCAAGTGTTTCCTGTCCCTGAGTCACTGTCTCCAGATCCTGCGGGCCCTGCCCTGGCACCGTGCTGGTGAGGCCTGCCTTGCTGCCCTGTGGGAAGTGCAGCGTGCCCCTGCCACCCGGCCTTGCCCTGTTTCTTTGCACAGCGCCTCCTGCCGTTAGCATACAGCATAACTCATGATGCTTCCCGTTTGTCTTCTTCCACTCACGTGTAAGCATCCCAGGAGCAGGGGTGCCCCAGCACCTCACCATGGAAGCCTCAGGCACACAGTGACACGCAGAGGCTGCCGCAGCGCGCGCCCTGTGCCCGGCGCCCAGGGCCTGCCACGTCACATGCCGTCCCTCTCTGGATCTCTGTCCGCCCTTGGCCTGCTGCTTGACTGGCTTTTGTTTCATCTGAATGAGAAGGGGTTTTCCGCCTCTGCCTTGCTTGACCGTCCCAGCACTTAGGATGCAAGGCTGCCTGCAGTGGAGTTCCTGGCAGAGACCCCATTTAAAGTCGCTTGTTCTGTAGTCAGCTTTTATAATCTATGCTTATTCTCATTCTGTCCTGTACTCTTCCCTTTCACCGCTCTTCAGCTTACACGGGTTCGTTTCAATACTGTCATCTCCCAGCTTCCCTTACACAAATTCTAGTGTTTGCTTTGAGACTTTAGCAGAGCCAGGGAACCTCCCGGCATGTTGGCTTTGAAGCGCCTGTTGTGTTTTGTATAATTAAAGGAAGAGGGGAGGGGGTGATAGGAAGAGGGAAGGAAAGCCCTGTCTGAGGAAGGCCCCGGAAGGGGAGACAAGGCACGGCGAATGAGTGCTCAGCGAGGGCTCCTGGGAGGGGGCTGCTGAGCGGCCGTGGGAGGAGGATGTGGGAACTGGGGACAAAGTCACCACTGCCCGTCCACACTGGCGTGGGAGCTGCCTTGCCAAGAGCAGTTGCATGAAATGCCACTTATTTGCTCAAGGGTTGTTTATTGAACATGCCAGTGCCAGGAGACTGGCGTGGAGCATGAGGCCGAGGCTGGCTGGAGTGGGTTTTGGGGAGTGTCAGGAGGCTGGTGTGGAGCGTGAGGCCGAGGCTGGCTGGAGTGCCAGGGGCTGCAGGGTCAGGTACTGGTCCAGCTTTTGGATGCTGGTGCTGTGAAGGGTGGTGGGTGAGGGAGCCAGCAGCTGAGTGGGCATGGGGAATTGCAGTTTTCCTTCTAGCCTTATTTTGGAAAATGCTAAACTTACAGGGCAATGGCAGTGGCCACCAGTGAGTGTCGGTGAGTCCTTCACCTCCACGGGGCTCCCCTCTTGGCCGTGAGTGTGCAGGCCTGGGGCATGTGCAGGCTGGCACTTCAGTCTCTGAAACCCTGCGCACTGAGGGGTCAGTCAGCTGGGCAGAGGGACCGCCAGGGCCACCCAGGGTCTGTCCTGACTGCCCACGGCCCTGTGTCTCAGCCCTGGTGCGCGTTCCCGCCCTCTTGCACGCCCGGATCTGGATGTGAATCACACAGGTGTGCGGGCATCGGGTGGATGGGCCATTTCTCCTGGGCCAGACTGAGCTCTGACCTGGGTGTGAACCTAGCAGCAGACATCCCCTGTAGGACAGTGGCCTGGAGCAGGCCCCTTGCAGGGCCTTCAAGGCAGGGCCAGCCCCTCAGACACAGCAGGGAGGCTGGTGATGACCTGGGCTCCAGGTTCTCAGCTTCATCTGGACCAACTGTGCTGTTCTATGTGAGTCCTGGGGCCCTGACCGAGTCTGGGGCTCCCTTCCTAGCAGACACTCAGACCTCGCCCAAGAGGCTTTGAGACTGACTTCCGCCCATATCCCTAGATGTTCCTACTACGGGGGATTTATTTCTCTCTGTTTCATTAGCTTCCTCTGTCCCTTTAGCCACGAGCCCAGCCCAGGTCTTCCTGCTGTGGGTCCCAGCTCTGAAAGTCACGTTGAATCATGGCCATGTTAGGAACTGGAGAAACCTAGGGCTCAGGGTACAGAGTTTCACTAGTTGGGCTTCTGTGTTGGGGCCTCCGTGGGCTGGCTTTGTGGCTTCAGGAGTCCTTGACGCTTGTTCTCAATGTGGGGGTGATATTGACCCTGAGAGGGCACAAGGGGTTCTTGGGGGAGGAAACTTCTGGGGTTTGGCGGCCGTGTGTGCCTCCCCAGCACAGCTCCTGGATTTCTTGCTCCTTAGTATTTCATTGTCCCTGGGTTTTCTGGGTGTCCCAGCACATGGATACGGAGTTCTCGGAAGCCCGCGACACATGTGCGATCTCAGACCTGCTGTGAGGTGGGTGGGGAGGGTGGGCAGGCGCCTGCGGATGCCGTTTGTGTGGGATCCTCAGTGCTGGTGTGAGACTCTGGCTTGGAGAATTGAATGAGAATCGTCGACATTTTGTGATTTAATTCCACAGAACGTATTTAGCCCATCGCTAATGATGTCAGTTTGCTGAAAGAATACCAGCCAGCCAGTTAAAAGGTACTTTCTCACATCAAGCAAAAGCTTCAGTTCACTAAGGATATTTTTTATTGTGTTTATATAAGTTGTTTATTTCTACGTGTGATTTGATACATTACAATTTATGTAAATAAATTACACTCAGCGCTGCTCAGCGCATAGTCATGAAGTGCTAGAAGCATTTTAGTTTTTAATTGAACTTCGTTCGACTTAGTTATGCTAACCTGGCGTTAGCGCTGAGACTCGTTGAGCCTTGCTTGCAGTGTTTACATGCCAAGTGCAGGTGCATGCGTGGCACACAGACACAAACAGCACCTCCACAGCCTCGCAGCGTCATGGGGTGGGAACGGTGAGAAGGTTTAAAAAGGCTCCGCAGGGGGCCAGTCATGGAAGTGGCCAGGAAACCCTGGTCTCCTGCCGCCTGCGTGTGGCCAGCCGTGCTTCAGGGGCGACTGTGGTGCGGCTCCTTGGGGTGATGTCTCCTGGCAGGCGTGAGGCCAGGACTGCATGTGTTCAGGACTCCACGTCCTGGGCTGAGCTGGGCTCTTCCGGGGCTCTGTCAAGGCAGAAAGTGTGGCCCAAGGAAGCAGCGGCACTCTCAGTCGGAAACGTATTCCTAACAGGTGTCGGGCAGAAAGTGTGGCCCAAGGAAGCAGCGGCTCTCTCCGTTGGAGACGTGTCACCAACAGGAATATTCACAGTGGGTGTTTAATTTGTGTGCTTAAAAAGAAAAATTAGCTTTGGATTGACTACACACATTGCATGACAAAAAAGAAGAATTAAGACTTTATTTCTGTGCCAAAACTAAAACTTAGACTTGAAGAGAAATTGTTTTAAATAGAAGTGAATGTTGGAGACCTCTTTTCTTTCGTGTGGAAAGGTACGCTGCAGTGGTTTAGAGCTCTGGCGTCAGTGAGGGAGGAATGGTCGTCAGTCACAGGCTTGCGTCGTGATCCTCTGAGAGCGGCACATGGGGGAGGAGAATCAGCAATTCCAAGAAATTTGAAGTTACATTTTAAAACTATATTTAAAACAGACTAATATTTATAAAAGTAGCTTTTATTTTCAGAGAAGATAAAATGCTGTGAGCTCTGTGGGATGAGAGCCCTACCCTGTCCTTTTTATTTTAAAAGTAATTCACGAATGTTTTTAAAAAGTTTCTAAAAATAACTAGCAGGATATAAAAGTATAAATAAATTGAAATAGAATCTTCCCTGCCTGTTTCCCTCGAGTTCCATTCCTGAATGCTCCTCCAGAGTTGGTGTCGACAGAGGCCTCCTTATGGCTCCCTGCAGCAGGTCGTGCCGCACCTCCGCCTCCGCCTCCGTCCCCCGAGTCTCCATGTGTTCGCGGCAGGGACCGCCGGCTCCTGGTGAGGCCGCGTGGCGATGCGCTGGGTGGATGTGCCTGGCTGGTGGACGGGGCGTTTTGACGGCACAGGTGACGCAGCCTCAGGCATCCTGTGCTCACGTGCCCGAGTGAGCATTGACAGGGGACTGGCTCCTGAAGTGGAATTGTTGGCCTTCACACGGGCATTTAGACTTGTTAGTGTTGAACTCAGTATGTGCATCTTGTACATGGAAGCAAAATTCTAGAAAAATATCCATTATGTATCGGGAGTAATCATTTTTGTTTTCATATTTCCAAGCCTTTGAACCAGGGTAAAGCATATATTTTTATGTGACCATTGAAATAGTTCCTCCATCATCATATGGCAAAAATAAATTTTAGGATTAGCACTGAATTTAAAAAATAAATTCAAAATAGACATTTACTGAAGGACCGAGTGTCGTCACTGAAACGATAGGGTTTACTTCAGCACCTGGACTCTCTCCCCTGTGACTCGTGAAGCATGAACTGGTAGCACTCCCTCCTCGTTTGAAGGGCTTTGCTCTAAGTTGAGAAACGAGGGCATTGCAGCAGCAGGCAAGCCGCCTCTCCCTGGTAGGCGGGGCAGCAGGTTGCGTAACCAGTATTTGTACGGGGAGGACTGAAGCCTGGTCTCCGTCTCCTCTCTTGCTCTTCCTGTCTTCAGGTTAAATGGAATATTTTTCTGAAAAACCTTGAATTTTGTAGTGTTCAGTCTTATGACGAATTGAAAAGCTGGCACGAAGAGGTCCTGTGTGTCTCACCCATGTCCCCTGGCCGACGCTCCCCTCCCCGGGAACAGCTCTCACAGCTGTGGCGCTGAGCTGGGGGCATGACTGTTGGCTCCAGGTTTTATTTGGCTGTCCTGGTTTTTCGATGACTGTCCCCTGCTGTCCCAGCACCCTGCCTTGCGTTTAGCCATCATGTCTGCCATCTCCAATCTGGGACCGTCTCTCAGGCTTTCCTTGTGTTTTTGGGACCTTGACGGTTTGAGGACGACTGACTGGTCAGGGATTTTGTCAGATGTCTCTTAATTGGGGTGTGGGTTTTTGGGAAGAAAACCCAGATGTGAGGCGTGTGTCATCTCGGGGAGCTGGACGCGCACCTGCCCCGCCACATGGCGCTGGCTGCGGTCCCCGGGCTGCGTGGGGCTGATGAGCTCCATCCGCAGGGAGCTGCTTCTCCCCTTTTCGTGTTCTATCCACACGGTTTATGTTTAAAAACCCTCTTTTCCTATTTGCCATTTTATGGTTAAATCCTTGTTGAAAAATGACACTTGATCATTAGGCCTTTGGATATAATTTTATTTTCTCCCAGTAATGAGCAGTCCCACTGTCTTTAACGGACACCTAAAGAGTGCAGAGCAAGGAGATGGAGCGCTGGACGCCTTCAAATACCGGGACAACCAGGATCCAGAGCAGCGAGGGACCCACAGTGCTCCCTCAGAGGCCTCTGGACCCCACGCCCACACGTCCCTGTGACCACCCACACCCTCCCCCGACTGGCTTCTCCATGCTGCTGTCTCCGGGACATGAGTCGCCTGTCTGTCCCCCACGTGTGGCCAGGAGGGCATGAGCCACCTGTCTGTCCCCTACGTGTGCCCAGGAGGGCACGAGCCGCCTGTCTGTCTGCCATGTGTGCCCAGGAGATACGGTGCTTTTCCTGCCATGTCCTCAGAGCTGTGCATGTGGCACACAGGAAGCAGTTGTCACAAATAAACAGGAATTTGGCCTGTGTATGTTAGTCCTGAGAACTTGGTTAGCACGAGTCTGTTTCTGCAAGATAACCCGTTCCTGGTGAGCAGACAGAGCTAGTCATAGAGCCTGCTGGCATGGGCTGTGCCAGGGCCCTGTGGGGTTGGCAGGGAAGCACGTCCTGTGTGGCCAGGTGTCCCCCGGGGAGAGAGCTCTGGGCTGTGAATCCTTCTGGGAGGCAGGCGAAGGGCCCTGGCCTTCTGTACCCCAGTGTTTCCTGTGTGCCAACAGGAACAGGTGCTTAGCATCTCGTGCCATGGGGCCTCTCAGCGCCCTCCTGAGCCAGAGCTTGCTGTTGAGCTGTACAGCGCCTCGAGAGAGGCTGCCTGGGGGAGGCTGGCCTGGGACTCCTGGCATGGGCCCACTCCGCTCAGGCACCTCTGCACCCTCCTCGATTGTCCGTAAGGGCAGGGGGTCCCTCCGGGCCCTGGCCTATGCCACACCCTCCGGAGGTGAAGCCGGGGTGCTCTGCTTGTTCTCGCAGTACGGCTTCTCTCACAGGGCAAAGGTCACTCGTGACGTGTCCCAGTCAAAAACGGGGTAAAGTGTGGGGAAACGCACAAAGTGTGTTTTGCTTTTTAGAGAAGAGCGGTTGAGCACACGCCATGCTGGCTGCTCAGGTTGGGGTGCAGCCTGCAGAGAGCTTCCCGAACTTGGGGGTCCTGAGTCCGTAACTGCTCGAAGCGGTGCCTGGATCGTCCGGGTCCCTTCTGTTTACTCACATTGGTTGTGGAGCGCTGACTGGCTTGTGCGCTCCAGGCCTTAGATGGGGACACAGGTGAGGAGCTAGACCCTCTCGGGGTCCTTTGAAGTGCCAGGCGCCCAGAGCACAGCAGGTGCAGGGCTTAACTCAGAACCTCCTGGAGCCCTGCCTGGCACCGTGTCATTGGGAGTCCATGGCACAGGCAGGTACGGGTTTCTGGTGTGCATGGCAGAGGCGTTCTGGCGGCCTCAGCACGTGCACTTTGCCTAAGCTCACGTCCGACACACCGAGGGTTCCAGGTTCCACTCGGTATTTCCTGAAAACAACTGCCCAGGGCACTGGCGCTGACCGGGGCCCCTGCAGACGGCTGGGTCTCCACCCCACTCCACCAGCAACCAGGCCTCCACCCCACTCCACCAGCAACCAGGCCTCCACCCCACTCCACCAGCAACCAGGCCTCCACCCCACTCCACCAGCAACCAGGCCTCCACCCCACTCCACCAGCAACCAGGCCTCCACCCCACTCCACCAGCAACCAGGCCTCCACCCCACTCCACCAGCAACCAGGCCTCCACCCCACTCCACCAGCAACCAGGCCTCCACCCCACTCCTCCATCAACCAGGCCTCCACCCCACTCCACCAGCAACCAGGCCTCCACCCCACTCCACCAGCAACCAGGCCTCCACCCCACTCCTCCAGCAACCAGGCCTCCACCCCACTCCACCAGCAACCAGGCCTCCACCCCACTCCACCAGCAACCAGGCCTCCATCCCACTCCTCCAGCAACCAGGCCTCCACCAGCAACCAGGCCTCCACCCCACTCCACCAGCAACCAGGCCTCCACCCCACTCCTCCAGCAACCAGGCCTCCACCCCACTCCACCAGCAGCCAGACCCATGCTCAGGGCCTCATCAGCGACCTTTCACCTGTGGAGCATGGTTTACCCCAGGCCCCTTCGGCCGCTGCAGGTGTGCGGGTGGTTTCGGGATGGCATTGTCCTGCCTGGGCCCATCCTCTCTCTTCCCCTCAGAAGTGGCAGTGGTGGACAGAGGGTCGAGGAGACATAGGATGCAGAGTGGGGAGGTCTTTCGTGGTTGTTTGGAATCGATTTACTTCCTGCGTTCTTCTGGGATACTTTTGAATTTCAGCTGTTTCATGTGGAAACATTTGAAGTATATCAGCAGAGGGTTTTCCAAATCACTTTAGACCTGAGGCTCAGCTTTTGTCTCATTCGTTTGACCAAGTGACCTGCAGTTCAGTGGCCCTGCCTTTAGCTGTGGACAAGGAGAAAGAAGCCGTGGGCACACATGGTGCAAGGGAGACCCTTTAAAATGACCTGAAAACCCACCTGAGCAGGCTTTGAGGACAGGAACCCATTTTTAGCGGCAGAAACCTGCATTTGGGGATCTCCTGAGTGAGGGCTGCACCTGTACCGCTGGGGGCCAGGCCCCAGGCTGGACACCCTTGACCCCTCCGTTTAGAGATGAGGAAACTGAGGCTGAGCACAGTCCAGGACTTGATAAGGACATGGGTGGGGGCGGGGCCGCGGGAATGCCGGGGGCAGCTGCTGTCGGGCTGCTTTGTGCCCCCACCCTGACTCACTGGCCTCTCTGGTCCCCGGCCCCGCAGGTGTACATCGGTGAGCTCCCGCAGGACTTCCTCCGCATCACGCCCACACAGCAGCAGCGGCAGGTCCAGCTGGACGCCCAGGCGGCCCAGCAGCTGCAGTACGGAGGCGCAGTGGGCACCGTGGGCCGACTGAACATCACGGTGGTACAGGTGGGCCTTGGGGCACCCTCCTGCCTGCCTGGGGCTGGTGCGCTCGGTGGGGGTGGGATTTCGGATTTCGGCGTTTATACTGCATTTCCTAAGCGGGCAAACAGAACTTCTGATTCCCGCTTTTCCTGAAACCTGTGTGATGTTGAAAACGATCTGTGTGAAAGATATTGGCATTGACCCCGGGTTCTACCAAACATAACTCAAGTGATGAGTAGTGGGTGTAGGTGGGCGTCTGCTCTGTGTAGGGCCTGGCTCTTCCACCAGGCTTGAGTACGCCCAAGGACACCTCCCGGACCCCCGCCGGCAGCTGGAGGAGGCGCGGCCGGCACCCCCGCCACCTGGTGTGTGCTGCGTGAGTGGCTTCCTGTTGGCCTCAGTGCCGGTGCCTGCACCCTCCCTCCCCACAGAGCAGCCCTCGGTCAGCCTCGGGGCCGGCCCGTGGTTGCTTAGTGGTCTTTCAAGTGAAAGCCAAAATCGGCAGATTGAACGCCGATTTTGATCACACGAAAACCGTCTGTAAGACTGCAGGAAAAGGAAACACACTGTGAGCCACGCAGGCTTTCGTAGAAATGCAGGGAAAGGAGACACACTGTGAGCCACGCAGGCTTTCGTAGAAATGCAGGGAAAGGAGACACACCGTGAGCCACGCGGGCTTTCGTAGAAATGCAGGGAAAGGAGACACACCGTGAGCCACGCGGGCTTTCGTAGAAATGCAGGGAAAGGAGACACACCGTGAGCCACCCGGGCTTTCGTAGAAATGCAGGGAAAGGAGACACACCGTGAGCCACGCGGGCTTTCGTAGAAATGCAGGAAAAGGAGACACACCGTGAGCCACGCGGGCTTTCGTAGAAATGCAGGAAAAGGAGACACACCGTGAGCCACGCGGGCTTTCGTAGAAATGCAGGGAAAGGAGACACACCGTGAGCCACGCGGGCTTTCGTAGAAATGCAGGGAAAGGAGACACACCGTGAGCCACGCGGGCTTTCGTAGAAATGCAGGGAAAGGAGACACACCGTGAGCCACGCGGGCTTTCGTAGAAATGCAGGGAAAGGAGACACACCGTGAGCCACGCGGGCTTTCGTAGAAATGCAGGGAAAGGAGACACACCGTGAGCCACGCGGGCTTTCGTAGAAATGCAGGGAAAGGAGACACACTGTGAGCCACGCGGGCTTTCGTAGAAATGCAGGGAAAGGAGACACACTGTGAGCCACGCGGCTTTCGTAGAAATGCAGGGAAAGGAGACACACTGAGCCATGCGGGCTTTCGTAGAAATGCAGGGAAAGGAGACACACCGTGAGCCACGCGGGCTTTCGTAGAAATGCAGGGAAAGGAGACACACTGTGAGCCACGCGGGCTTTCGTAGAAATGCAGGGAAAGGAGACACACTGTGAGCCACGCGGGCTTTCGTAGAAATGCAGGGAAAGGAGACACACTGTGAGCCACACGGCTTTCATAGAAATGCAGGGAAAGGAGACACACTGAGCCATGCGGGCTTTTGTAGAAATGCAGGGAAAGGAGACACACTGTGAGCCACGCGGGCTTTCGTAGAAATGCAGGGAAAGGAGACACACTGTGAGCCACGCGGCTTTCATAGAAATGCACAAATACAGCAGGCAGAAGAATCGCCGTGGACCTCACAAATAAGACTTGCTTTCAGGGGCTTCATGGTGTGGTGAGCACAGCTACACCGTCACCCCTTCCTCGCGGCGTGTCTCAGACCCTTGCTTGTGCAGCTGTTACTGTGCTGGTGTGGCCGATCCCTCTGCCCACCCAGTGAACTCCCGTAAGCCCATGCATTCCTGTGCCAGCTGCCACCAGGCCAGCCAGTGCCATCACCCGTCCTCAGCCGCCACCTCCTGGCAGGGCCTGGTGACCGCAGGGCACTCCACCTCACACAGTTCAAGCTCCAGAGCTGGCTGGGCCTTGGAGGTGGCCCTGGCGTTGCCCACGCCTCTGGCCCCCCTTGGTCCTCTCCCGCACCCTGGAGCCCACCACAGGCAGCCTGTTTCCTCCACGTGAGCTCACCCAGCCTTCTGTGGCGCAGCTCCAGTGGTGGGAAACATTCCTGCCTCCTCACTGGGCCAGGTAGCTCAGCCCCTGTTTCCTGCTTCTCTTGGCTTCTGGGCGGCCACACAGGTGGTTCCCTGCTTGCGTCCCCTCGCTGCTTCCCCTTGTTGTCTCCTGGGGCCCCAGTGGGATGCCAAGGGGTCTGGTCCTCAGCCCTCCTCCCCTCTCTGCCCACACATCCCGGTGACTTCTGCATCCCTGTGGGTCTAAACACCCATGTGCTGGCCCCAGCCTGAGCCGACCACTCAGCTCCACCCCAGATCCCTAGGTACGGACCATGGCCACATGGCCTCCCCAGGTGTTCCGTGGGCACTCCGGACTCCGTGTGCCCAAGGTGGAGCTCTCGGGCCACCCTCCCGGCTTCTCCCCCGTGTCCGCAGGTGGCTGCCCCACACTCTGGAAGCTGAGGCCCAAAGCCCTCGTGCTGCTGGTGCTCCAGGTTCATGTCCACCTCTTGCCCTTCAGGCCTGACCCTCAGCACAGGCGCCACCTTCAGCCCGTCCAGGCCTGGAGCCCCCCGCACCCACCCACTGCCCCCGCTCAGCCCCTGCAGCGTGGCCAGAGTAGGTCCGTTCCCGCGTGGGCCTTTCTCGTGGGCACTGTCCTGCCGAGCCTGCTCCAGCTGGGCCCATGTTTTCCTCACCCTAGTCACTCCTGACCTTCCTCTTCCCTGGCCGTTCTCCTCCCGCTTCCTGCAGCTCTTCCTCCAGATCCTGCAGCCCGCATACCCGGTCCTCCTAGCTGGTCACTCCCTGCAGTGGTAACGCCGTCTGCTGCGCTGTGTGTCTGCCGCGCATCTCTTGCCCATTGTGGGGAAAGCAGCGGTGCCCGTGTGTCCCCACGGTGTCTGCTGTCTGACGTGCGTCTCTTGCCCGTTGTGGGGGAGGCAGCGGTGCCCGTGTGTCCCCACGGTGTCCACAGTGTCTCCTGCACCAGAACAGCATGTGGTTGTGTGCAGTCATAGTGAATGGGCAGATGCTTCCATAAACATCGAGGAGGTCACTTCAGCAGAGCAGTTGATGTCACAGGACGCTCATCCTAGAGTTTTCTAGCCACAGTGCAGAGGGCAGTGGGAGGAGATGGGAATGAGAGGATGACGCTGAGTGTGGCAGAAGCAGGCAGGATCCAATGTGAGCAGGCATCGGTGACA
This sequence comes from Homo sapiens, assembly GCF_000001405.40. Lineage (NCBI taxonomy): Eukaryota > Metazoa > Chordata > Mammalia > Primates > Hominidae > Homo > Homo sapiens. Next base: position 26,693 of record NW_025791792.1, on the reverse strand, counting down.
GGCACGGGCATGCTGGCAGGGGAGTCCCATGTGCCACCCAGAAAGCTGGCTTTGCTCAAAGCCTTTAAAGTTATTAATAAAAATAAGTCATAGCAGCTAGGCAGAGACAGCACAGTTACCTGAAAGCTTTGGAAAATCATGCTGGTCTCAGACTTTCCTGCTACATACTCTCCAGAAAATAGGGCAGTTGCTAAGGAGTTTACAGGGGCAGAGTTTGGAGTGTAAGAGCTGATCTAGCAGATGTGTGGGTGTGCAGCAGAAGGGAATTGGAAGCTGCTAGAGGCTGAGCATGCCTGTCGCCCAGGAGCTTCCGGAAAACTGTCACTCCATAGCATTCCGGAGTACGCTGTGGCCACCCAAGAAACACGCTAAAATTAAGGACCCAAGAATGGGGCAGTTTTGACCTAAAAGGACCGGCCACAGCTTTGATTAGAAGTGAAAGGAGGGAACTTGTATGTGGACAAGAATAGAAAACAGAGGACCTGGCAGTCCAGAGATGTGGGCACAGGAGGGGAGAGTTCAGCTGTGCGGCGAGGGTTGGCGTGGACGGGACAGCCGTGCCCTCGGGGGTCGGTGAGGACGGGGCGGCCGTGCCCTCAGAGGTGGGTCGGTGAGGACGGGGCGGCCGTGCCCTCAGAGGTGGGTCGGTGAGGACGGGGCGGCCGTGCCCTCAGAGGTGGGTCGGTGAGGACGGGGCGGCCGTGCCCTCAGAGGGGGGTCAGCGAGGACGGGGCGGCCGTGCCCTCAGCGGGGGGTCAGCGAGGACGGGGCGGCCGTGCCCTCAGAGGGGTGCGGTGAGAACAGGGCGGCGGTGCCCTCAGAGAGGGTTCAGTGAGGACAGGGTGGCCGTGCCCTCAGAGGGGCGTCAGTGAGGATGGGGTGGCCGTGCCTTCGGGGGGTGGGTGGTGAGGACAGGGTGGCAGTACTCTCAGAGGGGGGTTGGTGTGGACAGGTTGGCCGTTCCCTCAGAGGGGGTCGGGGGGCAGTGTCTGGACTCTGTTCCACTGGGAAGGAGGAACTGGCGGGCTCCATGTGGGTGGGAGGGCCGGGATGGCTCCCGGGGTCTCTATCACCAGCTCCTGGGGGTGAGCCGGGTTGGCTGCAGGAGAGCGGGTGGCAGTGGTACAGGGAGGCCGTCTGCATTCCAGGCAGGACGCTTTACAGGCAGCCGGAGCTGCAGGGCTGAACCCAACCCAGCTTACGAGGGCTTTTCTCCTGGTTTTTTCTTGTAAAGGTTTTACAGTTTTAGGTTTTATATTTGAACCTGCCATCCATGTTGAGTTTGTTTGCTGAACAATCATCTTACTTGCCACGGTCTTCTGTCTTATTCTGAACACACGTTCACTCCCACCCCGAGGACCTCAAATGTCCCTGCCCAGCTGAGCACCTGGCCTGAAGTCGAATCTCATGGTCTACATGTGATGTGGCTCCTTGTGATTGGGAGACACAAGAAAGACAAGTTCCAGTCCCCAAAACCCCACGTACTCCGATAGCACAGGCAGGGCTGCTGCCTTCACGAGGGAGGAAAGCAGCCACGTGGCGTCTGAATTATGTGCAGCAGGTGTCCTCACTCTCACCTAGAGCGAGGATGCACCTCTCCCGGGTCATCATGCTCCGGGGGCAGGTTCACACTCCATGTCATGCTCTGGCTCTCAGCTCTGTCCCGGGACCTCCTCCTCTTTCCCTCCTCAGCCACTTCTGAGGAGGGCATTAGAGAGTGCGCCCTTCATGGTGGGTGAGTGGCGGCCTCAGCTGTGTCTGTGAGCGTCGTAGGTTTCTGCTGTCAAGGACGAGCCACGTGCTTTGTCTCAGAACTGCACGATCCATCTGTGGCTCACTCTTCTTGCTCCTGGCCTCCTGGGAAGCAGGTCACAGCCGTGTTCAGGCGACTCTGAGTGGCTGTAGTCTATGTGTTAGGAAAAGGCCTCGTGGAAGGGTTCAGGGAGGCAGACGGCCTAGAGAACCCACCCTCTCCTGATGGTTGGCACCTCCTTTTCCTGACATTGGCTTCATTCCAGGCAAAGTTGGCCAAGAATTACGGCATGACCCGCATGGACCCCTACTGCCGACTGCGCCTGGGCTACGCGGTGTACGAGACGCCCACGGCACACAATGGCGCCAAGAATCCCCGCTGGAATAAGGTCATCCACTGCACGGTGCCCCCAGGCGTGGACTCTTTCTATCTCGAGATCTTCGATGAGGTGAGAGGGACGTGCCAGCTATTATGGAGGCTGCACGTGGCTGAGCGTGGCTGCCGTGGGGACACACCTGCCAACACAGCCACGTTCCTGGCTGGCTTCGAGGCGTGGCTCCCCACCTGGTGTTTCATTGGGTGCATGACAGGGTCCTGCTCTCCCCAAGGAATGTGAAAAAGGGATTGTTTCCAGCTCCTTGAACATACTTACATTTGGAAACATCCCCAGTGACAAGCATGACCCAGGGATACAGCGTGCACGTGTCCCCTCCGCTGGGCGCACAGGGTCTGGCCGCTCACCAGCAGGTGGGATTTCCAGGGACAGAGCGTGCACGTGTCCCCTCCGCTGGGCACTGATCTGGCCGCTCACCAGCAGGTGGGATTTCCAGGGACAGAGCATGCATGTGTCCCCCGCCACTGGGCACTCGTCTGGCCGCTCACCAGCAGGTGGGATTTCCAGGGACAGAGCATGCATGTGTCCGCCCCGCTGGGCGCACAGGGTCTTGCCGCACACCAGCAGGTGGGATTTCCAGGGACAGAGTGTGCACGTGTCCACTGGGCACTCGTCTGGCCGCTCACCAGCAGGTGGGATTTCCAGGGACAGAGCGTGCATGTGTCCGCCCCGCTGGGCGCACAGGGTCCGGCCGCTCACCAGCAGGTGGGATTTCCAGAGAGTGCGGCTGCCTACTGGGTGGGAAAGCTGTTCTTGGTGGTGCGAATGGTCGTGACCCTTGAGGGTCCTGAGTCCCGTCCGTGGCTGCACCTGCAGCGCTTCTGAGGCAGAGTCAGAAGGTCAGAGGGGATGTGGCGAGGCTGCTGCTCAGTGTGGTCCTGGCACCTCGCACCTGTGGCATTGTGAGGCTAGAGACTGGGTGGGGGCCGGGGAGCAGTGTGGGGCAGCCAGGCCAGCAGACGGCCAGCCCTCCCTGCCTGGGCCCTGCCTTTTCCTCCCGGCTTTTCTCTCCCCGTCCCTACCTGCTTTCCCCTCCCTGGCCCTCAGAAGAGTAGAGAGCGCATGGGAAGTGCAGAGTCAGCTGTGGGAGGCAGACCCCGTGTCCTTTCCAGTCTGCACCCCGGCTGCTCTGGGGCTTGACAGGTGGCAGCCGGTGGAGCAAGGATGGGGCCCCGAGGGCTGGGGAGGAGCAGCCAGTGTCCCTGAAGTGGAACTGAAGGAGGACAGCAGCCCAGGGCCCTCGCTTTCCCCAGCCCCAGACCTGGCCCTGGCCCTGGCCCTGGCCCATCCTGGTGGAGAGAGGGAAGAAGTCCCCTACGGAGGCTGATATACGATCGTGAAGCCTGCGCTGCCCGAGGGGTCTCATCGATGGGGTGTTGGTGCAGGTGGGAGCCCTGTTCCACAGATAAGACGGGGACTCGAGGCGGGCCCACGATGGTGCGGCTGCAGGGGCAGGGTGGCCCCTTCCCTGATGCCTGGGGCCTCTCCCTCTTGTCTCCCGCAGAGAGCCTTCTCCATGGACGACCGCATTGCCTGGACCCACATCACCATCCCGGAGTCCCTGAGGCAGGGCAAGGTGGAGGACAAGTGGTACAGCCTGAGCGGGAGGCAGGGGGACGACAAGGAGGGCATGATCAACCTCGTCATGTCCTACGCGGTGAGCTGCACGCCTGGGCGGGGTGGGGCGCATTGGGGTATGTTGGAGCACGTCGGGGCTATGCCGCCCCACAGACACCCTTGTCTCTTTCCTGGAGGCACTGAGCCCATAAAACAGCAGGGCTCACGTTCTGAGGACAGAGGGCAGGGGCCCTGGGTGGTTTGGTGGCAGAGAGGGGCTGCCCTGCCCACTGCTCCTGCCCATGTTCTCTGTCTGGGGAAACAGCATAGGGGTTGTTTGTGTTCCTAAGATGAGCCAACCCTTTGTGGTGGTCTCCACTGCAGGCCCCTGTGTCCTCGGAGGACCCCCACAGCCCTTCCAAGCTCTGCCCTTAGGGTCCAGCTGAGCAGCCCTCCAGGGTCTGAGATACAGCCCTGGGCCCTGCAGGACACCAGGCTCCTCCCCACAGGGCAGGCATTGGCCGTGGTGTGGCAGGGCATCTCTGGAGATGTCGGGGAAGCCTGGGGGCTGCTGTGCTCAGGGTCAGGAAGTCGAGGCCTGGCTGTGGGGCCAGCACGTCAGCGCCCTGGCTCCCAGCCATCTCCATTCTCAGGGCACCTGCAGCTCCTGGGGGCATCAGGAGGGCCAGTTAGAGGCTCCAAGACGCAGAGCTCCTGCCGTCTCGTCTGTATCATCAACCAGAGGATTTTCAGGCTGTTACTGAAAAATGGTGCTGTGGGAAATGCCAGGCAGATGTGACAGCAGAGAGGGTGCAGCAGAGAGGGTGCAGCAGGGAGGGTGCAGCAGGGAGGCTGCAGCAGAGAGGGTGCGGCAGGGAGGCTGCGGCGGGGAGGGTGCGGCGGGGAGGCTGCGGCGGGGAGGCTGCGGCAGGGAGGGTGCGGCGGGGAGGCTGCGGCGGGGAGGGTGCGGCGGGGAGGCTGCGGCGGGGAGGCTGCGGCAGAGAGGGTGCAGCGGGGAGGCTGCGGCGGGGAGGCTGCGGCGGGGAGGGTGCGGCGGGGAGGCTGCGGCGGGGAGGGTGCGGCGGGGAGGCTGCGGCGGGGAGGCTGCGGCGGGGAGGGTGCGGCGGGGAGGCTGCGGCGGGGAGGGTGCGGCGGGGAGGCTGCGGCGGGGAGGCTGCGGCGGTGAGGCTGCGGCGGGGAGGCTGCGGCGGGGAGGCTGCGGCGGGGAGGGTGCGGCGGGGAGGGTGCGGCGGGGAGGCTGCGGCGGGGAGGGTGCGGCGGGGAGGCTGCGGCGGGGAGGGTGCGGCGGGGAGGCTGCGGCGGGGAGGCAGCAGCAGGGAGCTGCTTTTCTGGGCCATCTTGGCTCCTCCCACCCCCTTTTTGTTAAAGCTGGGATATTTTAAATCATGTCCCGGCCGTGAGTGACGATGTGTAAATGTCTCATGACACGTCTTTAACAGACGCTTTCATACAAACACAGAACCATCATGACGCTCCAGTGATTTTACCTGCAGTTGACAGTTTCGAACTCAGAGACGACAGTGGTGCAGTGACTTATCCGCAGTTGACAGTTTCGAACTCAGAAGACAGCGGTGCAGTGACTTATCCACAGCTGACAGTTTTGAACTCAGAGACGGCAGCGGTGCAGTGACTTATCCGCAGCTGACAGTTTTGAACTCAGAGGCGACAGTGGTGCAGTGACTTATCCGCAGCTGACAGTTTCGAACTCAGAGACAACCGCGGTGCAGTGACTTATCCACAGTTGACAGTTTTGAACTCAGAGACAACAGCAGTGCAGTGACTTATCCGCAGTGGACAGTTTTGAACTCAGGAGACAGCAGTGCAGTGACTTATCTGCAGTGGACAGTTTTGAACTAAACTCAGAGACGACAGCAGTGCAGTGACTTATCCACGGTTGACAGTTTTGAACTCAGAGACAACAGCAGTGCAATGACTTATCCGCAGTGGACAGTTTTGAACTCAGGAGACAGCAGTGCAGTGACTTATCCACAGTGGACAGTTTTGAACTAAACTTAGAGATGACAGCGGTGCAGTGACTTATCCACAGTTGACAGTTTTGAACTCAGGAGACAGCAGTGCAGTGACTTATCCGCAGTGGACAGTTTTGAACTAAACTCAGAGACGACAGCGGTGCAGTGACTTATCCGCAGTTGACAGTTTTGAACTCAGAGGTGACAGTGGTGCAGTGACTTATCCACAGTGGACAGTTTTGAACTCAGAGTTGACAGCAGTGCAGTGACTTATGTGAAGTTGACACTTTCAAACTCAGACACCACAGCAGTGCAGTGTGGTTCCCCCCAGGCCGACTCGACACCTACACTGGGATGTCCCTCCTGTCACCATCCTCTCTCAGTCACATCCCAGTTAGAAGGGGGTCTGTAAGCCCGAGCCATGTCACCTCCTGGATTTGAGGAGGTGGTGCAGGGGTGGGAGCAGGGCCCAGCGTCCCCTGTGCACTCAGGGCTCGTGTAGCGAGGGTGATTCTGGGCTGGCATGGGGAGGGCGATTCTGGGCTGGCGTGGGGAGGGCAATTGTGGGGAGGGCGATTCCCGAGGTTCTGATGGGTGGATGTTCCTCCTTGACCCCGGGACCATCTCCGCTGTGTTTCAGCTGCTTCCAGCTGCCATGGTGATGCCACCCCAGCCCGTGGTCCTGATGCCAACAGTGTACCAGCAGGGCGTTGGCTATGTGCCCATCACAGGTGCGTGTGCTCCCTCCCTGGGTGCCTCTCCCCTGGTAGAAACCCCAGGGCCTAGGGCAGGTGCGGGAGGAGGGAACGGGGCTTAGAGCGCCGGGGTGGGGACGTCATCCATTCTAGAATCCTGTAGACGTGCTGACCGCACACAGATCCTTTCAGGCCAGGAAGCCAAGGCTTACGTTTGAATTTTGTTTGCATATCTAGAAAATAGAATTGTTTTTTTTTTTTTTTTCTAATTGTTGGCAGAAATGAGGTGAGTTGAAATTTTCAGAGATGTGGAAATGTGGCTTTGAAACCCCGTTGTGCCCAGCTCTGTGCAGGAGAACCTCACGCCCCTGTCAGGTGACACGTGCTCTGCACTGTGCCGTCGTGTCCGAACCTCACGCCCATTGGGTGACGCGTGCCCTGCGCTGCGCCGTTGTGTCTGAACCTCACGCTCCTGTTGGGTGATGCGTGCTCTCTACTGCGCTGTTGCGTCTGTTGTCGTGTGTCACTGTTAGGAGTGAGCAGCCTGTGGCTGCAGCAACACCAAGCTGGGATGTCGCTTTTCATGCTGTTGCATTTTCGGTCCAGCTGTGACTGTGGTAGCTGCTGGTGCAAGACCGGCCCCCACCATGGATGGGCCCAGCCGTCTTTAGCAGGCGGGGAGACCGCAGCCCCTGAGAGGAGGTGCTAGGGGGGAGCCTGTGGTCACCCTGGTTCTCCTGCTGAGGTGGCCTCTCTCGTTCTGGGGAGCTGGTGTCCAGGCAGAGCACTGGTCCCTCTGCACGGAGGGTGGAGGCCAGAGGCCCAGGCCATGGAAGTGGCCAAGTTGCGGGCAGGGCGCTAGGGATGCGTGGTGGTGTTGGGGGAGGTGGTGTTAGGGGAGGGTCTCGGGGCTGCATGAGGCCCCGGCTGCTTGTGCTCAGGGGCTGCTTTGGGGTTGGGGCGGGACAGAGCTGCTGGCAGGCGAGAGTGCTGTGAGGCCAGTGCTGGTGTCCAGCCCAGCTGGAGTGGAGAGGCCTGGTCAGCACCCCAGTCCTGCCAGCATCCTGCACAGATGCAGAAAGGCCACCTTGGGAGTCGGGACCTCGCCCTAGACCCACCTGATGTGGCCTGAAACCCAGCCCTGACGATGGGAAGGAGGAGACGGCACTGGGAGACTCTGGGCTGTCCACTGGTGTTCAGGACATTCTCGGACAAAACTGCCTGTGAGAACAGCATGGCCTCGCCCTCACTTGCTCACATTATAGACTCTGTTTCCATGTGAAGCCGCCCGCGCAGGTGCCAGGGCTGCCTTTCTCCAGAGGAAAGAGCAGAGCGTGTGTCTGAGAGGGCCTCTGTGGTGTCCAGTGTCTTAGAAAACCACCAGCCTGGGGGTGGGTGTGGGGGCTCATGCCTCTAATCCCGGCACCTTGGGAGGCCAAGGCGGGCAGATCGTGAGGTCAGGAGATCAAGACCATCCTGGCCAACACGGTGAAACCCCGTCTCTACTAAAAATACAAACAAATTAGCCGGGCGCGGTGGTGGGCGCCTGTAGTCCCAGCTGCTCGGGAGGCTGAGGCAGGAGAATGGTGTGAACCCAGGAGGTGGAGCTTGCAGTGAGCCGAGATTGCGCCACTGCACTCCAGCCTGGGTGACAGAGCAAGACTCCATCTCAAAAAAAAAAAGAAAACCACCAGCCCAGCAGAGGTAGCACCTGCACCCCGTCACCGAGGAAAGAATGCTTCCTAGGAGGTGACCACAGGTGAGCCAGAAACGCAGAAGCAGCCTTGAGGCGTTCAGAGTTAGAGGAGGGTGGGCATCTGGGTAAGTGGAAGAGCCAGCACCTTGGCAGAGAAACGGGGGCGAGCATGGGAGCCCCACAGCTGTTCCTGAGCCTGGAGCCTGGCCAGGGGAGCTCTGCTGCCCTGGGGGCCCTGATGCGCCCTGGCTGCCCCCCAGAGTGGCTCCTGGAGGTTCTGATTTGTAACTGGGACAGCCCAGAGCCGCCGTCGTGGGGTCAAAGTGCCTTCTGTGATGTGCAGTTCATGGGGCTAGTGAAGTTCTGTCTGGTTGTCCTGAGTTGGAGGCCAATGGCCAACCTGAAAGAACAGAGACCCAGGCCCTCCAGCTTCCTGAGGCTGGAAGTCGAAGCCCCGTAGGCAGGGCCACTCACTCGTCAAGGCTGTGAGGAGGATCCTCCCCGTCTCCTCCAACTTCTGGGCCGGGCGCTCTGTGGCTGTCTTTTTGGGGGGTGCAGTTCCATCAACTGGATACAGCGCCAGGGTGTATCTGGCTGAAAGAGCATTCAGATGACAGATAACATTGATTGGCTTACCTCTTTCTGGTTCCTATCCCTAATTCTCTTTGTAGATGCCTTTCAAGTTTGCTCTAAAACGTTTATTTTAGGAAAGGCTAGACAAACTTTGAAATTTTCTTTTGATAGACATTGTAAATTTTGGAACAGCCCCGCACTTCATAGAAAAGTTCCCAAGGAGATGCAGGAACATCTGCCAGAGCCTGTGAGGACTCGTCCACCTGACGCCCCACCGGAGCCCCCAGCCCCCATGCCCAGGCATGCGTTTCCAATAAGCAGGGGCGTCCCTGGCACAGTACGGCCATCTAGATGAAGCTGACACTGACGCGTTGGGGCTGTACCCTGCTTGGAGCCCGTCTGAGTCCGCAGCATCCAGGCCGGGGTCACTGGCCCTCCATGGCCTTGCCTCCCTTGGCCTGGAGGGGTCCCCATCTTGCTCCTAGGGTATGTTCTGGTCAGGGACCTGGTGGGGCTGCTGACGTGGCCTTGCAGGGTAGGGCTGAGTTTCCCCGGGGCTGCTGGCAGGGCCCCCGCATTTTACCCAGGCAGATGCCACCACCGCAGATTCCACCCAGCGCAGGTTTACCCAGTGCAGGGCTAGTGGTGTGACTTGCTCGTCCCTCACGGCGGGCTCTGCCTGGCTGTTCCCCGGGAACTAAAATATGTCCTGTGTGGGAGGCACCCCAGGACCACGTGAAGATCCCGCCCTTGTCAGCCCCTGAGTTTATCCGACTTCCCCAGCAATGTGGATTTACAATTTCCTATTTTATTTATTTATTTATTTATTTTAATTATATTTTAAGTTTTAGGGTACATGTGCACAACGTGCAGGTTTGTTACATATGTATCCATGTGCCATGTTGGTGTGCTGCACCCATTAACTCATTTAGCATTAGGTATATCTCCTAAACAATTTCCTATTTTATTTATTTATTTATTTATTTTAATTATACTTTAAGTTTTAGGGTACATGTGCACAACGTGCAGGTTTGTTACATATGTATCCGTGTGCCATGTTGGTGTGCTGCACCCATTGACTCGTCATTTAACATTAGGTATTTCTCCTAAACAATTTCCTATTTTATTTATTTATTTATCTTAATTATATTTTAAGTTTTAGGGTACATGTGCACAACGTGCAGGTTTGTTACATATGTATCCGTGTGCCATGTTGGTGTGCCGGACCCATTGACTCATCATTTAACATTAGGTATTTCTCCTAAACAATTTCCTATTTTATTTATTTATTTATTTTAATTATACTTTAAGTTTTAGGGTACATGTGCGCAATGTGCAGGTTTGTTACATATGTATCCGTGTGCCATGTTGGTGTGCTGCACCCATTGACTCGTCATTTAACATTAGGTATTTCTCCTAAACAATTTCCTATTTTTTTCCTTGGGTCAGAATCCCTTATGAATGTTATTTTTTCACTCAAATTATTCCAGATTTGGCCAGAGGGAGCCCCCTCAGGCGGGATCTTTGTTCTTTGGCCTCCTCTGATCCTTCTCTGGGCCCCTCCCTGCTTCCTGGCACTGCAGGAAGCCCCAGGCTCTCTGCATTTCCGGCCTTAGCCCTGGCGTTAGCTGTTTCTCCCAGGAGCCCTGGTTCCCATTAGGAGAACACTGCTTTTAGGAGCCTTTGAAGTATTTTTTAATTATCCTAGCAGTACTGTAGAGTGTGAATAAGGCACCCTTCTTCACTGGAAGCTGATGCCCTAATTTTCTTCTGAGTACCTGTGATCACAGCCCATCCTCCCGGCAGCCACTGCCAGCTGAAGGGCGAAGTCTGCGGAGACCTTGGAGAGGCTGGCGGCTGCGTGCTCAGGGCGTCTCGGGCCGACTAGGCAAGCATGGTGGAGTCACACCAGGGTTTTCTTCTCAGAAGTGGAATCTCAAAGTGCATCTTGGCCAGAGCATGTGTGTCGCCCACAGTTTCAAGTGTTTATGACTCACATGGTGGAGAAGCCTGTGCCGCGTGCTCTGCCTGGCTACGCGGTGCTGGCTGCGTGGCTTCGGGCCTGTGTGCACGCAGGGCGGCCTGGCCAAGCCCTCTGGTGAGACGGGGCTGCCGGAGTGGGCCAGGAAAGGAGAGCCCGGCTTCTTAGGGCCCTGCTTCTCGCCAGCCCCTTCAGCCGCTCGTTCATTCAGCTGTCGCCTGCTGATCGCTGCCCAGAGACCCCCGCACAGGGTGCAGGTCTCGGGGGCTCACTGTGCACATTAGGTGGGCTCAGGCCCCGAGAGCCTCCCGTGGTGTCTGAGCCCAGCTGCCACCTCTATGGAGAGTGCAAGCTGGAGACTGAGGGCTGAATGCTGGCTGAGCCCTCACGAGGACCGTCCACTTTCCTCAGTGAAAAACCAGAGTCCCCCACAAAGCAACTCAGAAGCCGGGGCGCTGAGGTCAGACCATCTCCTTCACAAAAATAAAGTGTGACCGCATCAGTGAGGAAGGGAGGCTGGAACACGAAGCACAGCTTGATTATTAAAGCTTTTACGCCATGATCATGGCCCGAAGAGAACAGTTTTAAGTTTTGATTTTTTTAAACAAAGTATTATTTTGATTACCAAATTAGATACTTTACAGATTTCAAATAATTCGTGGTAGGCATCATGTGGTTATAGGGGGTTTTTTAGCCTCAATTTTAAGGAAACATCTAGGCGTGAAGCATCTGGAGACCGCGTGGCCTCATGAAGCATGTTCTCTTCCACGGAGCTGCAGAGTGGACAGAGACTCTCCGCCAGGCTGGCAACAGCAGCCAACTGCTCAATTTCCCGTGCGTTCTTCGTGCGTGAGAGACCAGCGCGGGTGCCACTGGGCCTCAGCCCTGCCTGCACTGTCCCTTCAGCTGTCCCTGGCACAGAGGGGCACTCGGGCTGCAGCCACTGCCAGGGGTCTGCCCTGAGGGTCCCCACGAGACTGACAGGCGCTGAGGTGGAAGGTGGTGCCGGCCGCGCTGTCCTCTGGGGCCCTCCTCACTTTCCCTCCTCCTGTTGCTTTCCACCTCCTTCTGCTTGGTGGTGGGAGGAGAATCGGCCTGGAAAGTGGGGCGTCCGGCGCCTCCCCAGCCTGGCCCGCATAGGCAGCACCAGGGTGTGCATGAGCTCATTCTGTGCTCACCGTGGCTGCAGCTGCCCGTTGACGCTGTTTCCATCTGTTCCCTCGTGCACCTCCATTTCACACGGGCCTGGAGTGCTTCTCTCTTTTCTCTGCTGCCCCCACGTCCTCACCGGCGCAGTCCCTCCCGTCATCCTGGCCTGCGTCTCTGTGGGCACAACCCCCACTGGTTTCTGTGGAGCCAACCAGACCAGGACATGAATGCCCGTCCACAAAGTATGAAAGCAAAACACGCAGGTGGACGCCGCTGCTGGGATGGACAAGGGGGAGGCCCATAGAGAACGTGCACGCGGTGGCACCATGCACGGGAGCAGCCGGCGTTCGCAGCGCCTGTGAGTTCCAGAGAGGGCCAGCCAAGGGCTCACCCAGCGGCCCAGGCATGCTTCCCCTCGCACGTGGAATTCCAGCGAATAGGGAGTTTGCAGCTGAGCAGCACATGCCATTTAAAATACGAAATGGTTCCATTCAAAATGAGAATTGGATGCTTAAAAGTTTCCGAGACAAACTATCACATGGAACTCTCTGCTGTTGTGTTTATTAACCCGCTAACTTGGTCGCTTTGAAACAAAGAATCACGTAGGTTTTCTTCTTTGTGATAACGCTCTGTGGAGTGAGAAGCAGCAACAAGCCTTGGGAGTTCCGGAACAGTCTCTGAGCTGGACGGTCGTCCCCACCTGCTCTTTGGATGTCTTTCCACTGTGGTGCGAGACGTCTGGAGCCCAGGGCCACATGCCTTCAGCCTGAGCAGGGCTGATGCTCCCCTGCCCACCGGCGGCCGGGACTTACCATGCTGCGTGGTCTGAGATCAGGGCCTTCTCGGAGCAATTTTTCCTGAATGGAAAAGGGACAAGTTTTGGTTTTCCTGGGTATCCTTGTGTTTGTCAGTAGAGAATTTGATTTTGCCAAGATATGACAGCAGATTCACACGGCGTGAAGAACGTGAGGTGGGGCCTGTCCTGTGCTGCACATCCGTCCGCGTGCGTGCAGGTGGCTGGTGGGGCTGAGCGCGGCAGATGGCAGGGACACAGCAAAGCCGCCCATCACTCCTCCCAGGGCCGCTACAGGTGGGCTCTGGGCTGCCCCGGGCTCCCATGGCGTCCTCTCTGCCCACATTTTGGGGACTTTGCTCTCCGCCAGGCCCCAGAGCTCCTGGTCTGTCCTCCTGAAGTCCCCAGGCAGCCTTGACACATACGCTCACCGTTCCCGGAGGGCTTGATGGACACATCCGTGCTTGGTAACCAGGATGGGCCGGCTCAGGCCAGGCACATGGCCTCTGCCCTGCAGGAAGGAGGGGAGTGAGCCAGGCCACTGCCCCTCAGCCCACACCGTGGAAGCACCCACCTCTTCCCCCGGGGGTGCCTGCTCCCCAAGTGAGTGTGTTGGGGCCGTGCTGTTGGGATTCACTTGAGGGCCAGTCGGCGCCACATCCCCTCATTGTCAGCAGAGCAGGTTTCTCGGGACACCCCAGGCCGTGACGTCGCAGCGTCACAGCCACCGTCATCGATTTTGCAGCAGTTCCCCTCCTCCTGTCCCTTCCCCATCAGACTGGTAAAGGCTGGAGAGAGTGGGAGCACGGTGCCTCCGTTCCTCATGTTGCCACGCTGTGGGGAGACGTGTGGGCAGGGACAGGCGATGGCCGAGCCCCATTCCTCTTGTTGCCATGCTGTGGGGAGCTGTATGGGCAGGGACAGGTGATGGCCAAGTTCCTGCCCGCCTGCCAGCCGGGGCGCCCAAAAAGCCACGGGGATCCCAGGGGTCCCTCCAGGACAGACAGCGCCCAAGCCTTTGTCTTGTTTGAGGAAGAAGAAAGGGTGGTGAGGGTGGCCACGTCCCCACCTGGCCATGGTTCGGTTCGTTTTCCGTCATTGCCGAAAGGCTGATGAGCATGGGGATGATGCTTCCCCAGTGAGGTGAGGTGTCCAGTGGCCAGGACAAGAGGCAGGTGTGGGTGTGGAGGAAAGGTGGGCCTGGCCCTGAGAGAGCCGAGAAGCAGAGGAGGCAGGGGTGGGTGTGGAGGAAGAGTCGGCCTGGCCTAGAAGGAGCCGGGAAGCGGTGGCCTTCCTTGCTGAGGAGTCCTGGCCTTTGCAGCAGGTGCAGGAGGCTTGGTGGCAAGCCCTGTCTGCTCCGTTTACACCCCTGCAGGTCTTGTTGCTGGTGTTGGTTCAGGCCAGGATTGAAGTGGCTTCTGCTGCCTTTAGGATCCTCCAAGTGTAGAAAGGAACAAAAGTCCTATCCTAAGATTGGGGCTCTAGCGCTCCAGTGATCCTAGCTGGGAGATGGTTCGTGCTTTTAAAGGTGAATGAACGGGTGAGCAGTGAACCCTTGCACTGCTGCAGCTGCTGCTGCAGGAGGAGCTCTGTGCCTCGCTGGTCGCCGAGCCCCGCGCACGCTGCCTGTGCTCTGTGCCTCACTGGTCGCTGAGCCCCGCGCACGCTGCCTGTGCTCAGGGCTGCTCGTGGTTTTAGGGAGCGGCCACCAGGCTGGGAGGCGAGTCTTAAGTCCGGCCACACGGTGCCTTCAGGGGTGTGTGTGCTGCAGTGGCTGAACCGCCGTGCGTCTCCTGCTCGATAGATTGCATCTCAGTGTGTCCTCCCGCATCAGACATGGGGCGAGGGGCCTGCGTAGCTGTGGGGTGGAGATGCCAGGAACCCTGGACGGTGGCCCCAGTGCACTGAGGGTCCACTGTACACCGCACCTGCTGCCCCACTTGTTTGAGTTTTGTGAGCATTTTCTTGGTGTAGTTTGTATGTGTGTGTGGGGTTGTCATTCTGGGCATCGGCTGCAGCTTTGCTGAGGTCTTCAGTGCCTGTGGTGATTGTTCCCCACCGGCACACAGTTTAGTGACACACTTGCCAAGCTGCAAAAGCATCTTCTAGAATGCCTGATAAAGGAAGAGGCTCAGACCGTGCAGTGTTTGGATCAGCGGGCGTGACATTCCGTGTAGTCCGTCCCCAGATGCAGAGGACTCTGTGAGCCCACTGGTCAGTGAAGACGAGCGTGTGCAGTGCAAATTCACGAGTTCTGAAGGGATCAAAACACCACCCCCAGCCTGCTAGTTATAAAACAGACTCGGGTGAGATTTGAAAGATCAAACTTTGATTTTTATATGGAAGGAAGATGAGTTAGTGAAGGAGGCGTCACAGAGGGCCCTGCCCACCTTCCCCGTGGCTGTGCCTGGGGTTGCTGTTTGGGGGTTTGCCTTTCCAGGGTGTCTTGCGGGACTGGTGTTTGCTGAGACCCGAGGTGGCCCCTTCCTCAGGGAGGCCGGTGGGATGCGTTGTTTTCTTCCTTCAGCAGGAGCTAGTGTGGCACTTCTGGAACTTTCCGACGTTTTTACCAAACTTGATCTTTGCTTCCAGGGATGCCCGCTGTCTGTAGCCCCGGCATGGTGCCCGTGGCCCTGCCCCCGGCCGCCGTGAACGCCCAGCCCCGCTGTAGCGAGGAGGACCTGAAAGCCATCCAGGACATGTTCCCCAACATGGACCAGGAGGTGATCCGCTCCGTGCTGGAAGCCCAGCGAGGGAACAAGGATGCCGCCATCAACTCCCTGCTGCAGATGGGGGAGGAGCCATAGAGCCTCTGCCTCGATGCCGTTTTGCCCCCGCTCTTTGGACACGCCGACCCGGCGCTCCCCAAGGAATGCTGTCCCAACAAGATTCCCGTGAAAGAGCACCCGTGTCGCCCCCTCCCGTGGACTTCTGTGCCGCCCCGTCCACACCTGTTCTTGGGTGCATGTGGGTTTTCGGTTCCTGGCGGTCCAGGACGGGGCGGGGGCTCCCCTCCCATCTCGTGCTGGGAGGTCTCAGCGCGCTCTCCTGTCCCTGGGACGTGCGTCTCTCCTTCTCATGCCGTTCTGGAAAATGCTCTTGCTGTAGAGAGCAGCTGCTTCTGCCAGGGTGTTGGAGGTGGTGGAGCGCCTTCCGATTCCATTCATGGCATTTTGTGATGTGATGTAATTGGAATAGAGCTGTTGATTTAAGGCACACACAATCCCTCACACTGTGGGTTTTTTTTAGAACTTCCCAGACGAAAACTCACGCCCTTGCCCTAACGCGCTTTGCTGTGAGCCTGGCCCCTGCCCAGGGCTTGGGTCTGGTGAGCTGAGCAGCTTCCTGTGGATGGTGTGGGGCCGGCCTCTGGCCTGGCTCACCTGGCCACTGTCCAGCCAGCCTTGTGACAGACTCCGGCCTGAAGGCAGAATGAACCCACACCTGGAGTGAGGAAGGGGGCCTGGCACGGTTGGCCAGGCTCTGCCTGATTGCCAGCCAGCGGGCATCTGAAGCCGGGTCCTTCGCCCGCCGGAGGCTGCCGTCCGTCTCTCCTGCTGCGCTCGTGCCAGCTCCGTGGGTGTCCTCCCAGGGAGCTTCTCTTCTCAACAGGCCTTGCGAGGCTGGGGTGAGAGGTGATAGAGGCAGCACTGTGCATGATTCCGAGAGGGTGTGGTGGCACTGCCAGCCGACTGCTGACAGCTTGGGAGCTGCTGTGCCCAGGACGTGGGTTCAGCGTGGGCGAGGAAAGCCTGGCGAGCGTGGCCCTGTAAAAGCTTTCTGAGGCGGGAGGCGCTCACTTACCTCTGACTGCCTGGGCGCTGCGTGTAGCATCTTGGCCTACAGGACAGATTTTAGGTGACACCTGGTTATGACAGTCAGAAATTTGAGAAGCTTCTCACAAGTGATGCACTTTAAATAATCTGCATGCCATTGAGACACCTGCATGTCTGGTGTTTGTGGTTCAAGTGTCTTGCCGCCGGCCTTCGGATGTAAACCCACTGATAACGGACAGAAAGAGAATGCCCACAAGTGGGTCTTCTGTGGAAGATGCAGAAGGAGGAAGTTAGTGCTTACATTTTAGTCTTTTTCTCCCTCAAAAAAATAGGTTAAGTTTCAGTGCCAGCTAGAAAATACTGCTTTCTGCCATCGATTGGGGGTGGTTTTTGTCAAATATACTGTTGATAAATATTTATTTTTGTAAACTTGAAGTGTGTGGTGGCCGTGGGGGAGGGACATGCTGGCAGCAGGCGCCTTCTTCAGCTGTGGGTCCTAAAGGCCTTTGATCCTTTGAAGAAGAAAGACATGGTATTTGTTCAGCAGACGCCGACCACTCAGACGGAGGGGCCCCTGGGATTCCCTGTCTCAGATGGCCTGGTCTTACGCCTGTGTAGATTTCTTCTCCATTGGGAATGAAGGTGTCAGGCGGGACTGGAACGTTCTAGATGGTATGTTCCGTGATATTAACAACTCTAACCCAGGACAGACCACAAGCCACACTCAGAGGCCTCACTGTGCTGGGGGCTTCGGTGTCCAGGCGCCCAGGTGTGGCCACCAGCACCGGTTTCTGCCTTCGCGTTGCTGGGGTGCAGTGAGACTGCCACACGCGTGCACATGTGGCTCTGTGGGTGTCTCCTAGAGAGGACGTGGCCCCTGCTGCCAGCCCTTGAGCAGCCCGTGTGGGGGCCCGAGGGACCCACACAGTGGGGGCCAGCCTCGCTGGAGGGAGAGCAACCCTTTGCCGATGACCACGCTTGCCGCCATCTCTTAGTTTTCTTTTTCACAAGCGCTTTATTTTTTTAATAGACAAATCACATTTTGCAAGGCCTTTAATTAAATAAGATTCTTCTTTCCTTCATTTTATGCTTTATTTCCTGTTTGAAGGCTTACTGTAGAAGTGGCTTACTGTAGAAGCAGCTTGCTGAGCCCCTCCGAGCGGTCCCCAGAATTAGCTGGTTCACAACCCCCACCCTCCCCCGCCCCCGCCTGTGTCAGGTGTGGATGAGGTCGTCACACTCAGAAGGACAGGCTTGTCTGCCAGCTCACAAGGGGAGGCTGCAGTGGGTTTGGGAGCTGGGTTTAGGCCCCTGGTGTCTGAGGGCCCAGGCCTTGCCAGCCTCTGCTGCTCCTGCTCCTGGGTTTGAAGATGCAGGCCGATCGCCAGCTCCGTGGCAGCGGTCACTAAGGACAGCCTGACTGTGCCATCTTGGAGCCTCAGGCGGGGCTCCGGAGATAGAAGACAGGTCGCCGGAGGCTCCCCCTCCTCTCCTCTCCCCTCTGCAGATGCTCCCTGGGCGCTACCCTGCAGGGTGCCAGGCAGGAGTGGTCTCAGAACGTGCGCTTCTGATTATTTTACTGGGGTCCATTGTCCAGATTTTTCTTTGATTGTAAAATATATTTTTACTTTTTAGTCTTCTAATTTAATAAATGATCCATATAAAAATAGAGAAATAAAGTCCTTTAAGGGAAGGTTTACCATGTTTGTTCCCGAGTATTTTTTAACTTAATTCACAATACGCAGGAGTAACGAATCAGTCAGAATCAGAGTTCACTCGTCAACAGACTGGGAGCAGGAACCTTACACCTTCAGACCAAGCCTGGCCTTTGCTTCCCAGATTGAATTAGAGGAGGGAAGTCCCAGGTGCTCCTCCCTCAACAGTGGCAGTGGGCGTGGGTCTGCTCTTCCAGCCCAGGCACCCTCTCCCCACTGGGTGGTTCTGTGGTGCCTTTTCATTTCCAGGCCATTTCCATCTGGGAGTGAGCGTGGAACACGACCCCGTTCTGAGAGAGCCCACTGGGACCGTGGCACCCCCATCTCAGGAGTCTGAGCCCCTAGTGATGACTGGCTCATGCTTAGGGAGCAAAGCGCCCATAAATGTGAGCAGCACTCTAGAGACCCCGAGCCACCCTGGCACCCGGGCACGGACGCGTTGCTGGAGCGTCCATGGACACGGTGGGGTGTCTGCCCCCTCTCTGCTGCCCAACCCCCGAGGCATGCCCGCCGGTTCCCTGCCTCCACCTGAATGTGGCCTTTCTGCAGTGTTGACTCCACAGCAAACTTCCAGCCGTTACCTCTGTGGCTATGACTGATGGCATCAGTTCTTCTGTGGAAAAGACCCCTGGGCGTGGGACTCCTGAGCAAAGATGGACCCGCCTCCCCTGCCCAAATCCCAACCTGCTTCCTGGTGCCCTGTCCCCATCGCCGGGCGTCCCCATCGCCGGGCGTCCCCATCGCCGGTCTGGCCTCTCTGTCCCAGTGCTGTCTTGGTGCAGCTGCAGTTAGGATCTCTTTATTTTTTATTTTTTGTATTTTTATTTTTTAATTTTATTTATTTATTTATTTTTTTGTTGAGACAGGGTCTCACTCTGTCACCCAGGCTGGAGTGCAGTGGCGCGATCTTGGCTCACTGCAAGCTCCGCCTCCCGGGTTCACGCCATTCTCCTGCCTCAGCCTCCCGAGTAGCTGGGACTACAGGCGCCCGCCACCACGCCCGGCTGATTTTTTTGTATTTTTAGTAGAGACGGGGTTTCACCGTGTTAGCCAGGATGGTCTCGATCTCCTGACCTCATGATCCACCTGCCTCGGCCTCCCAAAGTGCTGGGATTCCAGGTGTGAGCCACCGCGCCCAGTCAGGATTTCTTTTTTTAGGAGCGAGTTTGAGCACAGCCTTGCATTCCGGGCCCGTGTTTCCCGTGGGGCTGCCTTTTTCTTTTGTCTCCTCGGCTCTTTTCACGTTATAGACGGTAACTGCGCGATATACACTGCACGTTCTTTCCCTGCTTTATCATTTGTTTATGTTGCTAATGATTTTGTCCCGTGTAAAATTTTCTTTTTTAATGTTGTCACGTGTTCATCTTTTTCCTTATCGTTCCTGGATTTCTGTTTATCATTAGGAAAGTTTTTCCACATTCAGGTTTGAAAGGCTCTTCTCTCACGTATTTTCCTTTTTTTTTTTTTTTTTTTTTTTGCCCTTCATCACGGACCCCACTGGAGGCACCAGGCCCGCTGCGCAGGATGGACCGACCCTCACTGTGCGGCGCGTTCGCAGCCCCCGGATCCCTGGGCCCGGCCTGGCCTTCCCGGCACCCCCTCCTCCTGCATTCCCGCAGGCCTGGCCCGCGCCCGGCTTCTCCTTCTAGAGGCTTCCTGGCTGTTCGTGTTGGGACTTACCAAGGAACTTCTTCCGGATAGGCTTGTTCAGAGCTCATTTAATGAACTCGGGGAAAGTAGCTTCCCACGCGCGCATCCATCGTGCGGACCCCCCGGGGGCCGCTGCGCTGAGGGGTGAGGGGGTCGCTGGCCGCCTGCGGGTCCCTGAACTCCGGGGGTTTCCAGCCTTCTCGAGGTTTCCATGGTTACCTGGCTCCGAAAGAGACGACTTCTCTTTCCCTCCACCCTGCCGCAGCATCCCAGGCCCTCGCTGGGGGATGAGATTGGGGAGGGGCGGGGGGGTGTGCAGGGCGGGGGCGGGGGGGGTTCTAGGGCCCTCCTCGCCTCCCCACCCAGACACGGGAAGCGCCCACCCTGGGGTGCTGCAGGCCGGGGCGCCGCGGGTGCCGGTGAGAGGAGCAGGGCCGGTCCTGGGGACCCGCTTCGGGGGTGGGAAGGGGCTGCGAGGCGGGGTCCTGCTCCCTCCCAGCGGAAGGCGGCCTGGGACCCAGTCAGACCGCGGTGCATCCCAAACCTCCCAGCGACCCTTGGTTGGAGAAACGGGCAGAGACCCTGCAGGGGGTGGCCCGGGCCCTGCGTGTCCTCTGGGGCCTTTGCCGCGGCCCCTCCGGCGCCCCGCACCCCACTGGAAGTGCTCTGTGTGGGTGGGAGGCTCAGCCCTGCGCGGTGGCCCCAGGAAGTGCTGAAATGAACGAGGTCCCCTGGTCCCCGTCCCCGGGGCCTCCGAGACTAAAGGGACCCGCAGCACCAGCAGGGTGCCCCAGGCTGGGGGGGGTCCCAAACGCGGCTCCCAGATCCCTCCTTCCCAGCTGGAGTGGAGAAGAGCCCTCTCAGCCTGGTTCCTGCCGCTGAGCAAAGGGCGGACACTTTTCTTGGATTTTAGTTTTGAAAACAGTGTTCAAAGCGTCTCTTTGAACTGTAGATTTCTGCAGAGCAACGGTTTTGGGAGCAAAACCTTGATACCAAGTTTTACTCAAAACAGAAAGTGCCAGGTAGGGAACAGAAAAGGAAGGCCTGCCGGTGCGTGGCTTTTCCCAGAGCTTGGCAAAGGCCTTGTTACCTTAAATTTCTAGCCTCAAAAATAAAATGCTGGTGCCACACTCCCCGACACAGAGCCGGCCTCACTGCTGAGTGTGAGAGTCAGGCTTGAAACATCTGCCTTCCCTTGAACGTGCTGGTGGGCATCGCTGTGCAAAGCATGACACCTGACCCCGTAGGAAACCCCTTCTTACTCATTTGCAGTGTCACTGAAAGAAACTTATCTCCTGTGCCTGTTAACTGTCAGGTATCACTAAAGTTAAAGCAATAAAGCTCACTTAAGATAAAATGGAAAAGTGAGAAACAGCGAAAATGTCAGTGCAGACGTCACAAACTCAGCATGAGTTTCCTCGAGGCATGACACGGGTTTGTGATTATGACCGGCAGGCTGAGCTGTGCCCAGCGTGAGGCGTTTGCCCCAGTGCAGGCAGGAGGGGCTGCAGTGGGCTCCGCCTCTCGGAGGACCCGAGGCTCCCCCAGGGCCCTCCCCACGGCCCCTGCTCGCTTTGTGGAGTGGGTGAGACTTGGCCTTCTCTGCTGACTCACCATACACCACTCCAGGCCCTGCTGCCCCAGGCCGGCTCCCTCTGCCTCCTCAGTGCCTGTTCTGGGCCCCAGAAGAGGCTGGAAGGGTCCTGAAGACCTCGATGGCCTCCATTCAGCTAGGGAGCAGATTCGGGGGAAATGAGGAGGGAGGTCCCCAGGGTCACCCAGAACCGAGGGAAAGTTGTGGCCAGAGAGCTGCTCGCTTCCCACAAACACCACAATCACCCCTTGCAGGATAAAGTTTCGCACAAGTTGCTGAGTGCAGAGAACCTGGGCCAGAAGGCCAGGTCCTGAGTTCTGGAACAGGTGAGGACCCACCCAGGCTGCCCCATCCCTCCACCCTCAGTGAATGGCGACAGCCTCTGGGCTTTCTACTGCCTCTTGGCTCCCAACCCAGACCAAGCCCCTTCCCTCTGTTGAGCCTGGCCGTGGAGACGGGTTCACCCCGACGGCTGCGTCCAGGCGTCAGCAGGGCTGGAGGAGCCCTGACAGAATGCACTTGGCCCACCAGGCCGGGCATGTAGCGATGGGTCAGGGTCCTTTCTGGTGGGCCAGGGACTCCCAAGGCCCAGGACCAGGGTTCCAGAGGGAAGGACAGCAGGGCCCCAGCTGGATCCTGCATCCAGGGCTGGGGCATGGGAAGAGAAAAGTTTCAGGAGCTGAGACTCAGCCCTTGGCCCCAGAGTCTCAGAGGGCAGGGCCAAGGGCCAGGTAAGGACCCACAGAGGCAGGATGGTCTTCAGCACAGACACCTCATCATTAAGCTCTTCCTCATGATGCTGTAGACATGTTCTCCTTGACTATGGAGAGGAAATGGAGCCAGGGGGATGCAGCTGGTACCAGCTGAGAGAGAGAGCTCAGAGAGAGTGTGTGTGGGCACAGGCTCCAGGGATGCAGCTGGTCCCAGCCGAGAGAGTGAGCTCGGAGTGTGTCCAGTCACAGGCTCCAGGGATGCAGCTGGTCCCACCCAAGAGAGTGAGCTCAGAGAAAGTGTGTCCAGTCACAGGCTCCACGGGGAGGGGGAGCAGGACTGAACCTTCCTCTGCCCGCAGAGCCTCAGTCCTCTCAGTGGGGACCACAGGACCTGGGCACATCAACCAGTGCTGGCAGAGTCCCGAGGCCTCTCCCAGGAGAGCTTTGGCCAGAGGTCATTAGAAGCCAAGGGGTGTCTCTGTGTTGCAGACACTCACTGGAGCAGGTGCACAGCCCCAAGGGGTGGGTTTACAGCAGCTCAGGCGGCCCCCTCACAGGAGCCTCCAGAGCCCCTTGATGTGGCCACAGCACAGCTGGCCCCTTACAGGGTGTGCGTGGGCAGAACTGATAGGTACTGCTATACCTCTGAGGCCTGTATCCTCTCTTGAAAGGGGACACCTCATCCCAGAAATCCAGCAAGGTGGATTTATTGAGACCATCTCACTGAAAACAGCCCAAAATGATGGATATCATGTTTTTAAATTCTTCCTGGAGTTTTTGAAAAGATGACAAAGGAAAGGCGAACCCAGAGAGGCTATTGCAGCAAAGTTAAGCTTCAGTCCAGGTGGTCTTGTGGGGATGGAGGGTGGAGATGTACAATGTTCATGGATTGAAATAGTCAATATGTAAAGATGTCAGCTTCTCTCAAATTAATTTAGTCAGTATAATCCCAAAGTCCCAGCAAGCCCCGTTTTGTTGTACTGTTTTTTGTAAAGCTTGATAAGTTAATTCTGAATAGCTAGGAAGAGTCAAGACATTCTTGTAAAAGCAGCACAAAATGTGAAAGCTTGCTCAAATAGATATCAAGGCCAGGTGGCTCACACCTGTAATCCCAGCACTTTGGGAGGCTGAGGCAGGAGGATCACTTGATTTCAGGAGTTTGAGACCAGCCTAACATGGCAAAACCGCACCTCTACTAAAAATGCAAAATTAGCTGGGTGTGGTGGCAGGCACCTGTAATCTCAGTTACTCAGGAGGCTGAGGCAGGAGAATCGCTAGAACCCGGGAGGTGGAGATTGCAGTGAGCCGAGATCGCAGCATTGCACTCCATCCAGCCTGGGCAACAGAGCAAGACTCTGTCTCAAAAAAAAAAAAAAAAAAAAAAAAAAAAAAAAAAAAAGGGCTGGGCACGGTGGCTCATGCCTGTAATCCCAGCACTTTGGGAGGCCGAGGTGGGTGGATCAAGAGGTCAGGAGTTTGAGACCAGCTTGGCCAACATAGTGAAACCCCGTCTCTACTAAAAATACAAAAAATTAGCTGGGCATGGTGGCGGGTGCCTGTAATCCCAGCTGCTTGGGAGGCTGAGGCAGGAGAATCGCTTGAAGCCAGGAGGCGGAGGTTGCAGCAAGCCAAGATCGTGCCATTGCACTCCGGCCAGGGTGACAGTGCGAAACTCCATCTCAACAAAAAAAAAGATATCAGGACTATCAACACTGTTGTCTACAGACTGTTGTCTACAGTAAGACAATAAATAGTCCAGGGAACAACACAGAGACTGTAGAGATGACAGGGTGGGGAACAGTTGCCATTTTAGTACATGATATTGGGCCAAGCAGCAAGATCTGTGAAATAAAATGGAGTCAGACCCCCTACTTCATGCCACTTTCATACACCAGTTCTGGGTGGATTCAAAATGTAAAGGCAGAAGGCAAAATTGCAGAGCTTTTAGGAAATAATTCAGAAGACAGCATTCCTGATCCCAGGGCAGAGAAGGGTTTTCTTAAATAAGACCAACAGGCACTAACCACGAAGGATTGAGTCGCTAAAGTTAGCAACTTCTGTATTGTGACCTGTGGATTTCTGTTAGGTGCGTTTCTTATTCGGATATAACAGGGCATGTAGGCCGGGCACGGTGGCTCACACCTGTAATCCAGCACTTTGGGAGGTCGAGGTGGGCGGATCACCTGAGGTCAGGAGTTCGAGACCAGCCTGGCCAACATGATGAAACCCCGTCTCTACTAAAAATACGAAAACTAGCTGGGTTTGGTGGTACATGCCTGTCATCCCAGCTACTCGGGAGACTGAGGCCAGAGAGTCACTTGAACCTGGGAGGCGGAGGTCGCAGTGAGCCGAGATCATGCCACTGCACTCCAGCCTATGCAACACAGTGAGACTCCATATCAAAAAAACAAAAAACAAAACAAAAAAACCAGGGCATGTCACCCATTTCTTTGCTCACCATTATGGCATGCGTGTGACTGCACTTGGCCGCTGGCCACCTCTGTTAGTAGCTCATTCACAGAGGATCTGTGGGAAGTGACCTTCTCAGTCCCTGTATGTCAGAAATGTCCTTGTCACTCTTAAATGACAGTCTGGTTGGAATAGAATAGAATTCTGTGTTGATTTACCTTCCCTCAGCGCTTTGAAAAATACCATGGCACCATCTTGCTGCATCCAGTGTTACTAATGAGAAACCAGATACCTGTCTGGTTCTCATGCCTTTGTGGGTGAACTGCCTTGTCTTTCTGGTGGCTTTGAGGTTTTCTCTTTCTCTTGGGTGTATTTTTGCTTGGCCTGTCTTGGCACTCATTGAAAGCTTTGAGCCTAACAAAGACGTCATGTTTTCGGTTCTGAAAATATGGCCTCTCTTCCATTCTCTCTATTCTTTCCTTTTGTGGCTCACTAGAAAAAGCGTTGAGATTTCCAGATCTGTCCTCCAAATCCTCTATTAAACCTGATAGCTTGAGCACATTGCCTTTGTCTTTCTCTACTGATGGAGCGTTTGCTCTCCTTCAGGATGTTAGCATCTCTGAGCTGCTTGGTGGTTTCAGGCTGAATGCCCATTTTCTATAAAGAAAAGTGATGTCAGGCTCTGTGTCCCCACCCAAATCTCACCTTGAATTGTGTCTCCCAGAATTCCCATGTGTTGTAGGAGGGACCCAGGCAGAGGTAATTGAATCATGGGGGCCAGTCTTTCCCGCACTATTCTCATGATAGTGACTAAGTCTCACAAGATCTGATGGGTTTATCAGGGGTTTCCACTTTCGGTTCTTCCTCATTTTTCTCTTGCTGCCACCATGTAAGAAGTGCATTTTGCCTCCTGCCATGATTCTGAGGCCTCCCCAGCCATGTGGAACTGTAAGTCCAATTAAACCTTTCTTTCTTCCCAGTCTTGGGTATGTCTTTATCAGCAGTGTGAAAATGAACTAATACAGAAGTTGGTACCAAGAGTGGGGCATTGCTGAAAAGATACCTGAAAATGTGGAAGGAATTTTGAAACTGGGTAACAGGCAGAGATTGGAACAGGTTGGAGAGCTCAGAAGAAGATAGGAAAACATGGGAAAGTTTGGAACCTCCTAGAGACTTGTTGAATGGCTTTGACAAAAATGCTGATAGTGATATGAACAATAAGGTCCAGGCTGAGGTGGTCTCAGATGAAGATGAGGAACTTATTGGGAACTGGAGCAAAGGTGACACTTGTTATGTTTTAGCAAAGACACTGGTGGCATTTTTGCCTCTGCCCTAGAGATTTGTGGAACTTTGAACATCAGAGAGATGATTTAGGGTATCTGGCAGAAGAAATTTTTAAGCAGCAAAGCATTAAAAAGGTGACTTGGATACTGTTAAACATTCCATTTTAAAAGGGAAATAGGCCGGGCACAGTGGCTCACACCTGTAATCCCAGCACTTTGGGAGGCTGAGGTGGGTGGATCACCTGAGGCTGAGTTCGAGACCAGCCTGGCCAACATGAAGAAACCCCGTGTCTACTAAAAATGCAAAAATTAGTTGGGCATAATGGCTCATGCCTGTGATCCCAACTAGGGAGGCTGAGGCAGGAGAATCACTTGAACCCGGGAGGTGGAGGTTGCAGTGAGCCAAGATTGCGCCACTGCACTCCAGCCTGGGTGACAGAGCAAGACTCCGTCTCAAAAAGATTTTTTGTTGTTGTTAAAGAGGAAAACAGAGCGTAAAAGTTCAGAAAATTTGCAGCCCAATGATGCAGTAGAAAAGAAAAACCCATTTTTTGAGGAGAAATTTAAGCTGACTGCAGAAATTTCCTTAAGTAGCAAGGAGCCTAATGTTAATCCCCAAGACCATGGGGAAAATATCTCCAGGCCATGTCAGAGACCTTCACGGCACCCCCTCCCATCAGAAACCTGGAGGCCCAGGAGGAAAAAATTGTTTTGTGGGCTGAGCCCAGGATCCCTGTTCTGTGTGCAACCTAGGGACTTGGTGCCCTGCATCCCAGCCTCTCCAACTGTGGCTGAAAGGGGCCCAACGTGGAGTTCAGGCTGTGGCTTCAGAGGGTAGAAGCTCCAAGCCTTAGCAACTTCCATGTGGTGTTGAGTCTGTGGGTGCACAGAAGTCAAGAACTGAGGTTTTGGAACCTCCGCCTCAATTTCAGAACATTTACGGAAACACCTGAATGTCCAGGCAGAAGCTT